>NC_000002.12:195974466-196277496 GCF_000001405.40 Homo sapiens | reverse complement strand
CACATCCTCTCCAGCACCTATTGTCTCCTGACTTTTTAATGATTGCCATTCTAACTGGTATGAGATGATAGAATTTCTTAAGTGAAGTTTTCTATATTACATTAAAATATCCATCCAGGGATATGGGATTATGGAATCCTCACTAGTATTCTTTAAAATTAGGATATTTTTGAGAGAGTTGATTTATATACTTTATGTGCCTGGAGAAAAAGGGCTGAACTAAGAATTACTAAAAACTGCTCTACTTTACCGATTTGCAGGGACCAATGGTAACCACACGAGGGCCCTCTAATATCCTAACCAAAAAAAAGAACAAACCTTGTTTCAGTTCTTCCTTTTGCAGCTTCAATATATAAAAGAAATGTCTTAAGTCAAGTTTTCTTCTCCTTCATATGGGCTTATGATTTGATTATATACCATCACTTGATTTACATTGTTTCTGAAAATTCCCTTAGACAATAGAATTTGGATCCTTTACCCACCTTTACATGCCTTTTCTGTGTCTATGTGCATGTCATATTTTCAGTATTATATTGTACATCAAATATCTTTGTAGCCATATATTTTGTATAAGAAAAAATATGAATACAATAAATAACTGGATCTGATTCATCAAAATTCTACTCTTGGAATTTCCCCTCGTGATTTATATACTTGCTCCAATGCATCATGTGTTTGCTGGTTGTAAGTGCAGATATAGAAGGGTGCACATGAGAAGCTCATATAAAAATGATATACAAATATATTACAGGATGAGGTATGTGCAAAAATTTTTCTGTTTTATGAGTAGCTAATAAATCTTTACCTTGCTGTCATGTAACCCATTAGTGGTGAACTGAATGGCACTAACAACATTCATCTTAAAAGCAGAACAGACCTCTCACCTTTGGACCTTGTGTGCGATGTGTAGCACAATTAGGGCTCTGTCTGATATTTTATTGCATAGCCCGTGCCCTTTAACCACTCACCTTATCATGACTTCACAGTATGAAGCTGGCTGTTTGGTCTAGTTAGGACTATTTTTCTGGGAAAACATGCATGAGATTAATAGCTATACTTTCATTTTCTTTCAACCCCTCTACCTTAAAACATGAATATTTTCATGGTCTAGTAGTAGTAGCCTTTATGAGAGAGGGACCCTAAGGGATACATTAAGACTTTTCCTCCTATGGCTGGAAACTGAGCAGTGGCCCAGAGATAAGTCCATACAGACTGAGTGTCCAGCCCTCCACATTGTTAAACCTTCCGGGGGAGTGTCCTTTCTGACACAGCTGTTGGAAGCATGCACATCCTGAAGTGCTGCCCATCAGAGGGATTGCCCACTGTCCGCTGGTCTGGTTGCAAAGACTGAGGTCTTAGGGAGAAGACCTTTGGCTTTTCTGGGAAATGATGAGACATGGCAACATACTGTGAGGAGAGAAAGTATATATTGGAGTGTTGAAATGATAAGTTATCTGACTAACAATCTGTACTTAGTGATCAGATCTCCCCAGAGAATAGCTGTATTCATTCCTCAAAGCCAGTAACTCAAGAGAAGCAGGATGAGAAGACTTCTAGTTACATACATGAGTCATTTGAGCCACTGTCTTATATTCCTTCAGCAAATATTCCATTCAGTAGAAATATTGATGTCTTTTCCATCTAACAAGTTAACACCAAACACCTGCTACAATGAAGAAACATAGTGGTTGCTGTTATGAGGGATGCAAATAAATAACACATTTCCTGCATTCTTTTTTTTTTTTTAAGACAGAGTCTTGCTTTGTCGCCAGGCAGGAGTGCAGTGGTGCGATCTTTGCTCACTGCAACCACCACCTCCCGGGTTCAAGAGATTCTCCTGCCTCAGCCTCCCGAGTAGCTGGGACTACAGGCACCTGCCACCGCGCCCGGCTAATTTTTGTATTTTTAGTAGAGATGGGGTTTCACCATGTTGGCCAGGATGGTCTCGATCTGTTGACCTTGTAATCCGCCCGCCTTGGCCACCCAAAGTGCTGGGATTATAGGTGTGAGCCACCGTGCCTGGCCCACACATTTCCCGCATTCTTAATAGGAAAGGAAAATATGAAACCCTACTACAAATGAATAAAAATATGAACGAAAAATGCTTTGTAAATTTTCTTTTTTAATAGTTGGGAAAGAAAAATATACCTTTAGATAATCATGTTTTCTTCTTTTTATTTATATCTTTCCAGCTTTAGTGAGGTATAATTGACAAATAATATAAACTGTTCACAATGGCAGCTGCTTGTTCTGTTTGTTCTGTGGGAGCTCAGAGGAGGTTGTATTTAACTTGGGCTTGAAGGAGAGGGAAGACCTTGTCGAGGAGGGGCTGTTTGAACTACGCTTTGAAGAATGAGTGAGAGCATTCTTGAAGGACAAGCAAGCGGTGGAGGGTGGGGAGGATATTTCCAGCATTAGAGTCTTTAGAAAAATCCTCAGCAAATACCCAAGTGATGCAACATGATAAAAGGGCTGCAAATGGTTGTGGGTGGAATAAAACTCTCTTTTCAAAATCCCAGTTTATAAATCCAGTACAGTGTGTTATTTTTTCTTATTCTCTCTTATACTGCTGTTCTGCTATTGTCTCAAAAGATTTCTGTAATATGGGGGAAAATGCTAAAGCAGAAGCAAAAACAACATTAGAGTTTTCTGGTAAGGCTGTTAATGGGTATTTTTGGTTATCTACTTGTGTGTATGAGTTTCTAAATCTATATTAGGTGCAATAAATAATTCTGGTTAGGACAACCCTATTTAGCTCCTCCACACCTGCTCCTATTAGCACCCTGGTGTGGGAGGCTCAAACCAGAAAGATCTGTTGTACCAGGTGTTCTAATAGGCATGGAGAATTGCTCCTGAGGAGATAATACACTAACTCGAAACCCCACATGAAGATTGCTGCTCTTCAACCCCTCCTCTGCTGAGCCAGGGAATTCCCTGGCCTGCCTTAGCCAAAAGAAGAAATATCTTGGCACTGCCCCAAAACATTTATACCACTCAGTCTTCCCTTTGATTGTGTTGTTGCAGACTGTGCTCTGTCAATGCAGAAGTTAGTCCTGATGAACAAGTCTGCTGTTTAGCTGCTGCAGCCTCAGTAATTATAAGCAGATTGAACTACTTCTGTGCCACTTGGTAAAGAGTCACTGCCCCAGCCCCTCTCAAGAATGTGGATGCCTCAACTCCCCCCACCATTTAGCCACTAAAACAAGGCTTTCAATAACTAAGAACCCTGCTTCAGCCCCACAGCTGGTATCTGTTCTGATCAAGTGGTACTTCACTATGCTCATTGTTAATATTTTGAACAACTTGGTTTGGGATGCTGATATAGAGCATTCTGGCTCTTGGTGCAGAACATAAATGATGCTTCTGTTTGCAGGTAGGAGAAGATTCTCGACATGCAGGACCACCAGTTCTTCCCAGGCCATCCAGTACATTCAATACAGTCAGTAGGCCACAGTACCAGGACATGGTTCCAGTGGGTATGTCATCCCTTTCCAGAAATCATCTGTCCTTTTGTGCCATTATCTGTACCATGTACACTGTGCTGATACTTCCCCTGTTGTTAGCCTGCTACTTTTTGCCCTATATTGAGAAATTGCTGCATTATCCTTAAGAAATGTATAACAAAATCCTACAGACTTGAGTCTCAAAGGGCTTCTGTCTTGTAATATCCTAAAGGATGAGATTGTTTTTTAATACCACCCTACCTTTCCTGAGTAGAGGTATCATATTAGATTATTGAAGTTAAGGAAAAATAATTTATTAAGGTAATACATTATGCAATCATTATAAATTAAGAATTTGGACTAGCATATACTTAGTATATATTTAAGGCCAAGACAGAATTTAAATGGTGTGTGAATCTGTAGCAGCCTCACAAAATAAACAATCAAAGAGAGCACATTCTTAAGGGCTTTTGTCACAAATAGAAGGCAGCAAGAACCTCTAAAATAGTAAAATAAAAATAAATGAGTGTGGGAGAAAGGCCTGAAAAACAACTTGAGTTGTTATTAAAAGGATGAGGTTGAAGTAGATCAGTGGTTGCCAAACCTGGAGCGCCTGAGGCAGGTGGAGTGGACAGACTGGTGGGAGGCCATATGGGCTCCGTGCTCCGTCTTAAATTAGACTAGGTTGGCTGGGCGCAGTGGCTCACGCCTGTAACCCCAGCACTTTGGGAGGCCGAGATGGGCAGATCACAAGGTCGACAGATCAAGACCATCCTGGCTAACACGGTGAAACCCCGTCTCTACTAAAAATACAAAAAATTAGCCAGGCATGGTGGCACGCACCTGTAGGCCCAGTTACTCTGGAGGCTGAGACAGGAGAATCACTTGAACCTGGGAGGCAGAGGTTCCAGTGAGCCGAGATTGCACCACTGCACTCCAGCCTAGGGACAGAGCAAGACCCAATCTCAAAAAAAAAAAAAAAAAAAAAAAAAAAAAAAAAAAAATTAGACCAGCTCTCCATTTATCTTTGTTTTAAAACGTCTTCTTTAAATTAAAAAAAAAATGTCATGAAATTCAATGTAATGCCCATGACCTAAGAAGCTTGACCTCTGGATAAGAAGAAATGTAGGGTTGAAGTCTAACAGTCTAGGTTTTTTTTTATGTTATTACTAATATGACACTAAATACTGCACATGGAATTTTAAAGCACTATAAAATTGTTGCTTAGACAGTTATGTGGGCTCTGAGCTCAGACGCACTATAAACCCCGATTCAATAATTATCCAAGTGTCTTCATTATTCATATATAGTGAAACGTGCACTTAGGGAACATTTGAGTTGACAATGGTATTCCATTTTAGCAGGTAGTATTTCTTTAAAATTGTTATTGTATATATAAATATACATAACTAAAATAGATATGTTATAGGCAATATGATGCAGGTAAGATTGGAAATGGCAGATCTCTACAGAATTATTATACTTCTTTTGTTTAATTATTTGTTAAAGAAAGGCATGTATCTTGATAATATCCTATACCAGAATCTCTGATGTTTAAGAATTTAGACACTCTGTCCTAGTTCTGTGAATTTAAATATATTTGTGCCTATTTATGATTATCAACAAATATAATCAAGATGAATCATCTTAAGTAAACAAATTCATTTTCTTGACAAAAGAGTATTAACGGTATCCTTAATAAATTTTAATTAACTATTTTTAAGTTTCTTTAGCCAACCTTGACTGGGATTTAGATTTTTCTAAACACATTTTGTTCATGGTTCGTGATGATGATTGTGTTGTAGCTGTTGGTATAGTTGGTTTGGTAAAGAGCTATTTGTGGCTTAATGGCATTTATTTCCACGTAGAGTTTTAGAATAGTTTGTCCTCTGCATTTTGGTCCTAGTTGTTGCTGCCAACTAGTACATTTTGGCAAATTGAGTTCTGCCTCTTTACCTCCCTGGCTGGCTGCTAATCAATCAGAAGATGGTTTTTCATTTCTGACTTGTCATTTCTGTGAGGCTGATTTTCGTAAGTTTAAATGATCAAGATCTAGAATCTCGTTGGTGACCTCATCTTGCCATTTGATAATAAATATGGCTTGTCAAATGAGTTTACTAAGAATGTTTAACTAAGCCACAGCTAACAGACCTAAGTCCAATAATCATATAAAAGGTTAGATACAAATTGGAATGTAAGCACCTATAGTGGTGGGCACAGTCTAGTTCCAAACTATAACTTTGAGTATAAGTAATATTAGCCAGAAAAACAGATTTCATTTATTTATTTTTTGTTGTTGTTGTTGTTTTTCAATAGAAACAAGTTCTCACTATGTTGCCCAGGCTGGTCTTAATCTCCTGAGCTCAAGTGATCCTCCCAACTCAGACTCTGAAAGTGCTGGGGTTACAGGCGTGAGCTACCATGCCTGGCTGAAAAACAGATGATTTTGAAAAGTTTGGATTTATAGGCCGGGCACAGTGGCTTACACCTGTAATCCTAGCACTTTGGGAGGCCAAGGCAGGTGGATCAACTGAGGTCAGGAGTTTGAGATCAGCCTGGCCAACATGGCAAAACCCCATCCCTACTAAAAATACAAAAAAAAATTAGCTGAGCATGGTGGCAGGCACCTATAATCCCAGCTACTTGCAAGCCTGAGGCAGGAAAATTGCTTGAACCCGGTGGGGCACACAGGTTTGGATTTATATACATAAAACTAAAAATAGATTCTTTTTTAAATTGTTGTCTTTTCTGATTTTTTTTTCAGCTTACAATGACAAGATTGTTGCATTTCTACGTCAACCCAATATCTTTGAAATTCTACAGGAGCGTCAACCTGATCTTACCAGGAATCACTCACTCAGGTAACAATAATATTGGTATTTGGTTCAAGTTGCATAAGCACAAACCATTAAATCTTAGTTTTACTGATAGTTGTCTTGGAAATTTATTCTTTCTTTCTGACATCCTTTGCAAAACATCTTGTATGCAAATATTTTGTCATCATCACCAGGTATTGTAGTGCTGGCTTCTCTCTATTAAGTATAAAAGTTGAATAAAATCGGCCGGGCACGGCGACTCACGCCTGTAATCTCAGCACTTGGGGAGGCCGAGGCAGGCAGATCACGAGGTCAAGAGATCAAGACCATCCTGCCCAACATGGTGAAACCCCGTCTCTACTAAAAATACAAAAACTAGCTGAGCATGGTGGTGTGTGCCTGTAGCTACTCGGGAGGCTAAGGCAGGAGAATCGCTTGAACCTGGGAGGTGGAGGTTGCAGTGAGCTGAGATTTGCACCACTGCACTCCAGCCTGGCGACAGAGTGAGACTTTGTCTCAAAAAAAAAATAAATAAAGGTGAATAAAATCAACTAAACAACCCAGAACCCTATTTAAAAAACGAAATATGAAAAAAAAATTTAAGCCAAGCGTTTATCCTAGAAGTGCAGATTATAATGAAATTAATGACATAACTTTTTGAGTGTAACTTGAGTAAGCAAAAGTAGCATACAGTTTATTGAACTGAGATATATAGAGTTCCAGACTTGGTATTCACATTTTTCCATAATAAAAACAGATTAGAACCTAAGTAGGGAATCTGATATTCTCTAAAACTGAGCCTCACCTTGCATGAGCCCTCTCTTCTAAACAACTTTTCAAAACATCATTTCTCAAGCCCAGTTTTACTTTCCTGAATACATGCTGTTCCCCTTCCCTGGCAAGCTTTTCTCTCCTTCTAAGTTTGGGAAGCAAGATTTTTCCACTAAAACCCAGCAGAAGCTTTCCCTCCTTGAAATCTTTCAACTCCACTGTGGACTCTCACTTTCATGATCTAGGCTAGTATTTCTCTATCTAAGTGTGCTAGGCATCAGTGGGAATAGGAAAAGAAGAGTTTCTGCTGAAAATCTTTCTTAACCCCAAGTCCAGTTGTCACCTTTACTGGTAGAAGTATATTTGCCTGGTGGTACCATCCTGGCCCACAGCAGTGATTCCCAAATACTGATCCACTAAGTTGTGCCAAACTGTTTTCATCAGTATCACCTGGGAAGCTTTATATAATACAAAATGCCAGGTCATGCCTCCTCCAATTCCTCTCCCTTCTCAGAATTTATACCCCTGTTCTCCCATGCCCTACCCAGAAATTTAATTCAAGAGGTCTGGGGTAGAGCCTAAGAATTATTTTTTCAAAACCTCTCTGTATAATTCTGATGGCACAGTTGGCTGCAATAACCTTTGGTCTTGACACTATTTTGATCATGAGTCATGAAATGTATCACATTGTCCTTTGTACTGGTTTGACTTTATGACTTTTGTGTTTTGATTTGACTTTTCAAGTCCTTATGCGTTATTTTCCAATTAGATTTTAAGAGCCTTGCAAATAGGGATCTTATCCAACTCATCATTATTTTTCCTCCTTACTGTTCAAATATCTAGAATAGCATTTTGCACATACTGAATGTAAAAATATATATGTATATAGTTGTCGATTTGAAAATAAATTACCAAATATACTCACGATATTCTTGGTCTCATGTCTTTTTTTTTTTTTTTTTTTTTTTTTGGAGGTAGGGGGAGACGGAGTCCCACTCTTGTCGCCCAGGCTGGAGTGCAGTGGTGCGATCTCGGTTCACTGCAACCTCTGCCTTCCGGGTTCAAGCGATTCTCCTGCTTCAGCCTCCCGAGTAGCTGGGATGACAGGTGCCCACCGCAACACCCAGCTAATTTTTGTATTTTTAGTAGAGACGGGATTTCACCATGTTAGTCAGGCTGGTATTGAATGCCTGACCTCAGGTGATCCTCCCGCCTCGGCCTCCCGAAGTGCTGGGATTACAGGCATGAGTCACTGTGCCTGACCTTGGTCTCATGTCTTTAAAGTTGTCATTACCTTCTAAAGTTTGTAAAGGCTAAAGCTACAAAAAATTTCAAGTATTATACTATAAACACTGTGTATATAAAAATCCCAGTTTCACCTGGTTTCACATGGTTAATAACATTTGACTCAACTCTTAGTGCCTTCCCCAACATAAGCATGCTGTTCTTAACCACGGAAAAATTATAATAATTATGCAAGTGAAGATTTTGCATGTTTGTTTATTATGGCATCCACTCAGTAATCCACGTTCCCCTAGAGAATCTTGTGTAAGAAGTTTTAGTTCTAAAAAATTGCAGAAACAAGCCCCTCAGTGATCTAATTAGAAATGTTAGCAATCCTAGACCTCAAAGCAAAACAAACAAAATTCTTCCTCTTTTGCTAATCACAAAATAAAGGGAACTCTATTTTCTCTCTCTTCTACCACTTCCAACCAACACATGCCACTAGTTAATATCTGTTCCTCTAAGTGTACCCCATCCCCCACAAAACAGGAAACTCAAGAAGTTTTTCACTTTTTCTCTGCGTTCCACATTAGTGTGTAATACGAATTAACATATCTTTAAATCTCCACCATCAGAGAGATTAGGTGATCTAATCTACCTGGACAGGGCATTTGTCATTAGTCTTTAATGACTTGACAGAATCTTAACAGATCCTAACAGAGGGAAAAGCTGCAGGCCCAAGTTGGTAGCTTCAAGTTTTGTTTTGTTTTCTTTCTGCTTTTTAGAGTCTGAAAAGTCTCTAATCTCCTAAAGATGTTGAAGATTTTTTTTTAGTGGCATCTAGAGTCCTCAGTTAAGCATAATCTTTCTTCTAACATAGGATTCACATGGTAATCTATTTTTATGCAATTATTTGATAGGCTATGAAATATATTTCCATCTTTACAGAATGTGACCATGGGAAGCAGATGCTGTCATGATAAGTAAAAGTAAATCAATGAGATAATACCACTCCTCCTATCCAGAGTGTGTGTCACACTGCACTTTCATTTTCTGTCAAGTTTTTGGGAGTTAAATATTTTGCTTATCATAACATCGTAAAGGGGAAGTTTGTATATCTAAGAGAACATTCTGTTTTATATAGTTGTGAGGAGCATTCCCACAAACACAGGGGTGGGAAATAGGCTGAACTTCTTTAATTTCCTATTTCAATGATATTTTTGATAACAGATTTATACATGGAATGGAGCCACTCAGTAATCTATGTGTCAAAGTTCACTGTGGACCTTATATTCATACCTGGAGCAAGGACTCCCAGTACCAACATAGCTTGGCATATGTCCTTTCTCATCTGTGGCACACCACTTAAGATAAATATTCCTTCTTATTTTTCCCATAATATAATGATAAAAGTGGTAGCCCTTGAGAGATTGAAGTAGGTATACCTCTTTACTTTGTGTTTTCTTGGTTTGCTTGTGATTCATCCTAAGCCAGAGGATAGCAGGCAATTCATTTAGTTTGCATCTATGTATAGTTTTCTCTTCCCTGAGACTTCACTGGTGTGTCTTCCTGTCTATGTGGCTATGGTTTTCCATGCATTGTGATATGGCTTTTACTTTCAACTGCTGTATTTAAATCACTGCTCCCTATAAATTCATTTATCACGCAAATGTGAATGGTACTAAGTTGCTGTCCTTTTTTTTTTTAAACAAACCTCAGGAGATGTTTATTTCCCCTGTTAGAAAAATCAGCTTCCAAACGTCAGTACCACATCTGTAAAATGGGTAGTGTCCCCATGGCATTATTATATGCTACTACTGGTTCTCACTGAAAGAAGATGTTTGTATGCTATGACACTAAAATAAAAGCTGAAAAAAAGTTCTAACATTTTATACGAATACAAATATATTCATTAGAAAACAACCTTTAACAGTATTTTATAGGTGAATGTAATGCACATTTAAAAATTCAATAAAATTTTTAGTATTGGTGTTTGTATAGCACTATGTAATGAGAAAGGCCATGAACCTGAGTTAAGAGTTGAGAATTTCCCCTCTAATATGATTATTAAGTCCAGCCAGTAAATCTGTTCCCTACTAGTCCAGCTCTCCCCAGGCACCAGTGATTATTTTTGGCAGCAGGCTGTTTCCTCCTTGAGTGCTTCCTATATAACTCCCCTCACCATGAGGACATGATCTGTGATAATTTTTTCATTCTGGGTAGATTAGATCATTCCATATTTTATGTTATCAGGAAATCAGTAACTTGGGAGTCAAGAAATTCTGAACCACAAAAGGCAAATGGATATGTGTCTCAGGATTCACCAGACTAGAGGCAAATGCAGACTTGAACCTTCTATTTCCTTTCATTATCCTATTTGAAGAGCCCTGGGGTTTTGTTAGAGTTTAATTTTACTCTTAATTTTTTTATTTTAAAAATAATGGCCCATTTTGAAGTTTATCAAACAATACAGAATTTTAGTTAATAAAAAGTTAAAGTTTCAAAAGCTATCTTTCTTAAGATAAACCCTAGTGTTCAAAATTGCTAACCTATTTCTTTTCTAGCTTTGTGGCAAATGAATTTTTCTGCATATAATATTAGACTGGAAATGTTAGTCTTGGTTAACAACTGAAGTACTTGGTGAAAATAGCATGAATTTACTTCTGATGATCCATATGCATTTTCCTGTTAAGACCTGCCTAGCTCTCTCCCTTAGTCCTCTCCTGATTTGTTTACTTATCACTCAGATGTCTGGACCAACATGGCAAACTTCTGATCTTTGCTGTACCAAACTTAAATAATAGCAAATCTGGACTGAGACTATTATTTTCCTACAGACAGTTTACATAGGGATAATTATTGAATTTTTAAAGACACCTTTTTTTTTTTCTTTTGAGGCAGGGGGTCTCACTCTGTTGCCCAGGCTGCAGTGTAGTGTCGCGATCACAGCTGACTGCAGCATCAACCTCCTGGGCTCAAGCCATCCTCCTGCCTCAGCCTTCCAAGTAGCTGGGACTACAGGAGCACACCACCTTGCCCCGCTAATTGTTTTGTGTTTTTTTTTTTTTTTTTTTAATAGAGATGGAGTCTTGCTATGTTGTACAGGTTCATTTTGAATACCTGGGCTTAAGAGATCCTCCTGCTTCAGCCTCCCAAAGTGCTGGGATAACAGGCATGAGCCACTGTGCCTGGACACCTGATTAAAATAATTTATTGACACCACATAGTAATGGTCATTGGGAAGTCCTAATAGTAGACTCTGTCTCACTGGGAGAGCAGCAGTAATGGCTCTTAGAAGGTAGTTGAGTATAGCTCTTAAGATTTTGTTCAGGTTTGGAGCCAGAAAGGCCTAGGTTTGAATTCTGGCTCTGCAATTTACCCACCAGGTGACTTCGAATGAGACATTAAACAACCTCCAAGTTGTCATCCTCGTCTGTAAAATGGGGATCGGAATTTCTAACTTCCAGCATCTTTTTGAAGATTAAATGAAATAATATATGTATAAACCATTTGATACTGTGTAAGCATAGTAAGCATATAGTAAATTTAAATCAATATTATATTAGTAGTGTGCCCTTCACTTCTTTGTTCTATCAGAAGGACTCAGTTTAAAGTAATTTGCCCCTAAACTTACTCTAATTCTAAAAACCACTATTCCTGAAATTAATCATGCATATAAATGGACCAGTGTGATTCTGTGGATATAATTTAAATGCAACTAGGATCTAGGATCTCTTTTCCTTTTGGGGGTGGGGAGCGGACAGAGTCTCACTCTGTCACCCAGGCTGGAGTGCAGTGGGCACAATCTCGGCTCACTGCAACCTCTGCCTCCCGGGTTCAAGCAATTCTTGTACCTCAGCCTCCTGAGTAGCCAGAACTACAGCAATGCACTACCATGCCCGGCTAATTTTTGTATTTTCAGTAGAGATGGGGTTTCACCATGTTGGCCAGGCCAGTCTTGAACTCCTGGCCTCAAGTGATCTGCCTTCCTGGGCCTCCCAAAGTGTTGGGATTATAGGCGTGAGCCACCCTGCCTGGCCATCTTTAATTCAACTATTAATTTGTTTATAGGAGGGCTTTTTAGTGGTGCTGTCACATTGTTTCCTACAGGGAGCGTTACTCTAAAATATTTTACATTTACACAATAAAACCAGCCTTGACTGCTCCATGCCTAGACTGAGGACTGAGCCTTCTGGCTCAAGGTTTAGCTGGAAATTACTGAGGGCCAAAATATCATGGCAATATCATTAAGATAACGTTTTAGAAGCCATCCAAAGGTATATTAAAATACCTTTCCAAGGAACTAATTATCTTGTAGGCCTATTAAGAGATTAGAGACTTTCTTCTTCAGGGCAGTAAGGAACACAGATTCTTAGAACCTGTCATCTATTCTATGACTTCTGCAAAAGGAATAAGTGCTAGTCATGTTTTATTTGAATGGATGTACTAATTTATAGATCTGCATATGCTTTTGAATTGTATATCACGTATATATCTAATTTTCACATTTTTGATGCATGGAATCTCTTTTAACTATTAATGTCAACTTGAAGACAACTGGACAGTCAATCACCTAAAATTTAAAAGGCCCAAAACAGGAACTCCAATAGCCAAAATTAGTTTAGGTTCTTTTCATAGTATCACTCTCAGATATTTGTTAAATTATTTTCTGATAAACATTGTTCTCTGATGTAACTTTGAAAGATTCCCCAAATTATACATGCATTCATCCACTGGATATTTCTCCAAAGTATTGTGTTTTTTTGCTAATAAGTGGTTCAATCATGATTTTCAAGATGGTTTTCTTACATGAGGAATAATAATATTTTAGGTACATCTGTTTTACTGTTGATTTTTCCTACATTCTGTTATATTTATGAAGAAAACAGTTCAGTAAAATGTCATTTTCCTTTAGTAACTCATTAGACTTGGACTGTCTGTGGACCAAAGCAAAATATCAGTGCTGAAACCAGTCTCAGTGCCTTCCCCAACCCCAAAAGAATAATAAATCCACTTCTGAATCACAGAGAACAATGAGTTATTTATGATAGCACAAAGTAGTTTTTAATAAAATCTGCTTTTTACTTATATTTAAATAAATTGCCCAGTTACTGAATCAGAAGCATTTCTTACAAAGCAAACAAAATAAGCATCCCTTCTATGTTAATAACATGTTAATAGTATGTTGGCAAGTTGATTTAGAACAACTTGCCAACAATACAAACAGAAAAAGGAGTGGGTCAAAGAAATCTAGTTTGGCTTTATTTTCAATAGATCATACTGTCTGTTGAAAAAGGAATAAATAATTATGGAGCCTATCTAATAATATACTCAATAGTTTGAAATTATTGAGTGCTTCCTATATAATAGGCTCCAGGCTAAGTATTTCATTTGCATTCTATAATTATGTTTATATTAACATGAGGAAACAGAGTTAAGTAACTAAGTTCTTAGCATGCAGATAACTTATATCTATTTATGACAAACTTTGTCCCTACACATGTGGCTGATTAATTTCATATCTCTGGGTCCATAAGAATCGTATGACCATAATGGACTTAAATTCCCATAACCTTTTAACTGCTCGGCTGTATCTGTCAAGTCAGACAGTGCCCTGTGACTGTAATAATGAGTATGAATGATCAGTGCTCGTCTTCCTTTCTTGACATTATACCATTAGGCAAGTCAAAGCATTTCTCTAGAACTGCCTGAGGGCAGTTTTTGAAAACGTTTATTTGTGAATGTGCCACTGAACTGTATCTAGAGGAACCAGGATGTGCAGAGTCGGCAATCCAGAGTTTTGTGGTTTTGAGCATTGCTGCTTCTGGTTGTCTCCGAACACATGCCCTTCTTTAACTTCACCAGAATATTGGGTGGTTTCATGAGAATGTTTTCTGTGGGAATTCAGTCTTGAGACTTTGTTCATTGTCCTCAAATGATCTAGTAGAGTTGATCTTCTGGGGTGATTCCGTGCAGAGGAGGAAGTGGTTACACATACTGTGAGAGTCTGAGAGACAGCAGTAGCTGGAGACTTTTTCCTGAGTTTGTCGCTGTATAGTTTAGGTTCTCATTTTACAGTTGTGAGTTTTCATGTTAAGAGATTGCCTTTTTACCTGCCTTTGCATTTCTCTCCAGTGGATTCTGTTTTAGTAAATAATTGGACATTGGCTTTCCAATTCTTTTTTTATTTCTCTGCCACAGGAAAAAAAGAAAAAAAAAAGATAGCAAGATTGTTTATTCCAAACACCGGGTGGAAATTGTTAGGAGCCACATACGTTATTTTGGCCTAAATTAATCATGTCCCTGCTTTGTATTTTACTAAGCACTTATCAGGTAGACAGAAAAGTGTTTTGTACTTGGGGAACACAAAGATAAAGGAGGACGGGCTGAGCACCATAGCTCGTGCCTGTAATCCCAGCTACTTTGGGAGGCCGAGGTGGGTGGATCACTTGAGGTCAGGAGTTCACCTGGCCAACATATGAAACCCTATTTCCGCTAAAAATACAAAAATTAGCCAGACATGGTGGCGCATTCCTGTAATCCTAACTACACTGGAGGCTGAGGCAGGAGAATCACTTGAACCCGGGAGGCAGAGGTTGCAGTGAGTCGAGATTGGGTCTCTTCACTCCAGCCTGGGTGACACAGTGAGACTCCATCTCAAAAAAAAAAAGATAAAGGAGCAAGGGCTTTTGCCCTGAAGAAACTTATGTTTCAAAAGGAATTTAAGTTGTACCTCACTAGCCAAATCAGAAGGTGTACCCATAAAAGTGCTAGAATGTACTCTAAGGGGCACAGAGAGATAAACGTACCCATGTAGAGAGAGCCAAATGATAATACTTTGTATTAGTATAACCTTAATCTTCATTATATTACCACTGAGGTTGAATTGAATTTCTTTGTTAAGAAGAAGCCAGGCTGATGCAGTAAGTAGCTCACTCCTATAATCCTAGTAGTTTGGGAGGCTGAGGCAGGAGGATCACTTGAGGCCAGGAGTTCAAGACCAGCCCAGACAACATAGCAAGACCCTGTCTCTACAAAAATGTTTAAAAATTAGCTGGGTGTGGTGGTACATACCTGTAGTCCCACCTACTCAGGAGACTGAGGCAAGAGGATCACCTGAGCCCAGGAGTTTGAAGCTATAGTGAGCTATGATTGTACCACTGCACTCTAGACTGGGCAACAGAGAGGACTGCCACAGATTCCTTCTAACTGTATACATTATAAACTTGAATAAATATATTAAAGTAATTTTCAAACATTCCTCTAATCATGATCAGTTGTCTTTAACAACATTTCTCAAACTTGTTATGTTATTCCAAACGCTGGGTGGACTCATGAAAATTTGTAAGAGTCACATCTGTTATTTTTCCACTCTAAAAGGAAAAAGAAATATTGCGGACCTATAATGTTGACGTTAGTCACTTTTATTTTAAACTTAAATGTGTACAAATATAAAATATGTATAAACCTCTTATGCTTACAGCTTTTATAAACTACAAAACCAAAAGACATACAAATTAAGTTAAAAACTAGAAAAAATCAATAACATTTGAATTAATGCTATTAATATGAGGATACTTTGTTTTTCAGAAGCCAAATCACCAATGTTGAGACCATTATTGGTGGAAAGACACATTTGCACCTTTCTGTGCTTGTGTTTGACTTGATTCTTTTGATTTTTTGCATCTCTGGCCTAGCATGTGCCTCCTTGGAATTATCAGTCATCATTTTTCCTTCTTAACAAAAAGCTTATTTTTATCTACTGATTCATTGGTTTGATAAGCCAATTCATTTAATAGTGTAACCTGAAATACAATACTGAAGGATAAAACATATCATTGAATGTGCCTTGGGATGAGTGGATTCTACCACCACTTTTCTATTTGCAAACTATTGCAGAGCTTTTGTTCTTAGAATAAGCCAGGATATCTTTTATGCATTATTTAGCATGAATGCATAATTTTCTTTTTAAATCCATCTCTTTTATTTTCTCTTTAGCCTGTGGTAATTTACATATACATTACTTAACCCCACTTGATCATTTTCATGATGCAAGTTAATACTGTAAGAGAAAAGGTTTTTTTAATTGCTAAGCGAAGTGTGCGTAAGTGGCAGATGGGGACTGGTGTTATTATCATATTGAACATCAAGGCCCTGACAGCCTAAGGGCAGCCAGGTGTGTTCGCCGTCCCTTTAAAAGCTCACCTCTGATCACTTTGCACCAAGTGCCCTATAAATACAAACATGGGACCCGAAGTCATATGGCAAGATTCAGTCATAAATGTCATCCATCTCATCTAAAATATTATTATATTGTTTCATGTGCTTTGATCATCGAAGTGAAGACACAAAATTTAAAAATTCTTGCAGAGCTTGAGCTTATGTATGCAAATTTCTAGTAGACCAAGGATGCCAGTTTGAGAATCACTGGTCTATAGCATATTGGGCAAATACCTGGTAACCAAGAAGTGGTTCCTTTGTTTTTCTCAGAAAAGATTGGTGACATTTCCAGGACGTCTGCTGACTTCTGTCTGTTCCTCAGCCTTGATCTGCTCTCTTTACAGGCAGTAAACTAATGCCTTCTTTGTTTCTACGTGAAAGGACTTTATAAAGAACTGTTTAGACCGGGAGAAGGTATAAAGCCTAACCACGCTTCAATTAAGTGAACAGAAGAATTTAAATATTTTCACATCAAATGAGAATTACCTTTTAACTTTCTCTCTTCCACTGCACTGTAAGCTCCTTGAAAAGGGACTTTCTCTTACTCCCCATTGGATTCCCAGCGTGTGGTACCATGACTGGCACACAATAGGCACGCAGAAAATGTTCACTGAAAGAATGACTCAATATCAACATAAGAAAGTACTTACTGGTGTGATGTACATCAGACGACATGTTCCAGTGTCTGGTTCCTGAAAGCATATGACCCATAGCTTGTCATTGTGATGAATTAGCTGGCCTGGTAGAAAATTGGTCTCAGCCTGCCTCTCATATGTTCTTACCTGAAAAATCAGACCAGTTGCCTTCACAGACTGCTAGTTTTTATCTGGAAAGTGATGAAAAGTTTCCCATTTGGCATACCTCCTCTGGTGCCTTTGTCCTTTCTTTTTCTCATCCTATCATCCTTGTGACTCAAGAAGCGATGATGTTTTTCTTATTCACAGGAAACTTCCAAGCCGCAGACCAGGGCCTGATATCTACCATCACTCAACTCCTTCTGTGTAGCTCCAGTTAAGGAAGGAGGGGAGAGTGCTCAGCCTGTTTGTTTTTTGTCTTGTTCTGTTTGCCTGGATTCACTGTGTTGATAGACAAAAGAGATAAGCTGCATATTTGTGGGAGATAGCTTTTGATTCTTCAAGATCAAAGCATGGTGTTACTGACCCTTATAAGAGTAGTTCTTTGGTTAAGTTATTATTCATTTTTCTTCAAGATAACTTTCCTCTGATTTAGCTTTTATCAGCCAACATTTACATCTCTTATCAGAAAAACCATTCACCAGATAATGGGCCTGGGTTTCCATCACGTGTTTCAGATGTATGATTCCAAAACTTGAGGGAAAATGTTCTGCCTGGTTCAAGCCTTCACTGAAATAACCTTAAGCAGAGAGAGGCTGGCCTTCTGAGCAACTCCTTTACGTACATGCCTACCACTAATTTCTAATAGTCTTTAAAAAAAAAATAGTAGTTAGCTGCTGGCAATAAAGTACAGAAAGGAAAGTTTGGCAAATACTAAAGATTAGCTGCTTCATCTATCATATAAAATGGATCTAGCCAGAAGAAACCAAGGACTGAACTCTGTTTGTCATACCTCATAAGCTGTGTGGCTAAGGGCAAATCCATTGACTTTTCTATGCATTAGGGAATTTTTCATGTGAACATGAAACCTTGCCTTCCACCTCAGTGCCTTCAAGTCAGCAAGCAATCTTAAGAAAAATATTTCAAATTTGGGAATATAAAAATCAGTGCAACTTGGCCAGGCATGGTGGCTTACGCCTATAATCCCAGCATTTGAGAGGCCAAGGCAGGCAGCTCACATGAGGCCAGGAGTTTGAGACCAGCATGGCGAACATGGCAAAACCCCATCTCCACCAAAAGTACAAAAATTAGCTGGGCGTGGTGACACATGCCTATAATCCCAGCTACTCAAATGTCTGAGGCAGGAGAATCATTTGAACCCAGGAGGCAGAGGTTGCAGTGAGCCAAGATCATGCCACAGCACTCTGGCCTGGACGACAGAGTAAGGCCCTGTCTCAAAACAAACAAACAAAAAAATCAGTGGAACTTTGTGAAAATATCAAGTAGAAAAACAAGTTGCTTGTAGATAAGAACTAAATCTAAATAAATACTTGTATCAGTGATTGGTATTTTACTTTATGGTATAGGAATCAGAATATATTGTCCATAGCACTCAGAATAAAATTGCATATTTGCATTATCCTGTATATTCCAATGAAATAGAATGATTTTAGTACCATAATTTGTGTTTTTATATTTTTCTTCATCTTATAAAAGTTAATATGGTGTGCTTTGAAATAGCATGATGTAAATAAGGGAAGAAAGCAACTAGGAAAAAAATTATTAAAATTGTATTCATATAACAAATTGAAAATAGTGACATGATGATGACTCATCAAACAAAAAAGAAAAAAGCTGGTATCACATTTACCTATAACAAAATAATGGTAGAAATAACTCACCTTGTGTTTGATATGTATATGTATATATACATTTGCACAGGTATGCACACAATCTATTTCACCAACTGTTGTAGCAAAGTATTTCAGTTTTTTCTTTATTTAAAAAAGGCATATGCTTTTACACTGAATATATACATATGCTTTTACACTGAATATATAATGCATAGATACTATCTGCTTCCAATTAGGAATGAGCTCATCACATGCAACTTAAAGGTATGGCCTCAGGAAAATAGATGACTCTCCCAACACAATCCCTTTTTGGAACAGCAGGGCATCAGCGTAAGACTATATCGCTAAAATTCAGGCCCACAGTCAGCTTTAACTCAAAGCAGACACTGATTTTATTGGTTGAATAGTATACTATTTATAGTACTTGGGCAGCAAAATGATGAAGCCAGTGAAAGAATCTTTCTCCCCACAACATTAGAACTGGGAGGTGTTGATGCTTACAAGATCCCCCCCCTTGAAGGCAAAGACCATGTCTCTCTTGGATGTGTATTCCTAGGGTATTACACAGTAGCTGCCACATAATAGGTACCAAAAAACATCATGACTATTATAAAAAATGCTCTTTACTACTGAGTTATAGCCTAAAGGTCTACCATATACATTTTGTGCTGTTTCTTTTCTTGATTAGGGAGAAGATCCAATTTATCCGAACTGAAGGGACTCCAGGATTGGTGCGCCTTTCAAGCGATGCAGACCTTGTTATGTTGCTGAGGTACATACGTAACACTCACTCTTGAAGCAGAAGGTCTCTTGTCATCAGATATCATGGAACATTGTAGAAAATAATATGCCAATATTCATAGCCTAAAAATTGTTCTTATTCTTTAGACTTGTGGAAATATTTTGAAGATTTAGGGTGCTGATTGAGTGATCATTCACTTCACGTTGCCATTTGTTACACTGAGATCTGTTTAATTTTGTTTTCACCCTGCTGGCAAGGGAGATGGTATTGGAAAAGGGAAAGGTTGTAATGAATAGAATCTCCCACTCACAGAATGGAACAGAAGGGTATCTGAACAAGGCATCCACCGTTTACCCCTCAGTGTTTACCCTTTCAGTTTAATATTCTTTCAAATGTTTTTCTCAAAATATGTTTTGTCCCCTTTTGCTGACTCAAGGCATTATTTATTTACCTTGTGGTTTTGAGGGTGTACGTTTGGGAAATCAGATCAGAAAGTTGACATTTGGTCTATGCTACTCATTGCCAACTTGATAGCCCTTCATAAAACTGACCAATTATTTTCACCCCCGCCCCTCACCCTCCAATGGTTAAATCAGCTTTGGTTTTAAATTTTAGAGTAGTTTAGAAAGGAAACTGGCAAGTTTTCAAAAGACTTTCTCATTTTTTTATTATCCCTCAAATGTAGGCAAGCCATAGTAAAATAATGCTTTGCTCTACCCAGTGGTTGGGACGCTCATCCCTGTAACCTCCAGAGAATTAAAAGGAACAGCATACTGAGCCTTTCAGGCAAGGTTTTGTTTATCCCTGAGTGCTAATAACCTCATTCAAGTATTCATGATGATCTTGACCCTGACCATTTCTAATTCTCCATTCCATAGTTGCCATATTTGTTGCCATATTTCTGACCTCCCATGTGATTGTTGTCAGAAAATTATTTTTCTTTGTGTGTAGTCAAAGCATAACTCAAAGGGATATATTCACTTTCTATAGATACTTCACTTCAGTTGACTCTGAATAGGACCTATGGTGGGGGTAGCTTCTCAACCTAATGGGTGGCCTCTCTCCTGTGGTATTGAGCCAGTTGTGAAACCAGCATATAGTATGCTAGGTGGTCAGGAAGACTACTGGTCAATTAACGTTAGAGTGTGATGTTTCTATCATGGTTTGGTTGGTGATAAAATAGTTGAAGTTTCTGTTAACAGAATTCTGGCCAGGATATGCTCTTTTTCTTCACTATAGAAAGCTAAGGTTTTTTTCTTTTAAACTAAGAATTCTGCTTTGGGAATTAGTAAAAACAGAAGTCATAATTATCATTCACCTATCCATAGTTAAATAATATTTAGATGGTATAGTCTTAAATTTATTTTACTATAGCTTATAATATTTGTACTTTGATAACACAACAGTTTGCATGAGTTTCTATGTGTTAAGTAGTAGAATTCAAATGTATTTGAATTCAAATAATTCAGAACTCATTCATACATAAAGAGCAAGGCTGCATTTTCTCCTCTTTGGGAAAATAAGCAGGTTCTGTAAAGCTAATGGGCCTTTGGAGAAGTGTGAGAAATTTTCTTACATATAATAGTTCTATAATTATTGTATACAAATGATGTCATTAAATTCTAGGCTTTTCATGTGGGTGATCACATGTGTTTATTATTTTAATAATAGTAAACAACACAATGTATTATATGTACATGCTTAATAAGTAATATAATTAGTGATTATTGAAAAATTTGGGGTTTTATTCATGTCCTCAATTATTTATTTATTTATTTTTGAGGTGCAGTCTCGCTCTGTTGCCCAGGCTGGAGTGCAGTGGTGAGATCTCATCTCATTGCAACCTCCACCCTCTGAGTTCAAGTAATTCTCCTGCCTCAGCCTCCTGAGTAGCTGGGAGTACAGGTGCAAGCCACCACGCCCGGCTAATTTTTTGTATTTTAATAGAGACGGGGTTTCACCGTGTTGCCCAGGCTGGACAAGAACTCCTGAGCTCAGGCAATCCGCCCTCCTCGGCCTCCCAAAGTGCTAGGATTACAGGTGTGAGCCACAGCGCTCAGCCCTTTATTTTTTATTTCACTTTGGAATTGGAATGATTTGAATTGGTGACTACAAACTTCAGTCAGCATACTTGTCACTTACATAATGGAAGCCTTTGTGTCTATTTTAATGTTTTGTCTGATTTCTTAAAAAGGAAAAATCACTCCTGGTACAAATTGACTTATCAGTAAGCTGCAATGTAGAGATAGTGTTGCTCTAGGACATTATTCAATTCAGAATAAACGCATGTAAAGTTATTTTCCAATAGGGCTATTTTAAAACCCAATAATTTTTAAATGACCTTGTTTAATTTGTTATTGATTTTTGTGTTTCATGTATCTTTTCACTAACTCAATTCATGTAAAAAATATACCTCTATCAGAGCTCATACAAGAAATGATTGATAAATTTGGCTACATAAATATTTTTAAATGGATATAATGAAAGATACCACATATAAAGGCATAAAGAAAGATAATCAACTGGAAGAATAGATTTACAACATGTAAAACAAAGAGATCAGCCAGGCGCAGTGGCTCACGCCTGTAATCCCAGCACTTTGGGATGCCGAGGCAGGCGGATCATGATGAGGTCAGGAGATCGAGACCAACCTGGCCAACATGGTGAAACCCCATCTCTACTAAAAAAAAAAAAAAAAAAAAAAATAGAAAAATTAGCTGAACGTGGTGACTCGCACCTGTAGTCCCAGCTACTCAAGAGGCTGAGGCAGGAGAATCACTTGAACCCAGGAAGCAGAGGTTGCAGTGAGCCAACATTGTGCCACTGCGCTCCAGCCATGCAACAGAGCTAGACTCTGTCTCAGAAAAAAAAAAAAAAAAAGGAAACCAGATTGTGGATACATAAAGAAGGCCTTTAAAAGAAGAGAACCCAATAGAAAAATGGATAAAGGTTATGAAAAGGCATAGAAATGGAAGTATGAATAGCCAATAAACCCATGGAAAGATGCTAGTAATGTAAGTGTAGTTTCAAATAATGAGATACCATTTCACAGTATTAGATTTGTAAGAGTCCAAAAGTCTGAATACCTAATGATACATAAGAACTCTCATATTGTCTGGGCTTAGTGGCATTGCAGTTTCTACAGTCTTATTGGAGTACAAACTGACACTGTCTTGTACAGCTGAAAAGAGCTCAGGTCTCTGGTTACTCTCTTTTAGGAGAATATCAGAAACAGACATTTCAGTATGGAGAAGAAAGAAGACATTAAATGGTCTAAGATCCAAATCCTCACATGTGAAAAATAGTAGCCAGGGTAAACAAGGGAGCTAATTATTTTGTGATTGTAGTTATTTAAGAGGTGTTTTGTTTTATTTTGCTTTTAATTATCAAATTAAATCCTAAGCCCTTCGAAGGCTGAGACCCTATTGTTTATTTCTTGGAATGAGGATATAGAACATACTTTGTATATTTATGATGGGTTCTCAATAAACATTTTCTATTTTGTGTTGGAATCCTGTTTCCAAATCTGAAAACCCAGGTATGATTTTCAAACAAACATGTACACTCAAACTCATATGTTGAAATAGTAAAATAAAGTCACGTTGTCCAAAGTTGGTAGGAAAACAGGGAAATAGCCACAGGGTTCACAAAAAGCACCACAGCCAGCCATTTTGTACCAAGAATTACCTGCAAGAGAAAGGGGGCGGATGCTCTCTTTGGGATATAAACCGGATCTTGGATGGAATATTCTACTCCTTTGGGATTTAGGCTTTTCCCCACTACTTTGGCTGAAGTGCCCGTTTTGTTTCTTGTCTTTCCCCAGCTTATTTGAAGAAGAGATAATGTCGTATGTGCCTCCACATGCCTTACTCCACCCCAGCTACTGTCAGTCCCCACGTGGCTCTCCCGTGTCATCTCCTCAGAACTCGCCAGGTGAGTCCACCTGCTGCTCACAGTGAATTCTCTGAGGAGTGAACCTTCAAGCCAGATGTTCTATCCTCCCTAAAGACAGAACAGTAAGGGAACACTTCAGGTACATCTTTGGTGTTAGCACAGATACACGTGTGCATTTCCTGTCTCGTAAGAGTGGCTTATTTCCATGAGGATTCATTTTGACAAACATAATGAATAGGAGGATTAGTGGTATGACATACTCAGATATAGAATTTACTTTTCATGATGTTATATCATACAATATCAGGACACAAAATATTAGGTTGCTTTTTGACTTTAGAAAGTTCTAGTGAAGAGAACTTTTTTGATATACAATGAAGATAAAGTCTCTACTCTCAAGAAATAATATGGAATTGAAATTGTTCAGTTTAATGGACTTGGACATTCCTGCAATTCATTAATTGCATTAGATAGAACAGAAATGGATTGGCAGATAGAAGATGTTGATAGGTAACCTGAAATGTGTACATTCAATCTCTTTTTGAAAGAGATAGGCCTGAATGAAAGAGTGAGTGGGTGGATGAATGGGTGGATGAGCAAATGGTAGGAAATGCAGCTTGGCAAATGAGCTTTGAAAATGAAGGCAGTCATGATGTTGACAGAATAGCAGATGTATATAGGTCCTTATTATAGGCAGTGCATTGTTCACACTTTAACAGCTGTCAGAACTGAAAATGATTTCAGTAGAAGTGCAAACTCCATATGTGTCACTAAGCTGCTGTATGTTCTTTGGTATATAACATGTGTTTTCACATACTGCAATGATAATGAAGATGCAGCCTAATTGGATACTGCAAACAGGAAAAGATGTATTAATATGTTCATTTAACACAGATTTATGGAGCATCCAACTATGATCCAAGCACTGAATTAGACTCTAGGACTACAGAGATGAATAATACAGTTTCTTCCTTTGAAGAATTCATGGTGTGGCAGTGAGTCAACAAATAACTCTGTGAAGCTCTGTAGTTAGTTCTGTAATGAAGAAATGTATGAGAACACAGCTGTGGGAACAATTATTCTTTCAGGGCTGGGGATGGGGTATTTGGGGAAATATGAAGTGGAACCTTGAAGAATGATGAATAGGAGTTTACCAGGTGGACCAAAGAAAGAAGGACATTCTAGTGAAGGGAGTGATGTGTTAGGCCATTCTTGTGTAACTATAAAGAAAACCTGAGGCTGGGTAATTTATAAAGAAAGGTTTCACTGGCTTATGGTTTTGCAGACTGTACAATCATGGTACCAGCATTTGCTTGGCTTCTGTTGAGGGCCTCAGGAAACTTCTACTCATGTCAGAAGGTGATGGAGAGCCAGCATGTCACATGGTGAGAGTGGGAGCCAGAGAGAGCAGGGGGGAGGTACCACACACCTTTAAACAATCAGATCTCCTGTGAGGTCACTCATCACCAAGGGAGTGGTGCGAAACCATTCATGAGGGATCTGCACTTATGATCCAAACACCCCCCACAAGGCCCTACCTCTGACACTGGGGATTATATTTAAACATGAGATTTAGAGGGAACAAACATCCAAAAAAACCATATCAGGTAGCATAAGCTAAGCCACAGAAGCATGAAAGTAGTGTAGGAAATAGATACAAGTAAGTTAATAGATACAAGGGAAGGGAAGTTCTCAAAGCTCAGGTTGGAAAGGTAGGCTAGGGCTGGTTGGTCATTGAAGCCTTATTATTATTATTATTATTATTATTATTATTATTATTTTGAATCGGAGTCACACTTCTTCGCCCAGGCTGGAGTGCAGTGGCGTGATCTCCCAGGTTCAAGTAATTCTCCTGCCTCAGCCTCCCCAGTAGCTAGGATAACAGATACATGCCACCATGCCCAGCAAATTTTTGTATTTTTAGTAGAGACTGGGTTTCATCATGTTGGCCAGGCTGGTCTCAAACTCCTAACTTCAAATGATCTGCCTGCCTCGGCCTCCCAAAGTGCTGGTATTACAGGTGTGAGTTGCCACGCCCAGCCAGCCCTATTCTATTGTCCATGTGAAGCCACTGAAAATGTATAAGCAGAGGAATACCAATAATATCCTGCTTTTCAAAGATCAGTCTGGTGGCAATTGGGAGGATAAATTAGAAAATGAGAGACTAGAGACAGTTTCTCAGAGAGGCCATTGCATTAGCCAGAGTAACATGATGAAAGACTGGACTAGGCAGTGGAGATGGGGACCAGGGAACAAATTGAAGGGATATGTAGGATGCAGAGACATCAGGACTTTGAGTAGAGGTAGGGAAGAGTCAAGGAAGATTCAAAGGCCCTCACTACCTAGGCTACCAGGCAGATGGTAGCACCCTCTGCCAAGAATGGGAAATGGTTAGACTCAAATTGGAAGATTGAGTGAGTTTGGTGTTGGACAAGTTTTATTGAGAAATCTTTGGGCCATCAATGGGAGATTCCCAAAGACAGCTGGAAATGGCAGCCATGGCGCACAGGAGAGGTTGAAAGCAAGGAGTTCAGTGTACTGGTGGCAACTGGAACCTAGAGTATAGACTAAAGCAACTGGGGAGAAAGTCATTGAAAAGGAGAGGAAATAGAGGATGATGTCATGAGAAACCTCAATATTTAAGGGATGAGCTGAGACAGAGAAGCAAGTGAAAGAAAGAGAGCCAACAGATTTTGAATAGAGTTAGGAAAGTCTTTTCAGGGGAGCCGGGTTTCACAGAGGAGTGGTCAATAGAGCCACATGCTCAAAGGGCTCAGGAAGTCCCAGCTACTCACGGGGGCTGAGGTGGGAGGGTTACTTGGGCTCAGAAGGTCAAGCCTGCAGGGAGCCATGATCATGCCACTGCACTCCAGCCTGGGCAACAGAGTGAGACCCTGTCTCAAAAGGGGGATAGGGCATCAAGAAGGATGAGATCTGAAAAGAGGCCTCATTTAGATTTGAAAATCATGACATTATCAATGGTCTTTGCCAAAGCAGGTTCTGTGAAGTAATAGGTTATAAACCGGATCATGATTGGTGACAGAATGATACAGGATCTGAAGCAGAAGTCAAATGCTCTTTTCACGAAATCTGGAGGTAAAAAGAAAGCAAAATAGAACAGTAGTTAGGAGAAGAGAGAGGGAAGGAATTTTAGGATGGGAAGTTGAGCATACATGTGCAGAGGACACAGGACGTGAGTGGAAGGAAAGTGGTTTGTGGAATAAGGCAGGCTCATGGGCAGCACGACACTGAAGGAAGAAACACAGGCCAACTTTGGAACAAAATAGGGACACCTATTTTGATGACACAGGCTGAAAGAAGTGTATGACACTACAGGTAAGTTTAAAGGTTTAGGGGAAAACTTCATGAAATTCCCAACTGGGAATTTCATTCTTTTAGCAACTGTCTGACTTTAGGCAGGGTACCTCCTTCCCTGAGCCTGAATCTCTTTTTCTATAAAATAGAGATAACAATAATTACCTCACCTCTCACGATTATTTTTGGAGAACACTTTGCTTGGTGCTTGGAACATAACAAGTAGCCAATAAAGGTTAATGTGTCGCTTTTTCTTTCTTTCTTTCTGGAAATTTGATTCTGAGAAGTAGTTTGTTCACATTTGAACCATTAACAACTGGAACATACGAACCCTGATTTGCAGAGCTGTCTGCTTAGATATTTAATCATGCAGAGTGGACTTTATCTTAGTAAGAGCCTATGCTGGGGTTTAAAGTGGACCATCCCTTTACCTGTGTTTTATGGTTAAAGACATGAAGCCATGTGGATTGTTGCTCGTGCCAGTCAAGGCTGTCCTTTTCCAGGCCTTTTGTGTGGCCTCTCCTCCCTGAGGAAAAGGTAAATTGCCAAATGCTGCCCCTTCCGTGCTCTTTAAAGGCATGCACTTGAAGACTGCACACATTCTTCAAGACTGTATGAGCACTCTAAATGTGGCTGAGTTCACTTCCTCATTTAGCATCGCAAATGCACATGAGTAATCATTGGTGACAATAAAATCCATTCTAGAAACTTACATTTAGAGTTAAACATTTTCCAAAGACCTGTGTAACCCAAATATATCTAAATTGCTAGCAGTGTTTGTGGTGGTTTTAATTTTCAGGAAGAATCATCTCCATATTTCTGGCCTACTCTGTTTCAGTGGGCTTTGTTTGATCTTGAAACTGGGTTGTACAGCCTGATATCAATGGAAGTCACTATAACAAATTCCACATGATACCAGGGCAGGACTACCTAACCTCATTTCCCCTCTGGAGGAATCTTCTGTTCCTTTGAATAAAATAGCTTCTCCTTCTACCAGGATTCCTGAAGGTTTTGTGAAAGCAACATTTCAAACAGATTTTTTTAAGTGGTCTGATCCTCCTTGTGACTATAATTTCACCCCTTTTAGTGGTGTGAGAATAATATCTTGAAAATTATGACAGTAATAAATTTTAATGATCTTCATTGAGAATTCCTAGGAACCTGGTAAACTTTCCCCCTTTTCCTCATTCCAAGCACGTTGACATGTATTTTCAAGTGCAGAAGAGAGAGGGGCTTTGGAAACTTTGACTCACTGCTTTTTGCAGCTGTTAGAGTGCTCACCAAAATTTGTCAAAATTTTGGAATGTGAAGGTTTGTTTTTCTAGGACCATTATAATGCCAATCCCAACCTCAGTGATGCCAGAAGGAAAAGATCTTTCCAAACACCATGTGGCTTATTATGCCAAATATGGGACCCAGAAGTTTATTTAAGCTGCACATTTCTAGGAAATTAAATGCAATAACACCTAATTTATCTGATATTATTGGAGATGTGCTCTCTTATGTGGATTTTCCAGGTAACCAAAGCTATGATTTTAACTGTATGAGAATTTGTTTGACCCCCTATTTGCTGAAACTCTTTCATAAATATATTATATTTCTCTTTACTTTCCTATACACTGCACATTGAGGATATTTCATGGTTTGGGGGGATCATTGTGCCTATGAATCATGATGCAGAGCTCTTGTTACTTGACTAGAGCTGGACTCCCTGGAAACTAGCACCAGCAGAAAGTCACCTTCAACAGAAGTAAAACACTCAGAGAGCACAGAAGAGCCCTGTGGGTCTTTACTAAAGATTGTCTTGAGGGGATGGGTTGTGAGAGGGAATTATTTCTCCCACCACATTGTGTGCCCTTAATGATCTTCGTTTTCTTTCTCCCACCACAAAGTCTTAGCATTTTACCAGCTGTTTATGTCATCTTCTCTTTTCACAAACAGTTCCTCTTCTCTGCTCATTCTCTCTCTCCTTTTCTTCCTTCCTCCCTCTCTATTCCTCTCTGTCTCTCTCTGTGTGTGTGTGTGTGTGTGTGTGTGTGTGTGTGTCTGTCTGTCTCTCTCTCTCTCATCTGTCCCTCTCCCTTTCCCCACCTTTCCTACAGTCCCTGAAGTAGCTTTAGAGTTGTTTTTAGAAAAGGTGTTTGATCCCTTCCCTTGACTCAGCCCTACAAAGATGATCTAGGAACCAAATTGCACAAATGAAGGATGCTCCCTGGGTGGGTAGGGATGGGGAAGTTGTGATCCCAGAGACCAAAAGAAAGCCACAGACACTGTCTCTCTCATAGTATAGAGACTTAACTTTTTGTGTTGTTAGTCTCCCTTGTCCTCACCCATAGAGCTATCAGAGGGTGCCTGCTATTGGCAGACCCTTTACATTTCCCTTTAATAAATCACTTCCCTGCCAAGATCTCTGTCAAGGTTTGAGAAGTCAGAGCATTAAGTTATTTTCAATAAATGGTATGTACATGAACATCAGCAAGCTCCAAGAAATGACTCGAGGGCCTTTTACTACTCAGAGAATAAAGCAAAAATGCCAGGTTTTCAGTGCTTGTGCTTTGTGCCAGGGATTTGGACGTGTTTTTTGTTAAGTTCCAGCGTTGAGCTATGTTCCAGAAGATGGAGCCTTCCAGAAATTATTGTAGTGCTTGATGTTTTGTTTTCATTCACTCACAGGGCATTTGTTTTAAATGTCATAGGGATTTTTTGAAAGTGAACCAGGAAAGAGATGAGCGTCTGAGCTGTCCCAGGACAGAGGCATGGAGCCATGCTGGATCAGGCTAAGATCCAGCCCCTGTCCAATACGGAGAACCAGTGCTAGTCATCAGAACAGTCCAGGTTCTGGGTCACACACCCAGAATCAAAAAAGACTGAGACTGCCCGGGAGTTGGATGCCAAGCTATTTCTAGTGTCTTCTGAAATATTTTGTCAGATAGAATTCTTTAGTTTGTATATGATTATGCAATTTTGTAACAGTATATGAAAATAGGGTAACACAATATAGAAGTTCTTTAGACCTGCCTAGCAATGACAAAGCAAAAACTCCCTAGTGTCTGTTACTGAAATTTTTTCCTGCACAGTATTAGCAAAATGCTGACTATCCATGAAGTCAGCCCTTCATTTGATGTAACATTGATCTTTTGTACCTGATTTTCTTTAAGACTGTAAAGACCATAAAATTCCTCTGTCTACAAAGTATTATGACCTAGAACTTCACTTGTAGTTCTCACACAATTTTATTAGCGCAATCTTCCAAGAACATTTTGTATTTCCAAAGTGGAAGTAACATCATTCCTGCTCTGGAATTTCTTGGCAATTATACCTCACTTGTATTAAGAATTTGACAAAGGCCAACAGCATAATTTACTGTAATTTTATTTATTTATTTATTTATTTTGAGACAGAGCCTCACTCTGTTGCCAGGCTGGAGTGCAGTGGTGCGATGTCGGCTCGCTGCAACCTCCGCCTCCTGGGTTCAAGTGATTCTCCTGCCTCAGCCCCCCAAGTAGCTGGGACTACAAGCACACCCAGCTAATTTTTGTGTTTTTAGTAGAGACGGGGTTTCACCATGTTGGCCAGGATGGTCTCGATCTCCTGACCTCATGATCCACCGACCTCAGCCTCCCAAAGTGATGGGATTACAGGCGTGAGCCACCGTACCCAGCCAATTTACTATAATTTTAAAATGAAATAATGTGTAAATGACTTCTTTCATGATGGAACTATGAGCAAAAGAATTTTTGCATTTAACAATTGCTGTCTCAGAGTTTTTATAATTAAATCCCTTTACCTAGAGTATAAACAGAATCAGAGCTAATTTTTATTGTGTCTGTATTGATATTGATGGAATGCATTATGGCATTTCCCACGTCCTTTTAAGCATCTCAAATTATATAGGAGTAGTTAGTGTCTGTGCTGTTTTTTAAAGTAATCAGCTCTTAAAAAAACATGTTTCTTGGCAGGGCACAGTGGCTCATGCCTGTAATCCCACCACTTTGGGAGGCTGAGGGGGGTGGATCACAAGGTCAGGAGATCGAGATCATCCTGGCTAACATGGTGAAACCCCGTCTCTACTAAAAAAATACAAAAAAATAATTAGCCGGGCGTGGTGGCAGACGCCTGTAGTCCAAGCTACTCAGGAGGCTGAGGCAGGAGAATGGCATGAACCCGGGAGGTGGAGCTTGCAGTGCCCGAGATCGTGCCACTGCACTCCAGCCTGGGCGACAGAGTGAGACTCCGTCTAAAGAAAAAAAAAAAGTTTCTTTTGTGTCTTAAAAGATTTTCGTTCAGTTCCTTGTTCTTCATTTTTCTCTCTCTTATCAATGATTTTGCTCTTGAAAGTTGATTCATTACAGCTGCGTTCTGCCCTGTCTGGGTTTTCTAGTCTGCAGTTTCTCAGACTGGAGCACTGACACTGATTGTGCCACCCTTGAGTGGACTTGAACTGCACGGTCCTATCCCTCATTCATCTAGGAGAGCAGCCTTGTGTTCATGGAGATAATGTTCCTTCGTGTTGCAAATTATGCCTTTCGGTACACAGGAAACATTTGCCCTGTGTTAGTCCCTGGATGCTGCCCATGTGTTTCACTGGTGATGTTTGACCTTCTTATAAGGGAATAGTGGTTCTCAGCCATAGCTACACATTACACATTGGAATCATCTGGACAGTTGTATTTAACACTCATGCCTGGGTCCCACCCCACATTCTGGGTCTTTACACATTTTGTTGTAATGCATCTTGGGTGTGGCCTGAACATTGGAATTTTTAAAAGCTTCCTAAGTGATTCTAATGTGCAGTCAAGATTGAGAACCCCTGCCTAGGAGTCTCTTCTGCTTCCCAGATCTTTAAAGTCAAGTTTATTCACTTGCTTTATGACATAACTCAGCTCTTTGCCCAGCTATACAAACAGATCTCCAGACAGATTATTGGTCAATAGCCAGTTTTGTACAAATTCATTAGTAAAATCTCAATTCATTTCCCTGTCTTTAGTATTCACCTCTATGCAGATAACAACAGCTAACACTTACGTGGGATCTCTTATGCAACAGTCACTGCATAAAGTGCCATAAACACACTAACTCAGCTCATCCACACGTGTGGCCCTGAGCTCTCACCCCAATTCCAGCCCTGTATTTTTCAGTCTCTAGGGCATTTTGTTAGCTGTCATATCCAAGTCAATATGTATAAAGTTTCACATGCCCTTGTCCACCTGCATCACTTCCCACACTCTTCATAGCATCAGGTAGATAGACTTGGCTCAAATCCCAAATCTACTGTCACTGGAATATGACTTGGACAGGAAACTGCACCTTCATTTTCTTTAGTTGCAAAGTGGTGTGTGATGGTCCTAGTAATACCCGCTTCGTAGACTTGTGAGGATTTCTCAAGATCCCCTGTGTAACGTGCATCATCTGTAATGTACAGCAGGCGCTTAACAAGTAAGACCTGTTGTTATTGTTTAAATACACTTTATATTATCATCATGCTTCCCATTCTTCTTTCTTGCTTATCTATTCTTTTCCCAGTGCATATTTCACATTGTAGATGTTTCTCTGAGTCACTCACTCCAGTCTAGTCCTTATCCCCTCAGGCTTCAATTACTGCAACAACTCCTAACTGGGGCTCTTTCCTCTTGCCCACCCTTAATTTACTCAACACACTCTGAAAATAATTTCTTAAATAAAACACCATTTGTATGTTATTCTTCTGCTCAAGAACCTATAAAGGCACTGTTCACTGCATCATGCCCAAACTCCTCTGCTAGGTTTTAAAAATTCTTGTCATAATTTGGCTCCAACCCTTCTGATCAATTTCATTTCCCATTTACTCCCAGCACTCCTCCTCCACTCTAGGCTAGCTTGGTTCTCTTGGTGTCTTCTGAACACACATGCAGTGCTCATGCCAGCTGTTGCTGCTGTGTTCCACTTTAGGATATAAATTCTCCTTCTTTTGCAAGGTGTGGTTCCAATTAAGCTTCCTCCCTAAGGCCTTTTCCACTTTGATCTCTACTTATACTCATTTCTTTTTTATAACATTACTATTACTTTTGTGTAACACTGATCTTAACAAATGCTTGCGGGGCTTGGGGGGCAGGCAGCCATGTCATTGAGTGGCTGCCGCAAAGTGGTGAGCTCATGCCTCGTCTAACAGAGTAGCTGCAGCTGCCCGCTGGATCCCCAAGGAAATGCAAGCCAGTCATTGCAAGATTTCCCAAATAATTTTCAAGAGAAAAATCTGGAATTTTTAAATTTGAAATTTAATTTGTAAATGTTGGCAATTAATTTAAAATATTCAAAAAAGATTATGGGGCAAGCAACTGGGATCTATAGGACTAGGTATAGCCCCAGGGGTATAGCTTTGTTTCCTCTGCTTTCTAGTCTGTATACCTAGTTCAGGACTTAATTATTCTCTAATTGTTTGATGTTTTATTTCTGTTTCCCCAACCCACTCCAGCAACCCCACCTTACTCATTTTGGACATCCATTGGTGAACCTAACATAGTATTCCCAATGAATAACAACTATTTAGTTCACTCATTTGTTAGAGACATTTTTAATGAACTTACATGGTATGTAATGAACAAGACTTCCCAGCTTTTGTTTTCTGGTTTCTTTCATTGGTTGGGAAATATTTAGTGGAAATATCCAGTGTTTTTGTCATGGCTCTGTGTCTGATTTCCATATTCATCATCAGTTTTCTATCCCAACCTGCTGCTTGTGTTACCCAGTGACACAAAACCAGATTTTTCTATGGAAAGAGGAACAATTGGCTGGGCATGGTGGCTCACGCCTGTAATCCCAGCACTTTGGAAGGCCGAGGTGGGCGGATCACCTGAGGTCAGGAGTTCGAGACCAGCCTGACCAACATGGAGAAACCACGTCCCTGCTAAAAATACAAAATTAGCTGGGCGTGGAGGTGCAAGACTGTAGTCCCAGCTACTCGGGAGGCTGAGGCAGGAGAATCGCTTGAACTCAGGAGACAGAGGTTGGGTTAGCCGAGATCACACCATTGCACTCCAGCCTGGGCAACAAGAGCAAAACTCCGTGTCAAAAAAAAGGAAAGAGAAACAATGTTACTTTTACATATTATTAGTGATAATTACCATTGAATAACGTATAAAATATGCTTATATAATCTAGATATTCTCAGTACTTGGCACATGTTAAGAATGCAATAAATGGTCTGGCGCAGTGGCTCACACCAGTAATCCCAGCACTTTGGGAGGCCAAGGCAGGTGGATTACCTGAGGTCGGGAGTTCAAGACCAGCCTGACCAACATGGAGAAACCATGACCCTACTAAAAATACAAAATTAGTCGGGCGTGGTGGCACATGCCTGCAATCCCAGCTACTCAGTAGGCTGAGGCAGGACAATCACTTGAACCCGGGAGATGGAGGTTGCGGTGAGCTGAGATTGTGCCATTGCACTCCAGCCTGGGCAACAAGAGCGAAACTCCGTCTCAAAAAAAAAAAAAGAATCCAATAAATATTAATATTATTTATTCTTTGTGCAAGTGCGCACTTTGTGCAAGTGAGACAGGTGCCTTTTGCAATTATGTGTTATATTAAGATTTTACCCTGCAATATGAGATTTATGTAATTATGTGTCTAAAATCATTCTTGGTGATAGTGCATATCTAAAAGAAGTTTTGTAGGCCAGGTGCGGTGGCTCACACCTGTAATCCCAGCAATTTGGGAGGCTGAGGTGGGTGGATCACCTGAGGTCAGGAGTTCCAGACCAGCCTGGCCAACATGGCAAAACCCTGTCTCTACTAAAAATACAAAAATTAGCTGGGCATGGTGGCAGGCACCTGTAATCTCAGCTATTTGGGAGGCTGAAACAGGAGAATCACTTGAACCCAGGAGGCGGAGGGTGCAGTGAGCCAAGATTGCACCACTGCACTCCAGCCTGCTGGGTGACAGAGTAAGACTCCGTCTCAAAAAAAAAAAAAAAAAAAAAAAAAGTTTCATGAGGAGTTTTTTGGTGAGGAATTTAGAGTGAATGATTAAAACCTCACTCTTGGTGCCACTTACTTATATACCATGTACTTTCCATTGCAACTTCCTGTCTAATTGCCATGATATCATTTCAGCAGCAAGCAAAGACATTTCATCCTAACAGTTACTACTAGACATGAGTAACTCTGTTTGACTCATATTAGTTTCGACTGAAAAGGGGAACATACTTGAGAAACACATGGGCACCATTGTAACTATTCAAACAGAATTTTTATTCTCAACCAAAATGCCACAAAGAGGACGTCACTTAAGACCTTGGTTGAGGTTTGTTATATCCTTCAACTTGCAGAAATCAAAAATGCAGAAGTTAAGACAGTTGCCTCATTTGACTTGTTGATTGTGATAGCTTTTGTCCATGGTGATGTGATGAACATAAGGACGAGGCACAAATCCAGATTGTCCTCTCTTTGTGGTTTGCTGCAGGTACCCAGCGTGCCAATGCCCGGGCTCCAGCCCCTTACAAGCGGGATTTCGAAGCCAAACTGAGGAACTTTTACAGGAAGTTAGAGACTAAAGGATATGGACAAGGCCCAGGGAAGTTAAAGTAAGTCAAAGTGACACAAACCACATAATGTATAGATGGTGAAAGGAGAGGGCACAGTTGGGCCTCTAGGAAATTGATTGTGATTTGGGATGACTAGCCTTCATTTTAGTCGGCATAATTATTTTGGAATTTGTAAATTATAGGATCATCTAAAACATAGTCCTGGAATGAAACATGATTAAGCTTAACATTTTAAAACAAATAGTGAAGACACTGCCACTTTTCATGCAAAAATAAAGGCAAAATAAAAGGCTGATTTATTTTTTTCCTCTGAAAAGTATGTCTTTGTTGGTGCATAGTATATTCATTAGCTATAAAGCTATCCCAATGTCCTCCACTGCAAGTTTCTGTCTCCTGAACTGACCTGAGTGTAGGAATAGTGCTCAGCTCTGTTCAGTTCTGTGAAACAAACTTCACAGCAGAACATGTCATGAATGTTGTTTCGGCCTTTCTTCATCCATCTCCTCCTTTCAAATGGGGAAACTGAAACATCATCATGTTGTTTGGCCTAGAATTGTTTCCATTCCCTACTTACCCTTCTTTCTCTCCTCCCTGCCTTCACCCCTGTCCCACGTCCCCACTGGAGATCAGTCTGCCACTGAGAGAGGACAGAGGAGGGACGGTCTCCACTGGAGCACCCCTGTGACCCTGGGTGCCTGAGAGACGGTCCAGAGACCAGACCAACAGCAGCCCCATGGCTCACTGCCCCACCTGCAGGAAGGCTTGCTTGATTAAAATCCACCTTCATTGCCCTAAAAAATCATCTGCCTGCCCAAACACCATACTTCTCTGAGCTTTACTTTTCTCACACTTAACTTACAAAGGTCTAGGATGATCCAGCTGTCATGCATTCAGCCTCCCTATCATCTCTCTGCCCATTACCATTTACATTAAGAGCAAATTGATATCTATGGAAGGATGACTTTAATTGGCATCATCACAAGTAGATTAACCTGCCACACTCATCATTCATTTGTATCTGTCCCTTAGGGACTGTCAAGATTCACTTAATTTAACAATTAACAATTGGAAACTCCTCTGCTTTGGAGGATATTGAGAATTTTTTTTTTCCTCTTTGTTCTCACAGTCATCTTGCTGGGCACTTAATAATTGAATTCCTTGTCTACATGCATTGAGACTTAAAACATTGCCTCATAGAGTTGTTCTTGCTTTACTAAACAAAATGTATGGGCGGGGGGCGGTGTGTGTGGTGTGTGTGGTGTTGTTTTATGATCATTTTTTTTCTGGGATAAACTGATTTGACCATTTAGATAGGATTCTCCGGTTGTTTACACTGGTCATAGGTAGGGTACTCTACCAATGATTCTCTCATGTAACTTTTGCTAATGCTATTAAGAGTTCAAGACAAATGTGTACTTTATTGCAGACAGCAATGATATTAAGTAACATTCTTCTTACCTAGTTAATTGTGGCAAATGGAAATGTTCTAGAAAGATAAGTAAATTATCTTTAATAGTATAGTAATAATTTGTATTTTCTAAATTGTCTCTTTATGGACAGGTTAATTATCCGAAGAGATCACTTACTAGAAGATGCTTTTAATCAGATTATGGGCTACTCCAGAAAAGACCTGCAGAGAAATAAGCTATATGTCACCTTCGTTGGGGAGGAAGGGTGAGTAGAACAGAGAAGTGGCCTGTGGAACATAGGCTGTGGCCACAAGGCGGATGTTTCTCCACGTCGCTGTGGTTGCCTGAAACAGGAAATCCTTCTGCCAGGAAGTGCTGTTCTCATACACTTAAACCTTTGGGCTTTTTTTTTTTTAAAGGTCTCCTCTGGCTTTTAAATCACTTGACATAGAAATCCTTTAGTAAAAACTTGTAGCTTTAGATCATTTTTGAGAACAGAAGCCTAGTTCAGTTTCTTCTCTCCGGACCTCTCTTTCTCTTAAAGGGAAAAAGTAAGGCTTTACAAGGAAAAAAAACAAGGAATTGCATTTATGCAATTCCTTTGTGATCTGTGATCTTATTTTCTACCCTGCAGGGCTAGGTAGAACGTGCTTCCTCTATTAAATAAGTTCAGTTTCAGAAACATGAATTAGAATCTTGCTGTTCTACCCAGAAGCCTCCACAGAAGTAACTCTTGGGCCTTGGCTCTTATTTCTCTGCCTCCAGTTTTTCTCTTCCCTTGGGAAGGCAGCACACCTACCAACATTACTACCTAACATAAACAAACATGTCCCGCCTTCCATGACTCTTCCATGAGTGTGCTCGTCAAGATAAGGGTTAGGAAATGAAGCGGGGAAGACTCCTACACAGTGTCTGTTGTGCCCAAATAGACATAACTGTTATTACACATCACATTAGAAGAGGCCAGCTGTCATCCCTCCCAGACCCCTTCTTCCTCATTTCAGGTCTGGGTTCAAGTCTCAACATCTTCTTCATAACTCAGCAGCTGCTAGAGGGAATTTTTCTAATACCATACAATTGTCTGATTGTGTTCTCTGTGGCTCTTGTTGATTTGGATCATTTTAAGGCTATCCCTCTCAGTCATGCCTGGGAATAAAGTATATTAGATTATGGAATCATATTAGTGATATTGAACAAATTCAGCCATTCAGTACACAGTGGATGAAATAATGACTCCAAACTATAAAATAATTTGCATCTGCTGATGGAACTAGGGAATAGAAAAATCAGGATTCAAATTCAGGCCGTTTGTCTTTCATCTGGTACTCTTGGACTAGCTCTGGGACCTAAGCAAAACTCCTGCACTCCAGCCCATCTGAATTTTTTCCTATCTCTGGACATTTTGCCCATTCCAGCTAATGACTGATAACTTCCGCTCTTGTCACATGCAGTGCTGTGTAGTCTCCCAGCTATTCCTACATTAAGGTAAAGTAGTATGTGCAAACACACTATGACATGACAAAATTTGTACAGAAGTTTGCATGAGATCTGAGCCTTTCATTGCTGATGTGCATAAGTGGACTTCTCACTTGTGTTAGTTGGCTTAAAGATGAAGGTGCACAGTTGAAAATGAAGGCAAATGTTAGCCTAATCACCAGTATGCATGAGATTCCAAGTATTTCCTTACATAATCAGTCTGGTTTGGATGAGAATACTTTTCCTCCCCCAGAACTCCAGCTGCCTCCCTTCATTGTTGGACCAGAGTTTGTTGAGATCTCAAAGATATAGGGAAGAGTCTTTGGAAGCACTGATATTTAAGTTTGAATAGAACAGACGTTTATCATGACTGGTTTTCCTAAAGCAGTCTCCTCATGGTGTGGATTAATGACATTAGTTCCTAGGAGGAGGTCCAGGGTGAGTGGGGCTTGATGCCTCTGTATTTGATTACATTACATTGATGTCCAAATGCTTCCTGCCTCCATCATCTGTCTCCTTCCTGTGACATCGGAGGGAAAACAAGGGAGAGGATGTTCTAAGCTGTGAGCTCAGTTAGCAGGGACAATTTCTTAATCTGTTCACTCTGCATATGGTTTATTGAAGCTGGATTTCTGGACTCATGACTTTGTCAGGTCAGTATCATAAATTATTAGATATAGACTTTAATTTGCTATTGAGGTACCGAGGATACATATGCTGTTTTTGAGAGATGAAAACAGTAATTGTGCTGGAAAAATAGAAAGCTAAAAAAAATAAAGAAAGAAAGAAAGAAAGAAAGAAACCTTGAGCTACATAAAAGTAAGGAGCTCTTTTAGCCTTTGCCACCTTCTCAAACACACTGACTCTATCACATGAAAATGAACAACCCTAACTTTTTTTCTGGATTATAATACATACCCAAAGGGAAGAGCGACCCAAATTTTCCATTGAACTATAAAAATGGAGCTGGAGGTTTTCTGTTTTTTTGTTTTGTTTTGTTTTGTTTTTTGAGACAGAGTCTAACTCTGCTGCCCAGGCTGGAGTGCAGTGGCATGATCTTGGCTCACTGCAGCCTCCGCCTCCTGGGTTCAAGTGATTCTCCTGCCTCAGCCTCCTGAGTAGCTGGAACTACAGGCACATGCCACCACGCCCAGCTAATTTGTTTTGTATGGAGGTTTTCTGTTACTTTCTCTTTACCAATTCTAATCCCCTCAAAATGTATCATTTTGTAAGTTCTTCATGTCTGGGTCTAGTAATGAGCATTTAAAAACACATGTATCTGGCACCCAGATCTAAGAATCAAGGTTTTTAGAGAAATGGCTGATTCTAACACTAAGCAGGAAATATACAAGATGCAGCCCGAAGCATCTTTTGGTGTCTGCCAGAGATTAAAGAAATCCTCAAAAATCCCAGTCGTGGGGTATGTTGAAAAAACCCAGGAGCCAACTGAAAGAGTTCCCAATGGACAAAGCTGAGATAATTTGAGCAACAAAATAAATACAAGGCTATTGATTATAAACCAAAGTATAAAATAAATAACCATACTGATATAAATACATGGTTGAATACATAAATAAATGGGGAAGAATAGAAAAGTAGAAAAATATCTTTTGCAAAATATGGAACCAGCCCAAAAGTCCATCAATCAATGAGTGGATAGAGCCAACATGGTATATATATACACCATGGAATACTACTCAACCATAAAAAGGAACGAAATAATGACATTCACAGCAACCTGGATGGAATTGGAGACCATTATTCTAAGTGAAGTAACTCAAGAATGGAAAACCAAATATCTTACATTCTCACTCATATGTAGGAGCTAAGCTATGAGGACACAAAAGCATAAGAATGATACATTGAACTTTTGGGACTTGGGGGAAAGAGTTGGGGGTGGCAAGGGATAAAAGACTACACATTGGATACAGTGTACACTGCTCAGGTGATGGTGCACCAAAATCTCAGAAATCACCACTAAAGAACTTACTCGTATAACCAAACACCACCTGTTCCCCACAAATCTATTGAAATAAACAAGAATAACAATTTAAAAAAAAAGAATCACTGCTCTCAAGGTAGATATCAATTTGTTTAAGGCAAACAGTAGAAAATATGCCCTTCAGAAACTGCTGTAGGTCTGGGGTAGGCACATGATGTAATTTGGCCCAATTAGACTGAAAGAAACTCTGTTATGTTGTAGCTGGTGAAAGGTTTCACTAAAAAAGAAAAAATCTATTTTGCAGAATATTTCCATACAATCAGCATAACTCTCTACTCTAGGTATGGAATGTGCATAGTGACTTTATTCCAAATAGTATAGTATGGAAAGAGGGGGAACAAAGTAACTTCACAGTAGAGAAACCTGACAAACACTATGGCAGTCAGGTGATCAAGGTCAACATCAATAGCCACAAGTCATGTTGATAATATGTACCCTCGGTATGATGCGTGAGGGTGGCACTTTACCTCTGTGGTCTTCCTCCCGAACACATAATGCTAGTCCAACCATGAGAAAAATGTTAGACAAAATCCCAACTGAGAGACATTGTACAAGATACCTTACCAGTACTCTTTAATACTCCCAAGGTCATCAAAGACCAGAGGAGCCTGAGAAACTGTCATAGCCAAGAGGGAGACATGACAATTAAATGTAATGTGGTTTCCTGTATGGGATCATGGAACAGATAAGGGACATTAGGTAGAAACTAGGGAAATGTAGATAAAGTATGGATTTTAGCTAATAATAGTGTATCAATATTGGTTTATTAATTATAACAAATGTATTATACTAATGTAAGATGTTAATCTGTGTGTGAGGTGTACAAGAACTCTCTGTTTTATCCTTGCAATCTTTCTGTAAGTTAAAACCTATTCTAAAACAAAACATTTATTAAAAGAAAATATGCAGTCAGGATTCGGGGAGATTTAGGAAATGTTTCCCTGGACAATTTGTTTCCTTGTTATCTGATAAATGACAGCCCCCAGGGTAAATTTTGGTATGTATATGCCTCTGTCTGCACTTGAGGTCATTAGAGTAATAAGTGTATATATGGGGTTAATTCTGTGGGAAGTCCAAATTAGTAGTGGCATTGGTATATATAAAGTATTATTTTGTGTTGCTTATGTCAACTGTGTTGTCTATGAGGGACTAATACTTTGCAATTCATATTGATATCATTTCAGTGATTATATTTTACCTGTCACCATCAAAGTCTTTATTTACAGTAGATTAGCTAAAGCATAAAGAAAAGGGAGTTTATTTTAAAGAATAACGCATCGGCCGGGCACAGTGGCTCATGCCTGTAATGCCAGCACCTTGGGAGGCCAAGGCGAGCAGATCACAGGTCAGAAGATCGAGACCATCCTGGCTAGCACGGTGAAACCCCATCTCTACTAAAAATACAAAAAAAATTAGCCGGGCATGGTGGCGGGTGCCTGTAGTCCCCAGCTACTCGGGAGGCTGAGGCAGGAGAATGGCGTGAACCCAGGAGGCGGAGCTTGCAGTGAGCCGAGATCACGCCACTGCACTCCAGCCAGGGCGACAGAGCGAGACTCCATCTCAAAAAAAAAAAAAAAAAAAAAAAAAGAATAATGCATCTACCTGTGCTCCAAAAAAGGTGTGAATGAGCAGAGAGATTTCAGCTCCACTTTCTTTATTTGCATACATCTGAAACATGATATATAAATTGTTCCTAAAATAGAATAGTTGAGTCAAGAGAAATGATGGGAAAATTTATAGTCAGAAATTTACAGGATGGCTGCAAATTCCATGCAAGGTAGAATTAGCCCCACAATACTAGAGATGTATGTATTCAATTTAGAAATACAAAAATAAGGCCAGGCGTGGTGGCTCACACCTGTAATCCCAGCACTTTGGGAGGCTGAGGCAGGCAGATCACGAGGTCAGGAGATTGAGACCATCCTGGCTAACTCATGGTGAAACCCCGTCTCTAATAAAAATACAAAAAAATTAGCTGGGCATGGTGGTGAGTGCCTGTACTCCCAGCTTCTAGGGTGGCTGAGGCAGGAGAATTGCTTGAACCTGGGAGGCAGAGCTTGCAGTGAGCTGAGATCACACCACTGCACTCCAGCCTGGGCGACAGAGCGAGACTGGGTCTAAAAACAAAAAAAAAATACAAAAATAATCCTAGAGTCTATAAATACAAATACTTTAGTTGATTAGTTCATCACCAACTAAGATCACATTTTATATTATGCTTTGGCTTTTTACAAAAAGTAGGTAGTTTCTAAGCCCTATCTTGTAACTAGTGATTTAATTTGGTTAGAGCTGGAGGTTTTGCTTTAGTCATGAAAATTTCCACACAACTTAATCTGGTTATCTGCCTTTGCAAAGTTGTGGGGAAGGGAGATCGGCAGTGGTGGAGTGGCTGAAAACTGAGTCATCTTGACTGAATGTGGCGTGAAATTGCACGCAGGGGTTGCCTATTTCTGCTGGGCATCAGTCTACTAAGAAGTTGCTTCTCTAGGGTTGAGGTCAATGAAATACTACATATTCTCCAGTGAATTATTCTACGTATTTTCCAGCTCTATTATTATACTGCACATTCTCCAGTGTATTATTTTCTTTTGAATTAAAAGTCCTAGCAACTAAAGTTATATGATTTAAAAAGTTACCTAGATGCTAGGCATGGTGGCTCATACCTATAATCCCAGCACTTTGGGAGGCCAAGGTGGGAGTATTGCTTCAGGCGAGGAGTTCCAAACTAGATTGGGCAACATAGTGAGACCCCATTTCTATAAAAAATAAATAAATAAATAATTAGCTGGTTGTGATGGCTTGTGTCTGTAGTCCTAGATACTTGGGAGGCTGAGGCAGGAGGATCGCTTGAGTCCAGGAGCTCAAGGTTACAGTGAGCTACGATTGTGCCACTGTACTCCAGCCTGGGTGACAGAGCAAAACCCTGTCACCCTGTCTCTTTAAAAAAAAAAAAAAACTGGATTAGACTGTTGTGTTCTGATAAGGCGTGGGGCCACTAATTTCTTAATACCCAAAACATTAAAGAAATAGTGGCCTGCGTAAAGAGAGGAGGTTTACACTGTGATTGCCCTGCCTCTTTTTCTCCATGGCCAACCCTGTAAAAGGCACCTTTCTTAAGAAAGAATGAGTTTATTATGTGTGAGGTGCCATCAATATGACATCAATCATGTCTTGCAGAGCCACACTTTGACTGGGGTGGAGATGTGTACAAGCAGTTTTAGTTTGGGAGTTTAAGAACTTCCTGTAATATCTTCCTTTTGAGCTTTCTGTAACTCCCCTGAGACAGGCAAATGAAAGCAACTAGGGAGGATGAGATCTGAAGGAGTTTTCTTCAGTCTCTGCTTATAAAGTAACCAACCAGTTCTTACATATGACTGGTCAGATCCTCACTAGAAGCTGTTTGAGGCCCTGAGCTTGGTCATTAATTTCTCAGAAATCTGTGAAGCTTCAAGGTACACTTTATGGTGTTCCCTTTTTTTCTTCCAAAAAGAGACATTCACAGGATAACCTAAATTACCCAAACCTTTCTAAAGAAGGATGCTTCTGTATCTAGGCTTTGGTTTGGTAGCACCTGGTAAGACTTTGTTTATCATATCAAAATACCTTACTCACCTACCAGGCTTTCTTAATTGGCTCAAGAACTAACACCTTGCTGCTATAAATATCTGAGGGTGAATCAGAAGGTGTGTAGGCCATGTGTGCCTGAACCAACTTGTAGGAAATGGTGTGACTTCCCAAGGCCATCATCTTCTTTCATTTTATAGTCTGCTTTCATTAGAATACTTAGTTTTCAGTAATTCTTAGTTGAAAATAAAGAATGGGAGAATAAAATTTGTTATTTTAACAAATTTTGGGTGCCACTGACAACTTGGGTGGAGTGCCAACCCAGCCATGTGATGATATTTAAAATGCTCTATCAGCACTTGGGGCTCCAGACTACATGGCCACCCTGGAGACATCTGTGCTTATTCGGAAATGCCCTCAGATGCAGCTGTTGTGCGGCTACACACCCGTCGTCCAGAGTTTTTATATTTCCGTGCCAAGCCTTTAGCTGTGGAACCAACCTAACTGGCAAAACAGGAATGTAACAGACAATCCCTGTGATATGAGTCATATTAACTATTTATATGAAAGAAGTTGCTAAGACATTACAGGAAGCAAAGGCATGATGTACCCTGCTGTGACATGTTTTACTGAGTTAGCTAGGCTTATTTATAAATTGTAATCTACAACCTGCTCTCAGATAGGCAGTTCTAAGCTTTGGATTATAATCAAATCAAAGTTTAAGACTATTTTGGCTTTAGAGGTGACTCCATCAGTGCTTCTAGAGTTAAAAGTCAGCAGATAAAAACTTGACCAGTTGAAGACACATTTTCTCCTAGAGGAACTAACTGTTAGCTCTGTTTTTGCTTGGGAAAACAAGACTTTTCATTTTCAGTTTAATTCCTCAGGGAACATTCATCTCATCTTCAGCCAGATTCAGCTATCATCATAAAAAGGGAACTAATCAGTGAGGTCAGTCTTTGTTGTTTTAGCAAACTTTACCACCTGAGAAGATATTACATGTTAAACTTTCTAAGCATAATTTACTTGATGATTTCTGACAATGTTTTCAAATTGAGCAACCTTTCAGGGATTGGTATAACCTGTTCATGTCATTGAATCAATATACCACTCAAAGGCAAATGTGCAAATCTGCTAGATACCAAATAACAATGTAAGCAATGTTGATTTTTCTTTAGAAAGCATCAAAGAGCTCCACTCATTGATTCAACAATATATATTGAGCCCCCACTGTGTATCAGGCTAGGTACAGATATAAAAATGAGTAAAACATGGTCCCTGCCCCAGTGTAGTTACAGACTAGTATGTATGTATAGGGGAGGCAGGCACATAGACAGATAATTGTAATGCACTCTATAAGTGCAGTATTATTAAAATACTCAGAGGTAAAGCTTAAAGAAACCCTGATACTTCTAACTGAATGCCACAGTTTAATTTTAAGCAGGCAAAATCCCATTTTACTTTTACCAGTTGTCTGTAAGAAAACTGACTCCTGAAGTATTTGCCTCATGTTTCAGCTGTCTCCGACCTTATCCATTGTATGCTCTATTGTGTCTGAAAGCCTCACAGAGAATGACCATGGCTGACGGGTGCTCACTCTGTGCCTCACACTTAGTATTCTACCCACTCCTTGAGGTTGCGTACACCCTAGGATATTGTAAGCTAGATTTTTTTTTTATTTGATACAAAGTCTCTCTCACTGTCACCCAGGCTGGAGTGCAGTGGCGCGATCTCTGCTCACTGCAAGCTCTGCCTCCTGGGTTCACGCCATTCTCCTGCCTCAGCCTCCCAAGTAGCTGGGACTACAGGCGCCCACCACCACATTCTGCTAATTTTTTGTATTTTTAGTAGAGACGGGGTTTCACCATGTTAGCCAGGATGGTCTCGATGGTCCTGACCTTGTGATCCGTCTGCCTCAGCCTCCCAAAGTGATGGGATTACAGGCGTGAGCCACTGCCCCCGCCCATAAGCTAGATATTTTAACAAGTAGTATTTTCCTCCTATTTTCTTTCTTTTGTAACAGAGGTTAGCAAAATTTTCCTGTAAAGGGCTAGGTGGTAAATATTTGGGATTTCACCAGTCAAACCTCTATGGCACCTACTCAACTCTGCCCTTGTAGCAGGAAAGCGGACAACATCAATACATAAATGGGCACAGCTGTGTTCCAGTAACACTTTATTTACAAACCAGAGGGTGGGGCAGATTGGACCTGCAGGTTTGCCAACCGCTACTCTATTAGCAGTATTTTTTTAGTCTTGATGAACATTTAAAATTGGCTGAAGGGTAGGCTGTAAGAAGTAACAAGCATTAAACTTGGGGTCAGGGCACCTGCCTGAAGACCCCAAGGCCTGCTGGTTCTTCCATTTGCAGTTTTCATGTGATACAAGTCAGTGATCTCTTTCGGCCTTAGTCGTCTCTATAAAATGATGGCATTGGACAAAATGACTTCTAAGATGACTTTGACCACGGGCATGCTCTGTTTCTAAAAGACACAGGGGACTAAGTCTCAAAAAGTGAAATTTTAATCGGGAAAAGTATGGTCTAGTGTTAAGGCCTTTTTTTTTTTTTTTTTTTTTTTTGAGACGGAGTCCTGCTCTGTCGCCAGGCTGGAGTGCAGAGGCGCCATCTGCAACCTCTGACTCCCTGGTTCAAGTGATTCTCCTGCCTCAGCCTCTCGAGTAGCTGGGATTACAGGCATGCGCCACCACACCCAGCTAATTTTTTGTATTTTTAGTAGAGACGGGGTTTCACCATGTTGGCCAGGATGGTCTCAATCTCCTGACCTCGTGATCCGCCTGCCTCAGCTTCCCAAAGTGCTGGGATTACAGGCGTGAGCCATGGCACCCAGCCATATTAAGGCTTTTAAAAGATGCAGCTACATGCAGACAGGATGGGGGAGTCCTGGGTTAAAGCAGTTTAGATGAAAGGTTTCGGGCTTTAGCTGATGACTAGCACTTTGTAAGTCAACAAAGTAAAGTGGTTGCTCCAAAGGCAGGATAAGTTTAACCTGCATCGCCGGAGAAAAGTGTCGAGGAGTTTCTAAGCTCTGTGCTGAGAAGACCTCACCTGGAGTGTTACGATCAAGTCTTTAATGCCACCAGGGTAGAGAAGGAATTCTCACCCCTGCCCTGAGAGAAGGTTGAAGGAAGTGGCCATGCTCAGGAGTGGGAAAGGGAGAGAAGGAGGCTGGGACCAGGAGATGGAAACTGCTAAACCTAAAGTTCCAATGGAAAATGACTTTGAAAACGTTTTATATCTTCAGGATCTAGATTAGCACCCCATATGTAATCAGCACACAGACTTTTGTTGAAAGAAAGCTTCTGAGTATGTAAAGAATGTTCAAGTGGAAGAAATATTCTATTTGTTCCTGGCGGCGTCACAGGCCAGAAGTAGGTCAGCGGGAGGAAGCCGCAAAGGCTGCCTTCGTCACAGCATAAGGAGGGACAGGTAGTCTGTGCATCCCTGCATGGAGGAGGCAGCCAGGGTACTGCTTTGGGAGTCCTCAGAGTAACCTGAGGGTAGTCCCACCGATCCTGGGAGCCACCTGTTAGCATGTTATATTCAGCTGCCCCAGAGGGCAGGTCCATTGTGTCACCTACAGCCTCTTTGGCTCTGGGAGTCTGCTGTTTGCATTTTTCTTTACATATAGGTTCCCTGTCAGCACAGTATGGGTGTGAGGATTTTTAATACCACTGGTGATGTGTTAAATGATTTTAGCTACTACAAAGACTGACTTTTTTATTTTAATATTCATGTATTCATTTTAAGGTACATTGGGAAACAATAGAGCTAGCACATCAAAACTTTATAAAGATTGTGTAAGACAAAGTTCTATTAAAAAGCAAATAGATTTAAAGTTGATTTAATGAAAAATATTAATAATGGTACATATATATTCAGATATAACAAAAATTGGGAAAGTAGTATGAATAATTGAAGTCTGTTCTGTGTAAACCATTTTTATTTATCTTCTGCCTATAGGATCCTTTTTGTTGCTGCTGTTCTTTCTCCATCACCTGGGCTGGAGTGCAGTGGCGTGATCATAGCTCACGCAGCCTCAAACTCTTGGGCTCAAGAGATGCTCCTGCCTCAGCCTCCCAAGTAGCTGGGACTACTGGCACATGCCACCACACCTGGCTAATTTTTTCTTATTTTTTGTAGAGACGGGGGTCTCACTGTGTCACTCTCTCAAACTCCTTGCCCAGGCTTATCTCAAACTCCTTGACTCAATGGATCTTCCCGCCTTGGCTTCCCAAAGTGCTGGGATTACAGGCATGAGCCAACATGCCCTGCCTAGGATCTGTTTTTTCCTCCTTCACACAATCCTATCACTGAACAAGACTCAGATTTTTTTTTCATTAAAAAAATGCAATGATGCCCACAAAAAAAAAATTCAAAAAGAAGAAAAAATAAGATAGAGGGAGAAAAGAGGAAGAAGGAGAAGAAAAGTCTTTCACAATCCCTCCTCCACCCCAGCTTCTCAGTTGCCTTCATTCCCTTTTCAGCATTCCTTCCCTATCTTTGAGCCCACGTGTATACTTTTTATCATAGGGTCGATGTACTTTATATTTTTCATTTTAAATTTAGCACATCACATTGCTTTACTGCAAACTCCTCCTTACTTTGCATTTTTTACTCTCGTCATTTTTGGCCACTTGTCATTCCTCAGACCTAACACAATCTTTTCTTACACTTCAGTTTGACCCTGACATCTTTGTAAGTAAAGTAGAATTTATACTGTAGCTCAGGTGTTAGAGTTTCAGCCTCTTTCTCCAAATGCCTTCCTTAGGAAGCTTTAGGCACCCTCATTTTTCTTGTCTGTAATTTTCCTTTGTGTTTTATCATTTAAAACATTTGCACCTTATCACTCCATTTTTTGCTACTGAGCTCCCTAATGGGACTTGTATCTGTAATGTCTTAATCTTGAATTCATGGAAGTATCTTTCTTCTCCCATTTAAAAATATTTCAGATATCCATGAGGACTCCATGTCCTGTGAGCATATGTAACTGATTCCCCCTGGTTTTACCCTGTTTAAATAAAGCTTTCTCGTTGTGCTCCCTTTTTGTATAAGCTTGCTCCTGACATTCGAAAGATTTACCTCTTTATACATGTTTACATAATCAAAATATTAGCATATTGCCTATTGTATGTATTAGAATGTTGCCTATTGTATGCCTGTTGTATGATGTGTGGCTTAGTTTTAGGTATGCTCCACATAAATGTCCATTTTACTAATCTGGGTCAAGACACAATGAGATCAGAAACTATGATCATTCAGTTTGTTTTGGACAGCTCTGGCATGTGGACAATTAGATTTGTAATGAGCATCCTATGGAAACTTGAGCTCTGGAGAAAAACTGCCCAATATCTAGAAAAAAAGTAACAGATTATTCTTTTTGTGGATTTTTGTTACAGGCTGGATTACAGTGGGCCTTCTAGAGAGTTTTTCTTCCTGGTATCCAGAGAACTCTTTAACCCATATTATGGCTTATTTGAATATTCAGCCAATGACACATACACAGTACAAATAAGTCCTATGTCTGCTTTTGTAGACAATCACCATGAATGGTAAGTATTTTTTCCCCAACACTTTTCTTCAGGCGATTTCCTATGATATTAGTTTTTTTATAGAACCCACATTTAAACATTAAAACATTTTTTCCCTTGGGCAAAGTCATATTTTCAGTTAAATACCTCATTTGACTCTTGTTTTTATTGTCAAATTTAAATATATAGGCAGTCTCCAAGCTAGGACTAGATCTGTTGATAGCTGGGAATTGATCTGCTCCATAAGATCAATTTAAGTGAGTTGGGTAGAATTCAAAAGGTATTTCCCATTGCAAGAAAGAGATGATGCGTTCCTGGTGAGATCCCTATATTCCTCTCTGTACCTTTGGGTGCCTATGAGCTCTAAGCTGAGGTGGGGATGAGGAGGGGAAGGGCCTGACCCAGAGATCAGACAGCTTCTAGAGCAGCCCTTGGGGCAGTGGCTGCCATGGGAGGAGGAGACAGGGCAGCTGGAACTCTGGCTGGGGCTCTGACTCTCAACTCTGGTAATGATGGTGCTCTAGTGGGCAGTGGGGCTGGTGTAGTGACCTGGGGGCATTGATGGTAGAAGGGCAGGAGTGGGGAGTCACAAGCAGTGGCCACTTACCGTATTAGCCATTTGAAGTTTGTAACCAGGTGTTGCCTCCCTCTTTCCTAATTTCTCACACAAAATCAAGGAAACTGATTTAGGATTCCCATCTGAAGATTATTTATGCTGAAAATCCCAAATTGCACTCTTTCCAAATGTCCTTACATCTTTTTTAAATCTCTGCATTTATACACTTCAAATATTTGTATAACCCCTGTTTGCTTGTTCCTGTTCATTTTCCCTGACAGCAACAAAGGAAAGAATATGAGCAGGATTCATGGAAAAAGCTTATTTGAATCATGAGATTAATATTGTTGGGTGGAGGGCGTTATCTTTTAGGACTTACTCTTCAAATTAACTTCTGTTTAGCTGCAATTTGAAGTCCTTCTTCTGTGACTATTACAGTTGTGCTAAATAAATGGAAATAAAGAGGAACCATACTGCTGGACATTGTTCTTAAAATGGCTGCCCAATACTAAAATTACAAACTTACTGTACGAATCTCAGTATGGATTTATACTTTTGGAAGGCATCAGACTTTCAAAGAGCTAGAAACTTGAATCCTTTTGAAAGAGAAAGTAAGTTTACATCTCAGGCAGCAAATCCAGTCATAACAAATATATTTAATAAAATTTCCAAAGTGATTCAGAATAGAATTGAGCCTTGAAATTTTAGAGAACAGAATGTCCCAGAAGGAAACTCCCCCAAATGTCCATGTGCACAATTCTTGAATGGTGAAAATATCAGGAATGGGTCTTGAGAGAGAATAGGGATAGGAACTTTCTTGATCTGAGACTGGGCCTTTCCTCAGAAAGGAATTGCTACTGAGTTTGTATTGAGAAATTCTGCTAATATTCATGCATACACACTAGGAGGGAATAGCATTTTCCCCACCTCCAGAGGTCTCATCTGTCAACATCTCTTAGAAGTGGTTTGGGGAAATGTCACTGAAATGCTCACAGGGGATTCATGAATGTGGGGTGCTACATTGTTGATATGCAGTGAAGGTGGAGCAGGGTCTCTAAATATGAGTGAAACTGATTCTTCAACAAGTAGGTATGAATTACTGGCTGTTTTAGCCCATTCTTGCATTGCTATAAAGAAATACCTGAGACTGGTAATTTATAAAGAAAAGAAGTTTAATTGGCTCATGATTCTGCAGGCTGTACAGGAAGCATAGCACCCAAATCACTGGGCTTTGGGGATGGTCTCAGGGAGCTTTTTCAATCATGGTGGAAGGCAAAGGGGAAGCAGGCACATCATATGACAAAAGCAGGAGGGAGAGAGAGAGAGAGTGTGTGTGTGTGTTGGAGGGAGGTGCCACACTTTTATATGACCAGATTTCATGAGAACTCACTATCATGAAGATAGCACCAAGCCATAAGGGATCAGCCTCCATGATCCAAACACCTCCCACCAGGCCCCACCCCCAGCAATGGGGATTGCAATTCAACATGACATTTGGGCAGGGACAAGTATACAAACTGTACCACTGGCCTGATGAAGACACAGCCCATGGTGCCTACAAATTCTCACTACCTAGTAGGCAATTAATATTGGAAAAATTTAGATGGTTAGCGCTGGAAGGCATTCTAGAAAGCATATGGAACCACCTAGAAACTGCTCCATGACATGTAAGCCATCTCATGTGTTTCCTTCACAGGTTCCGATTCAGTGGTAGGATCCTTGGTCTTGCACTAATACACCAGTATTTGTTGGATGCCTTCTTCACACGGCCCTTTTATAAGGCTCTTCTCAGAATGTAAGAATATTTTTATTGCCTGCATAATTAGCATGTAAAATGCAGTATTTACTTTTTTGAAAAAATTCTTCTGTCAAAGTCATTGTTTATCTGTTCACAATCTCAAATTTGTTGTTATTAAACCTAATAGTGGTTTAGATTTCTGAAACTAATGCAATTTCAAATATGATTACTGTGTTTTTCCTGCCTCTGACCTATTTAGCCCCCAGATTTTTAGTTTTGCTCTACCCCCCAAAATTTATTCTCATTTGTTGCAGCATGTGTTTCTTTAAAACAATTGTACTTCAAACACAGCCCTGGGATTCCTGTGGTATTAATGCAGATTATTAATAGAATTGTTGTGGGTTAGTCTTAGTGACTCACAGCCCCCCTCTCCTTTATGAGACACATTTTATATTTGGCTTGATGCATATTTTCAAATGCTTACTCCTCGTTCAAATCTTCATTTTCCTTTGTTTTGGTTTTGTTTTTTATTTGTTTGTCAAGGGTGGACAGTGCCATATGTTTCTTAAACTTTCTCTATGCCCTTAGTAATTTATTATGGAAAATGAAAATTCAGCATTCACAGAACTTTTTCTTCATTGTTAATGAAAGATTGCAGTTATTGTAAAATGTAGGGCTAATTGTTTCTGTCCTATAATCAGCAGCCATTTACAAGGCTGAACAGAAGACAACTGTCTGTGGGATAGTAGCTCAAATTTGCGATGAGAATGCACTGAATTATCACTTGGCTCTGTCCAGCTCATACCCTAACTGAGGCCACGCACTTGCTTACTGTAAAATGGAAGCCTAGACCTCAAATGAAAGCAAACAAAATGCTTCTTGTGGGCCCTTGGGAGGGTCAGTAGAAAGACTTTTGCCTTCTTCTCTTTCAGTGTCTTCACAGCTGTAGCACTGGGGAACAGGTGCCGTTTTCTGTCTCTTTGGTTCTTTGTGGCCCACTTTGCATCTTCCCATTTCATTGCCTTATCTCTTATCTTCTCATTTAAGCTTCCTGAAAAACTAGTCTATACTGACTGTCTACACTTACCTCAAATTCACACCCTAAGCACACTTCAGCCTGGTTTCTTTCCCACCAGAAAACCTGTGGAGGCATTTAAAGAATACTGATTAGTCCGTATCTTATTGGATCATGCTGCTGCTTCTGACACTGTGCACCACCCACACCCGCCACCATTTATTCCTGTGTCTTTCCTTCAGAGCTGGCATCTATGACACTGTACTTTGCGGGTTCTTTTTTTTAACTTTTCTGTCCCTTCATGAGTCCCTCTTCTGATTTGCCCTTAAGTCTTGGTGTACCTGAAGCTTCTATCACCAGGCCCCTCGTTTTCTCACTCAGTGTGCTCTCATGGGGGAATTTCTTCTCCTGTCTTATCTCCTCTGACTCCCAAATCTGTACTCTCAGTCATGATCTCCCTTAAGGTGTAGCCTCACATGGTCAACAGTCCACCAAATATCTCCACTCGGATGTCTTACAAGGATCTCAGAATCAACATGGTTAAGACTAAGCTCATCAAGTTTCCCTACGTAAAAGTATACCTTCTCCCATATGCCCAGTTACAGTTAATAGTGCCACTATTCTCAGGCCACTCTGGTCAGAAATTGGGAGTCACCCTTAAACAGCGATGACAAATACACACGGTACATGTTCTACTCTTCCCCATCTCTACTCTACCCCATCATTCCCAGGGTAGAGTTCACAAATCACCTGTGGTACTTTTTCCCACTGAACTCACTGTGGCCTCAGAAATCTTTTTAACTTATAGTGCTCAAGCCCAGCAATTAATTACAGTTAGTTTTGACATGAGTTCGTTTGTCACCCCTGTTTTAGATATCCTTCTTTATACTCCCCCAATAAAACCATTTCCTGATTGCTACATGTTTGCCTCCTAAATGATTTTCAAATTCATCTTCTTCTCTCCAACCTTAATAGCACAGCCCTAGTTAGAGCCCTTATCTTATTTTGGCCATATTACTGTAGTGGTCTATTCATTGGTCTCTACCCTCTAATGATAACCACCCCTCATCCCACCCCATTTTAAATAATCCTTCACACTGGGACTTCCAGAGGAGCTGTTTATAATTCACATTTCACGTCTGATCATGTCATGCCCTGTCTTAAAATCTTTTGGTAGTTCTGAATCACCAATCTCCTTAGGATGATATTAAGGCCTGCTCCCTTGCTGGCCTCATTCTCTAGAAATTCTGTCTTAAGGTTAACTCTCTCAAACTGCTGATATGCTTGGAGTTTCCTGTACACATCCATGCCTTGTATTTTGTTCATGTTATTCTCTCTTTCTCCTTTCTCTTTCCCCTTCTCCTCCTTCATGTATTCCTTTTTACGTCTCTTGCTTTTAAACATCCTGAAAGATTTAATGTAGGCATCATCTTCTGCAAAAAGCTTTTCCTGAATCTCTCAGTCAAAGAAAAGGCCCCTCATGTGTGCTCTGACACCTAAATCCCTATCCCTACCTTATCTTTTCTTAAATTGAAGTGTGACATAGATTTTAAAAGTACATGAATTTTAAGTGTTACCAATCTTATGTTATCACTTATCGCTTTATATTAACTTATCTGTTTGTGTACTTGGCTCCCCAACTAGCCCATTAGCTCCTGGGGGTAGTGACTATTCATCAAGTAGCTATTCAGATGTCTGGTACATGCTTGATGCCTAATGAATGTTCAGATTGAACTGAAAAAAAATGACCCTTAAAATTGGGTTAAGGGGAGTGAAATTTCAAAACAGCTATAGCAAATCAATGACTACCACTGTACAACTGGGCCATGGAACAGTAACTTACCTCATGTCGATTCTTTCTCTACAATTAAAAAAAGTGGGGGAAAAATACAGATTGACGGCAGGTTCTGTGGCTTACTATTTTCAGAATAAGAACCATGAAGAAAAAGGGAATGTATGTGAAGATGAATCATGTCTTTAATAAAAAATAAAATAAAATAAATATTAAAATAAAAATCATGTCTTTCAATTAAAAAAAGTTAAAATATAGAAATATATAAATAATTTCAAATTAAGATAACAGTATTTTAAGGTAGTATAATATGGCCAGAAAGAATAATGGATCCAAGTTGTCAACCCGAGTGCCAGTTCCTGATCTGGCATTGATGATGGATGACTGCGCAGATGGCACTCATTCTTTGCACCTCCAGTTCTGTGTCTATAAAGGAAGACGCAGGCTGAATGATTCCTGTGGCATATTATATATTTAGGACTTTCTAATTTTATAACAAATTTCTGAATTATTTCACTGGTTTGGTTTAATTACTGGACTTGGACTAAGAACATTCCAGAAATCACTGCCTATGTAGTGGCTCTTATTCTTCTCTTTAATTCTTAGTTTCTTTCCTTATGACTCTGGGTTTTTGCTAATAGCCATGCCTACATATTTGTTTCTGTCTGTTTGTCATCTTAGTCTATGTGACCTGAGTGACCTAGAATACCTTGATGAAGAGTTCCATCAGAGCCTGCAGTGGATGAAAGACAATGATATCCATGACATCCTAGACCTCACGTTCACTGTGAACGAAGAAGTATTTGGGCAGGTGTGTGTATCTGCACACCTGGCGCCTAAGTGTGGTAACTGAAGGCTATTGATGAGTGAAGAATTAACTCCATGGCTAAGATCAGATGCTTATTTATTCGTGGTTTATTGGGTGATTTAAACTCAGGATCACACACAGTTATAATAACCGCAGTTATAAAGATTAGAATTAATGTCAGCTGCAGATTAAGATGCTGTAAATTACAGATGGTGATAACTGTTTATGTTGTAAGCAATCTTCTTTTTATTTCCAACTAAAATATCCCCCAAAATATGAGAATTTACCTTATATAGAATGCAGTTTTTTAAAGTCCACACTACAGAATTTTTTAATTGGCATTTATAGAATGGTGGCTGGGCACGGTGGCTCATGCCTGTAATCCCAGCACTTTGGGAGGCCAAGGCAGGAGGATCAGTTGAGCCTAGAAGTTCAGGACCAGCCTAGGCAACATGGTGAAACCCTATCTCTACAAAAAATACAAAAATTAGCCAGGTGTGGTGGCACATACCTGTAGTCCCAGCTACTCAGGAGGCCAAGGTGGGAGGGTCACCTGAGCTGGAGAGGTTGAGGCTGCAGTGAGCCTGGATCATGCCACTGCACTCTAGCCTGGGGGACGAGAGTGAGACCCTGTCTCAAAAAAGAAAAGAAAAATAAAGAGAACCAAAATTGATTTTTTTGAAGCTAAGGGAACATAAACAATGTTTTGGGGAAGACTTAAGAACAGAATATATTAATTTTTTTTTCAAAATTGGTGGAAGAGTAGGGAAAACGTTTCTTCCAGAAATTATATACCAGTTTATAATTAATATTCTTATTTAGGCATTAATCTTTAGCTGCTTTTCTGCATTCCATGTGTTTTGAAAAAGTTCTCAATTTAACATTCACTTGAGTGTAATTCTGCTTTAAAGTAAATCTTTACGCTAGATATAGTCAATTCTGAGAAATTTGTGAAAATGGGTTTTGTCAAACATTCAAATAGTAGCAGGCTAGTATCTGAAGCCGATTCATCGGCATTTTAAAACTTAACCTGTAGTAACAGCAATACATATATATACTTTAATCACCAAAGCTTTCAAGCACCCCCTCAATGCCTATTTTTTCCTGAGTGTGTGTGCTCCGTGAGTGCCTGGGGCCTCACTGCCAGCTTGTGGGATGTGCCTAGGGCAGGGCTGGGACAGGTAGCTGGCTGATTTCAGCTCAATGCTAGTAATGTTGTTATAACATTAAGAGTATTGCTTTGTAGTCATTCTTTTTATTTTGTAATCTCAGATAACTGAACGAGAATTAAAGCCAGGGGGTGCCAATATCCCAGTTACAGAGAAGAACAAGAAGGAGTACATCGAGAGGATGGTGAAGTGGAGGATTGAGAGGGGTGTTGTACAGCAAACAGAGAGCTTAGTGCGTGGCTTCTATGAGGTAAAGACAATCAGCAGTAGGAGGAGTTTGCAGTCTGATATCAATGATGCCACAGTCCATCTTATTGTACTTTACATGTGTAGACTATTTCTGCTGTATTTACTGTTGCTCTTTCCATGCGAAAAGTTCAGTATTTTTTCCCTTATGTTTCAAGAGCACCAAAAGAAGCTTAACTCACTGTTACGAGAGATCACTGAAATAAATGTTATGGACTGCATTCAAGTAGCATTTGTTGATTTAATGACCACTAGTAACATTTAAGCCATGCATCTTATGCTTAGATATGGGTAATCAAATCTCATGCTTGCTATGTGAAATAATTATATCTGAGATCAGAATGAGTTGGCATGTATTGTATGTGACTTTTTCTGTAGAAACACTAGATAGTTTCCTAAAGGTGGACGGGACCTAGATTAATCAGCAATCAATTATAAAACAAAAATTCTGTCAAGGCAAATCTCATCAACCTTATACTAAAGAATGCCTTATATTTGTAGGGAGCTTTACAGGTTTTCAAGTGCCAACACAAGGTACACACATATTATTCCTGAAACTCCATGTGTCCCCTTTTCTAAGGCTTAATTATAGCTGATATTTCTCCAGGCTCCTAAGCCATGCCTTGTACTCTTTTTATTCCACAGGTGGTGGATGCCAGGCTGGTATCTGTTTTTGATGCAAGAGAACTGGAATTGGTCATCGCAGGCACAGCTGAAATAGACCTAAGTGATTGGAGAAACAACACAGAATATAGAGGAGGTGAAATTTGATTTATAGATGGCTAGATTTTAAATTTCAAATTAAAGGAAGGCATGGTTCAGCTTGCCAACTGAATATAGGACAGGCAACAGCACTTGGACTCTAATCATAGGTCTGATGCAGGCTCCCTTGAGACCTTGGGCAAGGTACATTCTCTTCTTTTCCTAATTACCTCATCTGTCAGATGGGAGAAGGACTGTTTACACACCGTCAAAGGATGTCATAACTCTTAATTGTTGGTGAGGAAATGTGACCGTAAGAACACTAATTAATTACTTTATCGTGTTGTCAGTGAAGCACCAAGGAGCTAACATCCAGCTGGTCAAACTCCACCTATTCCATTTTGTTTCTAAAACTTAGAAAAGCACACCCTTTGAGCTTCCCAATCAGCACAGTTTTTCCACTGTTCACTACGCTCCTTATCAGTTGTAATTCATAGTCAGAACACTTGAATGGAATAAGACACAGTTCCCAAAATACAACATTATTGGAGAAGTTCTAAATTCAAGCATGAATTTCAAGTGAAAAGAAGACTGTAGTAAGATTAATTAAAAACTGCACTATCTGACACTTCACAAAATGGGAAGCTAAAAAAGTGACACTTCTGCAGATCAGTACAAATTATTGATTAGTAACTGGGACCAAAGCCATTGAAATTTGAGTGTTAAACCAACACTTTGCAAGGGACCTGGTGGTAACCCAGAGTTAAGGTTTTATTAAATAATTTTAAGCAAAGAATACATTTTCTGAAAATTATCACCATGTTAGGAAGCCTTCAGAAATTCATGACAAATACCAGTTGTTTTCTCCTTTGGGTTTTGTTTTTTAACTCAAAGTATAAGAGATTAGAAGTAGTTCTGAACTTGGAGAATGAAAACTACAAACCTAACATCACTGAATTAATCACTTAGCAGAGTAAATTGAGAGCTGAACAGTTCTCTAGTTATCTCTAAGTTGAAGCAGAGATTTTTTTTAAAAAAGGTAGTTTTAAAAGTTTGTAGTAAAAAAATGCCTTAACATTTGCTAAATTGCTTTTGGTTATGCCTGTGCTTGCCTGTTCCAGCTCATCCCTGCACCATGGGCTGGCCTTGCTCACACATTTAATCTGAAAGGCTGTATTTAATTGCAGTTTCCATTGCTTCTATTTCTGAAGTCCAATTGCTGAAATAAGTATTTTCCAGTTGGCCCAAGTATAATCCATGTATCTCTTTGGTTATTATAATGTTGTTAACCCATCGATTTTTACTGAGAGCACAATTTCTCTGACATGCTACATAAGTTATATTTTACCATAAATATTATTAGCTCATTCTTTCCTTCCAGGAGATGAATTTTTTTTTTCAGACAGAGGGTGTATGCCACCATACCTGGCTAATTTTTGTATTTTTAGTAGAGATGGGGTTTCACCATGTTGGCCAGTCTGGTCTCGAATTCCTGGCCTCAAGCGATCTCCTGCCTTGGCCTCCCAAAGTGCTGGGATTACATGTGTAAGCCACCACGCCCGGACCCAGGAGATTCTAATAGCAATGCATTAATAGAATCAGCCATTTTTGTATTTTCATGGCATAAAATTTTATTCACTAAATCTGACTAATCAAGGACCTATTTATATGGTTATTGTAAATCTTATCAAATGAAATCTTTGGGAGGGGGAAGAAAAATGCTGAGAACCTCAGCTGCCATGTTTGCTCACCCAGCTACTTGGCACTGAGTAAAGAAGCGGCTGTGTGGCTGCCACCTGCCATATGTTCACACCCCAGCTGCTAGGAGAGAATATGATGAGACACATTCACTCTTCTTCCTCCAAAAGGTTTGGCACAAATAGCAAAAGGGAAGCAGAAAAGGGCTAATTCATAAGGTCAAAAAACTTTAAAGCTACAAAGAGCCAGTGCACTTCTTTTGTAGATGAGAAACTTTGCTCAGTACCAAATTGCTAGTCTTCACCAAACTCTGGGCATGGCCCATGTGTCCTCATGTTCAATCCAGTTTTGATCAGCCTTCTCTTTGATCCTTTTTTTCTCCAAAGGGGACTAAACATCACTGAAATGGTAAACAGTAAGGTGAGATTCCTCCCAAATCCTACAACTACTGAAATGTGAGGAAAAATTTGGATTAAAATAATTTCTACCCGCCTTCTATTCTGGACTACTAACTCAGTGCCCATTAACTATGTCTATTCATTGGTTTGAATCACTAAATCCTTGTTAGCCTTTTCTCTGAATTTAATTTTTGTTTTCACTGAAAGGTTTTTGGAATCCATCATCACTGCCCATGAGGTGATTCCTTTGACATTTTCTTAAATTCTACTAAAGTATGGAATAAGAGTAAAATTAAGTTGGTGATTACTCAGGATTTATTTAAGGAACTAAAGGTCACTTTTCCCTTTTTATTAGTAAGTCAATGTGAAACTAAGTTGATTTTAAAGTATGAATATTATATATAGCTTTTAAGAGAGCTTGCAGTTATGTATTTGTTTGTATAAATTATTTGATTAATGTGTCTCCCCTCTGCCAGAAGCCCTGGGAGGGTCTGTTTTCTTTGCCATTATGCCCCCAACCTTGGTACAGTGCTTGGCATAGAGGTATTTGAAAATTATTTCTTATGTGAATGACCGAAAGAGTTAAGTATTTCCAGTAACAACTGTTGTATTTTACAGAAATGATATGGTTAAAATAACTCATTTGTTGTTCTTCTCTTTACTAGTTTCACTTAGTGACCGTTAAATGAAAACAGAGACCTCTTGGTTTCACTTAATGTTGTTTTTGTTTAACTTTTGACATTCATATGATCATATATACAGTGTTATTCCTTAGTCTTAAAATTATAGACAACTTGTAAAGAATTCAAGAGGATGATTTATGTCTGGGGACTCTTCGTGTCACGTATCTTGGTGGCTTAATATAGAAGAGTCAAAGTAACATGGGCTTTTATGATTGGTTTGATAGGATACCATGACAATCATATTGTAATTCGGTGGTTCTGGGCTGCAGTGGAAAGATTCAACAATGAACAACGACTAAGGTTGTTACAGGTGAGATGCCATTATTTAATCTTTTAAATGTATCAATATGATTATTGTTGGAAGTGTATGTTTTTAATAACTGCTAACTATTCTCCATAAACACATACCATGTGTATCTGGAAATATGAGATACACCATTTCCAGACTCCTGATTGCATGGTTATGTGACTCCATGGCTATTCAGAACTTCCCTAAGCCAACTTAAAGCATTTCATGAGAGTTTAGGGAAGTGTCAAGTCCAGTCCAAGAATCCCAGTAACAACATCTGCCTTCAGGACAGCTTGGACCCTTCAGCAAGAAGCACCCAGGGTACCCAAAGTGCAGGCCGGCATCCCTAGCAGCAGAAAGAAATGATTTTAAGTTCTTTAAAAAGGGATGCAGTTAGTTGACAGTCCTTTCTTCTCTTTCATCTAACTTTCCACAAATTTGAGAAAACAGTGACATTCAAGAACAGTGGGAAAACTAACTTGTGTTTTTTTTTTTTTTGCGTGTGGTGTTTATGGTCATCCAGGACAATTACTGATCAGTTGCAGCTATAGAAATACCAGACACAAGGAAGTCTCTGGATGCTCAGGCAGAGCCTTACAAGTACTCTTAGCTCCTTTGGATCTTAGCTCCTTTGGATTAAGGGTCTGGGCCTCAAAATTGCAGGCCCAGACATTCTCTTTTTTAAATTCACCCGACATTGATCAAGGACTGATGCTAAGTTGACTCGGGTTAATTGATCCCACTTTATTCATCTATAGTGGGAAATGTGCCCGGTTTAAGCTTCTGAGCTGGTCAGCTGCATCAGGTGCTTTATTTTCTACAAACCCTCCACATCCCCTTTCCCTTTATCATGCACAGTATTCTCTTTCTTAGTATTATCTTCTGGCTCTGTGTCAGAATTGTGTTGTGATTATTCCACACCTGTGAAGTTTTGTCTTCAGAACTTTCCTGCCTGCTCTTCCTCAGGAGCTCTGCCCGTGAATGACGTGATGCCTTTCCTGGCTGTTGGTCTCTGGCTTCACCTTCTCCTTCTGTTTTCTTGGGTTGACAGTTTGTTACAGGCACATCCAGCATTCCCTATGAAGGATTTGCTTCACTCCGAGGGAGTAACGGCCCAAGAAGATTCTGTGTGGAGAAATGGGGGAAAATCACTGCTCTTCCCAGGTAAAATATAAAATAACATTTCTTTACTGTCACAACATTTGGTGGAGACATTCATTTATGTATATATTGATTAATTACTGCTTTTATATTAAAAGTTTGGGAGAGCGGAAAAGCTCTTAGAATGAATTTCTCCCTGATAACCTTTCTAAACGAAGAGGAAAAAAGATCTCTCTGGTCACACTTAAAATACATACATCCATATCTTAAAATACAAAACACAACAAAAGCAAAGTATTTGTTAGCATCAGTAAAGCGACGTTGGTTATCATGCTTGTGGCTTATGATTGTGGCTCTAATCAGGTGTTTCCAGAAGCTTGAGTTTTAACTTTATAACTATTTAGAATCCCTTCAGTAAAAATTACCGTTGTAGTTTCTAAAGGATATTAGATAATGTGGATGTGCTCTAGATCTCTTTAGCCTGTCTCGTACATGTCTTAATTCCATGCTCTCTGCATTGTATTCTCATTCATAGTAAGATTACATATTTCCTTAGAATAGAAAAAAAATGCTTTGCTGTTGCTGCTAATAAAAGCAAAAGACTGATCCTTTTGCAATTTGTCAGTGTGATAATTGGGTGTTCATGCACATATGTGAGATGTGCCACCCTCAAGCCTTATTACAACGTCCACACATTACCCATCTGATATGGAAAATAGAAGCAAGGACTAGTACAAAAAGTGTTTGAGATTGAGTGGAGATAACTGGAGCTGGAGCAACAGAAAAGGAGCATATGAACAAAAGAGGAATGGAAGAAAATTTGTTTTAGAATTCCTTTATCCAATTAGTAGTAATACTGTAGCATTTTTGAGGTAAAAAGGAGCTGAAATTGCCTCTAACTTTACTAATAATACAACTATACTCTAGAGAGATTAAATGATATTAGGTACCCCAAGATGTTATCCTAAATTGAAGTATAGATGACTTTGAGAAACCTATTTTATTAGTGATATTAGGTGATATTATTGTTACTATATAAGGTGACATTAGGTACCCCAAGATGTCATCTGTTTCTTTAAGTACAAGCAACTGAGCAATCTGTTATCAAAGCTTTCTTCTTAGCAATTGAAAGATGCCAGTTCTTAAGAACTGTATTGTCAGCATCAACAGATGAGAAAAAGGGTGCTGAAAATACAAATGGAGAGAGCGATAAAGAATGACTGCTCAAGGGTTTGCCTGAGCCTCCTTGGCCACCCCACACGCATCACAGTCTGAACAGGCTGTGCATCCAGACACCTAAGTATTACCTGGCATATTTGATTTCCAAATCTGGGAATTCATTATTTGATTTCATTATTTAAAGAACTAGCTCATTTTATTTATGCTTGGATAATGAGTTTTCTCCCCTTCAACACATAAATCAACAGATTTAGCCTATCTGAATAAGGCTTTTTACTCTTCTGAGAAACTCTTTAAGAATTTGCATTGAAGAAGGAAAGGGTAGATTAATGGTCAGCTTTTTGTTGAAATCTATTTCTGTAAAGCCACTAAAGTATATGGAATAAAGTGCAACAGTAAGCAGATATGTCCACTGTTCATATTTAATCACTGTAATTTTCACCAAACCTGATGGGTAGAGACAAGTAATTTGATATAGACCTGGAGCTTTAGCTTCAGAGAGACCTAGGCTGAGTCCCACCTCTGTTACTTACCTGCAGCAGGGTCTTGGTGAAGTTGCATGATCCTTCTGAGCCTCTGTTTCCTCATCTATCTGGTGGATTTGAAATTCTGAGGATGATGTGAAATCATTCATGAAAAATACTTAATACTGTCTCTGGCCATGAGTAAGCATCCAGTCAGTGATCGCTGCCATTGTGATTTCTGTCACCATCATCTGTAATACATATCAGGCAGGATATTTGCATATTGGAAAGAGGGCAGGGGTAGGAGTTAAAAGACCTAGCTTCTAGTCCCACCTCTGCCACCAGCTAACTCTGGGACCTTAGAGAACACTTCATCTTTGAGCCTTGATTTTCTCATTTGTAACAGGCCTGGAGGAGGTGGTATATTAGGTTGGGTTGAGCAAGAAGTAACACCGAAGGGTTGCTGAAGAATCTTGAGGGTCAGGCTGGATTTGCATTTCTGCTTCCCCCTGGAGCTCCAGGAAGTTCATGTGCTAACTCATTGTAAATGGTGGTATTCTTCATTATTGTAGCATACACACAGTTGGGTAACAGGCACTGTCCTTTCTCCCTGTCTTCACTATGACCTAAGTTTGCTTCTACATTCCTAGTTTTACCCAGATTATAAAACAGCACAAATAAAGATGGTCTTAGGCACATTGAGCAAGCAGCCTCTTTTCATACCCTCTCCGTAACAAGCCCCATCTTTTGGGGTCTGATGAGAAGAAAGAGTTACTTGGCTTTTCTGCTTCAGAGTTGCAGTCACCTTATGTAACCCAGGTAACACGCAGGAGCACAGATCTAAGCCCTATGACACACTAGTTACATCATCCTAAGCAAAACCCTAGATCCATCCCTCTAAGGTAGGAGTAACAATGTTCAGAGTATTTTTGACAATTGTAAGATAATGTATATGAAAGGCTTAGGAACACTGTGTTTACTTTGTTCTTTTTTAACTTTTTATCCTGACTTTTGTAAGCCACTGTACTACTTTAACTATTAACATTGGCTCCACAAAGAATAAAAGTACATTCGGAGGGAAAAAATTAAAAGAACTTAATTGCATGACAGTATAGTTATATGAGAAGCAACTTCTTCATTGACAACATTGTCATCACCCTTAATGAAATGTGGGGCATTACTTAGGTGTAAAAAAAGATCTGTAAAATTGGTTCTGGCCTAAAGAGATTCTTTTATATTATCAAGTCCATTTCTCCTACCATCAGAACAGATACACTGAAGCCATTTTTCTGCTATTTTTTGATAGGCGTTAAGTTGCACAATGGAAGAGCTGGTCTGTCTCAAGCTAGTTGGCCCCAGTGTATTTCTTTTTCCTATGAGTGAAATGATGTTTAACATTTAAAATGTGACATGGTACAAAAAAATAACAGATGCTGGTAAGGTTGCAGAGAAAAGGGAATGCTTATACACTATTGGTGGGAGTATAAATTAGTTCAACCATTGTGGAAGACAGTGTGGCAACTCCTCAAAGATCTAAAAACAGAAATACCATTCAACCCAGCAATCTCACTACTGGGTATATACCCAAGAGAATATAAATCATTCAGTTATAAGACACATGCATGTGTATCTTCATTGCAGCTCTGTTCACAATAGCAAAGACACAGAATCAACCTAAATGCCCATCAATGGTAGACTGGATAAAGAAAATATGGTACATATATACCATGGAATACTATGCAGCCATAAAAAAGAATGAGATCATGTTCTTTGTAGGAACCTGGATGGAGCTGGAGGCCATTATCCTTAGCAAACTAACACAGGAACAGAAAACCAAATACTACATCTTCTCACAAGCGGGAGCTAAATGATGAGAACACAAGGACACATAGAGGGGAATAACACTCACTGGGGCCTAATGGAGGGTGGAGGGTCAGAGGAGGGAAAGGATCAGGAAAAATAACTAATGGGTACTAGGCTTAATACCTGAGTGACAAAATAATCTGTAAAACAAACCCCCAGTGACACAGGTTTACCTCTATAACAAACTTGCACAAGTACCCCTGAACTTAAAATTAAAAAAAAAATTACATTGCACACATGGGAGAAAAATGGATAGATGTCCTTCTTACTTAAAAAATGAATCCTGGCTGGGCATGGTGGCTCACACCTGTAATCCCAGCACTTTGGGAGGCCAAGGCGGACGGATTGCCTGAGGTCAGGAGTTTGAGACCAGCCTGGCTAACATGGTGAAACCCTGTCTCTACTAAAAATACAAAAATTACCTGGGCGTGGTGGCATACGCCTATAGTCCCAGCTACTCGGGAGGCAGGAGAATCGCTTGAACCCAGGAGGCAGAGGTTGCAGTGAGCCGAGATGGCAATGCTGCACTCCAGCCTGGGCGACAGAGCAAGACTCTGTCTCAAAAAGAAAAAAAAAGAATCCTCTAAGAAGTCTGGCATGGTCTTGTGTCGGGCATGGGAGTTTCTGCCCTGGAGGGTTGGAGGGGCTGTAAAGGATGAGGGCAGTCCTGGCAACCGGAGCAATGAGGGAGAGAATCTTAGTCTTTCTAGACAAGGATGATGGAGGGCCTTTCAATTTTCAAGCAGGCAAATGTGAGTCTCATTCTTTTCTCAGATTTCCTAGTCTCACTTTGCGGTAGCAGTGGATAGCGCTGCTCACAGTATGAGTCAAGGAGTATATAAAAGTATATATGGTTGTCTCTGCAGCCAGTGCAAGTTGAATCCATGGCTCTTTTTTCCTCTTGTGGTTATGAAGTGACTAGAGACCCAGATGATAAATAAGGATGTAGACAGAAGGGTGTCTCCATGGAGACCTACAGCCTGAGCACATGACTGCACTTCCTCTGCTTCGCGGTCGGTGGTTAGCTCTGTATTTTGCATTTCTGTGGAAGACTTCATACCCCTGGTGCTCTGATGGACTTTATGAAAAGAGAGTACATTCACTTTGTGGCAATTGCTCTCAAACAGTCCAAAAAATGCGCTGCTAAGATGCCAGCCTGAAAACTGCAGAGCAGTCCTGTCTCCCACCATGGTGTGAGTTTCTGTGTTCATCCCCCAGGTTCTTGCCAAGTTGGGTGATGGGACGGAGGACCTGAGAGCTGCAATCGTCATGGGGGTGTGTTGGTTATTGCCAAAGGGAAAAGCGTTAATTTTTGAAAATGGCTGTGTCTGGAGATTATTATGAATGAAATGCTAACTGAAATTAAGAAATAAATTGTAAGAGTTAATTATGAAATAGATGTCTTATGGAGACAGTTAATCTAATGGAATAGAACTTTAAAAGATAAAATTATTTTTTAAAAACATAACAACTTTTTGTTTTTAAAATTCTGCTTTTTGGCAGAGTGCAGTGGCTCACACCTGAAATCCCAGCACTTTGGGAGTCCAAGGCAGGCAGATCACTTGAGGTCAGGAGTTTGAGACCACCCTGGCCAATATGGTGAAACCCCCATCTCTACTTAAAAAAAAAAAAATACAAAAATTAGCCAGGCATGGTGGTGTGCACCTGTAATCCCAGCTACTCGGGAGGCTGAGGCAGAAGAATCACTTGAACCCAGGAGGTGGAGGTTGCAGTGAGCCAAGATCATGCCACTGCACTCCAGCCTGGGTGACAGAGTGAGACTCCATCTCAAAAGAAAAAAAAATCTGCTTTTTATTCTAATTTATAAAAAGAAAATTTTACAAAAAATTGCTAAGAAATATATGTATATATTAAATATATATTAAAATACCTACATATGTATCAATCCAATGTCCACCCAATGTCCACTACTAGCTGGTCATGGTGGTGCATGCTTGGAGTCCCAGGTACTTGGGAGGCTAAGGCTTGAGCATGGGAGTTTGAGTCAAACCTGAGCAACATAGAGAGATACCATTTCTGAAGGAAAAAAAAGTCAATTACTAAGATAAGCTCTGTTAACATGTTAGAGTATGTGATTTCACTCATTTCTTCAGGTACACACAGGCACACAGACACACACATACACACACACACACATTTTAAAACAACATTCCGTTTATCACATGGAACATCTTTCCATGTCATTAAATATTGCTCTGTAATGTTATCAATAATTCAGTTTTCCCTCCTCCATTATAGGGAGCATTGTCTACTGTCAAAGTGAATTATCAGCCAGTATACCGGAAAATAACCAAGTCCTGAAATACAATGTCACTTTCCTCAATTAAAAGAAAAACCAGGCTGGGCACAGTGGCTCACGCCTGTAATCCCAGCACTTTGGGAGGCCAAGGTGGGCAGATCACGAGGTCAGGAGATGGAGACCATCCTGGCTAACATGGTGAAACCCCGTCTCTACTAAAAATACAAAAAGTTGGCCGGGCGTGGTGGTGGGCGCCTGTAGCCCCATCTACTCGGGAGGCAGAGGCAGGAGAATGGCGGGAGCCCGGGAGGCGGAGCTTGCAGTGAGCCGAGATCGCACCACTGCGCTCCAGCCTGGGCGACAGAGCCAGACTCCGTCTCAAAAAAAAAAAAAAAAGAAAGAAAGAAAGAAAAACCATCAGAACAAGAGATGAGTACTAGAAGGACCCTTTGGGGCCATCTCCTTTCTATATTTGCCCTGAGGTGTCCCTCGTTGGTCTTCCTAATTCCCTACCGCCTGCTGATGAGCTGATGTGGCTTTTCGTGTGGGAGAGAATTGACAGGAGATTCTCATACAGTGGTCTGCTCTGTAGTTGAACCTCAGGTCCAAGACTCTCTTCAACTCCTTTCCCCTCTGCCCTCTCACTCAGTTCTATATAACTGTATTTTAAATTTTCACTTTATTCTGCCATTGAATCTGCATGTACTAACAAAAACATGCCAGAGTTAACCCATCACATCACCATATTAAAGATTCTTAAATGTCATATACCTTTTGGATTGGTCTTTACTTTGGGAGGTGGGTAAATTTATCATAAAAACAGATTGTATTAAAAAAAGGGACTCTTCTGTAATTAATGTAAAACGTCAAGCTATTGAAAGAATTTGTGACTTTAATGGAATGAGATAATCATTCCACTTGCATTCCATCAGCATTGTTGCTGCTGACAACAGAGGACAGGATAGTCCAAGTCAAATCTACTAAAGGTCCTTGAGAGCTATTTCACAAGTCAGATTTTAAAGTGTCTATTTGTGAGTGACAGACATTGCAACAGTTAAAGAATGCTTACCCACTTTTCCTTGGCCTCAAGAGCAAAAACCAGTTTGGGCTCATTTCTTTCCACCAGCCTAGTCCATGACACCATCCCCCCTCACCTGGACTACTGCAGTAGACTGCTGGCTAAATCCCCTGCTTCTCCTGCATCCCACCATTCATTCATTCTGCACTCAACAACCACTGGGATCTGCAAACATCTCAAGGTCACCTCCCTCCCTTGCCTACACCCTCTGGTGGCTTAGAATAAAATCCAGACTCCTTCCCAAGGACTTCCTGTGGGGCCCTGGTCTGCCTCCTCCTGCAACCTCAACATGTACCCTCTCCCCCAACCCATGACACCTACCAGCCTCCTTCTGTGTATTCCTCAAATATGCCAAACTCAATTATGCTTCAAGGCTCAGGGAATTGCTGCCTATAACACTTATCTGCTGGTCCTTCATGCCTGGCTCTTTCTTGTCCCCAAGACTCGGGTTAGAGGTGATCTCCTGAGAAAGGCCCACCAGGCTTCTGTCCTTAGTGCACCTGTCACTCTTTCACCCCTTACTTCCTTCACTAGGCTTGACCCAATTCAGTCATCATGTTCAGTTATTGGTTTACTTGTTGATTATCTGTCTCCTCCTCTGGAGTATAATCCTGTGAGAACAAGTACCTTATCTGAATTAAACATGGCTTTGCTCCTAGCAGTGAGCCCAGTGCTTAGCACATGTACTCCATAAATATTGTTTTTAGTGAATTTGAAATCTTTAGGGATAACTTTGGACCACTCCAGACAAGAAATTCCAAAATCATAATCCAGACTTTCATATCTCTGTATCCATATCTGAAAAGTTGGGATAGAAATTAGCATTTATATTACAAAGTTGTTTTGAAGATTAAATGAGATAACATGCAAAGTGCTTAGAATAAGGCCTAAAACATCATTCAATAAATTTAGCCATTCTTACTATTCTTCCTAATATCTAGCCTTCAGGGCTGGCCGGATACTTTATAGTCTTTAGGTGTGTGAGAAATGTGCCATATTCACCCAGCGTGTTTGTATTTTGTTTGGACTTACAGGGGTTTCCATTCCTGGAACTGTCCTTACTGGACTTTGTTCTGTTTGGTTTAAATTCTTACATTTGAAAAGTATGTACCCTCTTTATCTCTCCCCAGAGGCATTCACAAGTGAAGAAGGTACCTGCTCAGAATGCATAGTTTGAAGAGTTTCTTCTGCTAGTTACCCCAGATACAGGAATTCCCCCCTATGGGAATATTCCACTTTGTATTTACAGATCCAAGTGCACCTTAACCAAAGTGACCTAATGAGACTTTGGAATAAGACATTAATTAGTGAATAGATTAATTCCCCTCACCCGTCTATAGATACTCCTCATGGCTTTACTAAGTGCCGAACCTTGTGGGAGATATACGTTGACCTTAAAACACAGGGAGAGAAGCAATGGATATTTACATGAACAGATAACCAACATCATTGGTCCCAAAATGGAACATGACCAATGAGTAGTTGGAATAGCAAGCACCATAGAATTTCTTTCCATGAATTCACCTTTACCGAACACCTGGTGAAGGTCAGGGCATTGTGCTCTGCTGCCATAAGTTACACACATATTTGTGCCCTACTCTTAATAGGAATTTCTGCTCTAAACCTCATGGCCTAAGAAGGTATTCATGAGGATATTAGATAAATTATGAATATTTTAAAAATTCTAACAAGTTTTACCATTAGTTGTGTTAATAAAGCTACCCAGGCTAACAAAACTATAACTGGATTCCTTTAATGGAATTCGATCACTCTATTTAATTGGTAACTTTGGATTTCTCATGCTGATTTCACGCCCTTGAATTCATCATCTGTCCCTCTACCCATTTCCTATATTCCCTGCCTTATTTAAAGATACCTCTGCCAACCCACTTTTCTTTCTTTCATCCATGAAATAACTGGAAAAGGTTTTTGCAAGAACACTCCTGGCTTCCTGATGTGTCCCTGCCTCCCCATCTGGCCTCAGGTCCAACCTTGCCTCCTGTCCCTTAGGCGCTTGCCCCTCTCAGGTTTCCTGATGATGCAATGTCATGTTCCATCTGCTGGGAACATCCTTCTCCTTGTTGTTGATTCAGAGAAAACCTGCACACCTACAAATCTTTCAAGCCTTGGCACAGATAGTGTCCTCTATGAACCTTCCTTGGCTCTGCTGAGCAAACTTGTAACTCATAGTATTATTAACTGTTTGTATGCAGGGCCACTAATAGCCCATCTTTGGGACTAATGAAACAAAGGTGTCTCCTAGCCTTTTGGAGAAATGCAGCCTGCAGCTAGGGCTCACAATTTGGCAAGCAGAGCCAAAGGAAGGCTGGATTTCAGTTCCTGCTTGCCCCAGAGCACAGGATACACAAACTTTAGAGGGTCTTTTTGCCTGTATATTTTGCTGCCACAGTGTAAACTCCTTGAGGACAGAAACCAGACTTTTCATCCTCATCTCTCAGAGGACAGCTGAATCCCTGGCATGGAGTATATGCTTAGTAAGTACTTATTCAGCGAGTGAAGGAATAAATGAAATATAATGCAAATTGGAAAATTAAGTACATTCACATACAGAGAGAGAAATTAATCAACAAACCAATCTATGGAAATGGAAATGTAACTGATACTTTTGGCTCACTGGATTTATCTAATTGACTTGTCTATCTGTAGGGAAAAAGGGAGGGTAAGCATGTGACCTCCTGATTAACATTTTTGAAGAATCCAGAAAGCACCAAGAGATCTATTAAGTCAGACCAGATGTCTGGAGAATTTTTAAATCTTCTTAATATTGATGCCAGCATGATTTCCCAAAGATGGGTTCAGACCTGCTTTCCTTGAGTGGTTCTGGCTAAATAGATTAAAATGAGGTAAACCCATTATAGCTTTAGTGTGACTGGCTTTGAAAGATTTGAAAAATGTTCTTTTATTGAGACTGAATAGCTGGATGCACTTTTGCTGCCAACATCAACACAGTCCAGGGCCCTCCTGTTATTTTCTGCTAAAGTTTTCTTAGGACATGGAATGGGGTGGGAGTGGGGGTGTGAAAAGCCTCCAAGGATTATGTGTTGCTTGCCATTTTTTTTGTTTTTTTCCTGGCCTTGGCTCATAGAGCAAGTTGATGGTAAATATTGGGCAATTTATTTAACCACACTATTCCTCAATTTCCTTATTAGCAATGCTGTCTTGTTTATAAGGAGTTTTGAAATTTCTGCAAGCACATAAAACACTGGTGCAAATAGCCAATGTAGGTATCATGTTGCTAATCCACTTGATGCCTCTCCAATAGTGGAGACCACCTGCATCAGACTCACTTGGCATATTTATTAAAATGCATATTCCCCCAGGCCCACCCCAAACCTTCTGAATTACAATCACAAGGGGTGCAACCAAAAATCTCCATTGTAAAACAAGCTCCTGGAGTGATTTTGATACACTCTAAAGTATCCTTTTGAGTATTTGCCTTCTTCTATTAAGCCTGAGATTGAGCTAGATGGTATGATCACCTAAAAATCCCCTGGTATTTTTCAGGGTTTTCTGGATTGACTCAATCTCAGCCATTTTCCCCAGAGCTACTGCATATTGTGATTGAATTATTCATTTAAAAAATATCTGAAGCTTTATTTTGCCAATCCTTGTCCTCAAAATGTGGATAATCTAGTAGGATGTTGAGGAATAATAGTTCGTAGTCAGAGGTAGGATAAAATTAATACTCAGGCTTCCAAAAGTAAAAGAATGAAGCCATGAGCATTAATCTCCCCGCTTTCAGTTTAATGTTGGACTTTCCCTAGGAGACCCAGAACTGAGGTCCTTTTCTTGATTTGGCCACTGACTCAGCTTTGACCTTGGGAAAACCATTTAATCTTTCCACACAGTTTCCCCCTCCACAATATATGCTTTCCCCATCATCGCGAAATATTTTCCAGAGGAGCTGTTTAGTTTATTAGAAGGAAAGTTGTGTTATGGTAACCATATATTATGCAACCAGATGTAATTTATGAAGCAGCAATAGCCTTAGATTATGGATTAGTAATGCTGATTATGTCTTACGACTGCAGAGGAACAAAAAAGGTTGTCTAGTCCTTCCCTTTGCCTTCCCTTTGTGTTGAGAACTGAAAAGAGTATTTAGGCTTGTGGATTTACTGGATAAGCTTCTAGAGTACCTGCAAAGATACTACAGAAATGGCAAAGAGACATTCAAAGTTCCTGTTTCTCTACTCAGAAACCTGGGAGAATGAAAGAACTGTTGCCAACCCCTAGCTTTGTTTCACCACCTGTCCTGGATAGATGATTCTACTGTATCACACTTAACATCACATTTGCCACCTTTTCTTGAACTGTTTCACTACCTTGAGACCTGTTACTGGTTCTACTGATGCAAAACAAATTACCACAAATTTAGCAGTGTAAAACAACACACATTTATGATCTCACTGTTTTCATGGAGCAGGCATCCAGGCACAGCTTAGCTGGGTCTTCTGCTCATGGTCTCACAAGGCTGAAATCAAGCTGTGGGTGGGGCTGCATTCTCATTTGGAGGACCAACTAGGGAAGAATCTGCTTCCAAGTTCCCTTGGGTTGTTGGCAGCATTCATTCCTTGCAGCTATAGAATTCATAGTAGCTTCCTTCTTCAAATTCAACAACAGTGAGAGTCTCTCTTGATTTTAATAAGAAATCCTAAGGCTTTAAAAGGTGAATGGACTTCATACCCATTACAATAGCTATTATAAAACAAACAAACAAACAAACAAAAAACAAGAAATAAGTGTTGGTGAGGATGTAGAGAAATTGGAACCCTTGTGCACTGTTGATGGAAATGTAAAATGTTGCAGCCACTATGAAAAATGCAATATGATGTTGCACTTCTGTGTATATCCCCCAAAAAATTGAAAAGGAGGACTTAAACAGATAATTGTACACTCATGTTCATAGGAGCATTATTTACAATAGCCAAACGGTAGGAAAAAAACTCCTGTTCATTAATGGATGAATGAATAAAGAAAATGTGGTATATACATACAATGGAACATTATTCAGCCTTAAAAAGGAAGGAAATTCTGACCCATGCTACAACATCAACCTTAAAATATGCTAAGTGAAATAAGCCAATCACAAAAGACAAATATTTTAAGATTCCACTTATATGAAGTACATAGGGTAGTGAAATTCATAGAGACACAAAGTAGAATGGTGGTTTCCAGGGGCTAGGGGGAGAGGAAATGGGAGTTACTATTTAATGGATACAGATTTCAGTTTTGCGAGATGCAGAAGTTCTGGAGATGGATAGTGATGATGGTTGCAAAATAACGTAGGTGTACTAATGCCATGGTACTGTGCACTTAAATATAGTTAAAATGGTAAATGTTATATTATGTATATTTTATCACAATAAAAATACTGAAAAGTTAATCGGGCAAGAGAGATGAACATATGGATCACAAAACAGGAAATGTAAAAAGCAAGAGGACATGGGGGAAAGATGCTCAACCTTATTGGTAACCAAAGAAATGAAAATTGTAAAATAGTATTGTGGTGTCATCTGTTAGTCTAATAGGATAATAAATGTTATTTGTCTGACACACACAGTTTGGCATAGAATTATATTCAAAACGTATTCTACTTTTCTGCTTCTTCCTCCCCTACCCCTGGAACAGAGATAAATCTTTATTTAATATTTTTATTCCAGTGTTTCACAGATGATAGATTATAAACCACTGCTAGGACTCTAGTGTAGTATACAAGTTGAATTTTTAAATAAGTAAAACCTTTTCTTGAGGCTCAATTTGCGTTCCAGTCTAAGGATATCAAATGCAATTCTGAAATGCTTATTGTATCAAAAAAGGGTTTGCCTGCAAAGATTCATTAGATGATTTCCACCAATATATCCCAGAGTTTACAGTACTAGGAGTGGGTGAGTCGGTACTATCTCTATACCCTAAAACTCATACAGTTGGAGTATCCCTAGTCAAAAAATTTTAAATCTAAAATGCTCCAAAATCCAAAACTTTTTGAGTGCCAACATGATGCCACAAGTAGAAAATTTCACAACTGACCTCATATGACAGGGTGCAGTCAAAAACGCGGTCAAAACTTTGTTTCATGAACCAAATTATGTAAATATGGTATAAAATTACCTTCAGTCTGTGTATACAAGGTGCATGTGAAACGTAAATGAATTTCATGTTTAGACTTGGGTCCCATTCCCCAAGATATCTCATTATATATATGCAAATATTCCAAATTCCAAAGAAATCTGAAATCCAAAGCACTTCTGGTGCCAAGCATTTTGGATAAGGAATACTCTATCTGTATTCTTACAATATAACAGATCCTGTTCACATTCCTGTTTTTAATAAGCCATGTGGCCACACACCTGCTTTATTATCCCTTTATTATCTCATCATTCTCATGGGTCATTACTATTTGTGGCAATTCACTGAAGGCAATTAGAGTCAAATCTTGTTGATAGTAATGAAATGTAGCTAACAATACCTCTATTATTAATTGGTCAAACACTATGAGCCAGTCATTCTATTAAGCATGTTTCTGTTATTTCACTTAATCCTCACATCCTTCTCAGACAAGTTATATAACCACCCTTTTAAAGGTGAGAAATACGGGCTCAGAGTTTTAATAACTCACTCCAAATCACACACTTGTTGATAGAGCTAGAATCCAAACCCAAATATGTCCAACTGCAAATCTCTGGTCTTCCCACTACATTACACTGCATCCAGGAATATTAATTATATTTATTTCATAAGGAAAAGGGATTTATCAGAGTAAAAGTATAGACATGTGACTTTGTAGAAATAGCTTGTTAATAATCATAGTTCCTAAAATTTCTTATTCAGGAGTATTTTTTTTAAGTCAAAGTTATGTAGGTCCCCCAAACAAGCTGTTGTACATTCAGAATAGAATGTTTCCTATTTCATGTCAAAAGTGCAGATTTGCTTCCTGATAAGATGTACTATTTGGAGACTGTCTATTTTTTATTGTGATTCAGATGCAAATAACAGGAAAACATATTTTTTTCCTATCTTGGCAAAAGAAGTATTTCTAAAAAAGAATACTTAATGTAATGATTTAAATTGCTTATTTTGTTATTGTGAATTGGGAGAAAGCAAATTTTAGCACAGGATTCAAAGAAGTAACAATGGCCTACTGACTTAGAAAAGTCCAGCCAGGGAATTTCCCAAGACTCTAAGCCATGAGGCAGGCCCTCAGAGACACTGGCTCCTCTTCCCTGTCCAAGAAAATGAAAAAATGCATAACTACAGAGTATCGAAGAGACACCCAGGCATATGCCAACTCAAAATGAACTACTTTGCAAGGCCTTATGTCCGTGTATTAAAAAAAAAATCTAGCATCAAAAGAGAAACAAAAACCAAACTTGTCTTTGTAATCCTTAGACCACTCAATAAATGGTCATTTATATGTAATATAGCTTTTAAATGGTGGTGAAATGTAAATAAAATATTTTTTTAAATATCCTCTTTTCCTTAGAGAAATTCAGTTCTGAATTTTTAAGGTCAAAATGTTTTCAAAGATTTTTCAAAAGGAGTGTGAAAATTGGCAACAAATAAATTTGAATGTGAAAGACAGTCATACACACACAGACACACACACACACACACACCACACACATTTTCATTTCACTCGGCCTGTTCTAAACTATGTGCTGTTTCTTGTGTTTTCAGAGCGCATACATGTTTTAACCGTCTGGATCTGCCTCCCTACCCATCCTTTTCCATGCTTTATGAAAAACTGTTGACAGCAGTTGAAGAAACCAGTACTTTTGGACTTGAGTGACCTGGAAGCTGAATGCCCATCTCTGTGGACAGGCAGGTTCAGAAGCTGCCTTCTAGAAGAATGATTGAACATTGGAAGTTTCAAGAGGATGCTTCCTTTAGGATAAAGCTATGTGCTGTTGTTTTCCAGGAACAAGTGCTCTGTCACATTTGGGGACTGGAGATGAGTCCTCTTGGAAGGATTTGGGTGAGCTTGATGCCCAGGGAACAACCCAACCGTCTTTCAATCAACAGTTCTTGACTGCCAAACTTTTTCCATTTGTTATGTTCCAAGACAAAGATGAACCCATACATGATCAGCTCCACGGTAATTTTTAGGGACTCAGGAGAATCTTGAAACTTACCCTTGAACGTGGTTCAAGCCAAACTGGCAGCATTTGGCCCAATCTCCAAATTAGAGCAAGTTAAATAATATAATAAAAGTAAATATATTTCCTGAAAGTACATTCATTTAAGCCCTAAGTTATAACAGAATATTCATTTCTTGCTTATGAGTGCCTGCATGGTGTGCACCATAGGTTTCCGCTTTCATGGGACATGAGTGAAAATGAAACCAAGTCAATATGAGGTACCTTTACAGATTTGCAATAAGATGGTCTGTGACAATGTATATGCAAGTGGTATGTGTGTAATTATGGCTAAAGACAAACCATTATTCAGTGAATTACTAATGACAGATTTTATGCTTTATAATGCATGAAAACAATTTTAAAATAACTAGCAATTAATCACAGCATATCAGGAAAAAGTACACAGTGAGTTCTGTTTATTTTTTGTAGGTTCATTATGTTTATGTTCTTTAAGATGTATATAAGAACCTACCTATCATGCTGTATGTATCACTCATTCCATTTTCATGTTCCATGCATACTCGGGCATCATGCTAATATGTATCCTTTTAAGCACTCTCAAGGAAACAAAAGGGCCTTTTATTTTTATAAAGGTAAAAAAAATTCCCCAAATATTTTGCACTGAATGTACCAAAGGTGAAGGGACATTACAATATGACTAACAGCAACTCCATCACTTGAGAAGTATAATAGAAAATAGCTTCTAAATCAAACTTCCTTCACAGTGCCGTGTCTACCACTACAAGGACTGTGCATCTAAGTAATAATTTTTTAAGATTCACTATATGTGATAGTATGATATGCATTTATTTAAAATGCATTAGACTCTCTTCCATCCATCAAATACTTTACAGGATGGCATTTAATACAGATATTTCGTATTTCCCCCACTGCTTTTTATTTGTACAGCATCATTAAACACTAAGCTCAGTTAAGGAGCCATCAGCAACACTGAAGAGATCAGTAGTAAGAATTCCATTTTCCCTCATCAGTGAAGACACCACAAATTGAAACTCAGAACTATATTTCTAAGCCTGCATTTTCACTGATGCATAATTTTCTTATTAATATTAAGAGACAGTTTTTCTATGGCATCTCCAAAACTGCATGACATCACTAGTCTTACTTCTGCTTAATTTTATGAGAAGGTATTCTTCATTTTAATTGCTTTTGGGATTACTCCACATCTTTGTTTATTTCTTGACTAATCAGATTTTCAATAGAGTGAAGTTAAATTGGGGGTCATAAAAGCATTGGATTGACATATGGTTTGCCAGCCTATGGGTTTACAGGCATTGCCCAAACATTTCTTTGAGATCTATATTTATAAGCAGCCATGGAATTCCTATTATGGGATGTTGGCAATCTTACATTTTATAGAGGTCATATGCATAGTTTTCATAGGTGTTTTGTAAGAACTGATTGCTCTCCTGTGAGTTAAGCTATGTTTACTACTGGGACCCTCAAGAGGAATACCACTTATGTTACACTCCTGCACTAAAGGCACGTACTGCAGTGTGAAGAAATGTTCTGAAAAAGGGTTATAGAAATCTGGAAATAAGAAAGGAAGAGCTCTCTGTATTCTATAATTGGAAGAGAAAAAAAGAAAAACTTTTAACTGGAAATGTTAGTTTGTACTTATTGATCATGAATACAAGTATATATTTAATTTTGCAAACTTTTCACTTGTTTGTATTCTTTTCATTATAAGGAAAAGTAGTATAACACACTTTTTTTTAAGTCACATATTTGATGGTATACAAGATGTTTCAGGGCTGGCATTCTCCAAGCAGCAGATAAAGGTTGCATTTCTTTCAAAAATACATTCAAAGACCATGTTATCCTTCATTTTGGTTTGAGACATTTAGTTATGGTATTTCATATTATTAGGTAAAAGATATTTGAAATAAAATGTATCTCTTTAATTATTTCTAACAAATATATTTCTTTATTAAGGCATCCAACTTTTTCCCAAATAACAGTACACTTTAATGTATGTAGACATTCTTAATTAGTATAATCATCTAGTTGATACTGTTCTCAGATTGGGAATTATCAAAGATGTACTTATCATATCAGAACACCATGCTAACTTATCTATTATTCTTTCTTAGTAAAACAAAACAGCCAGTAATAACTATATAAAATATTAAATAACATTTCCACAGAATAAATTAGACTTTCATGTACTCTACAATTAGAAATATCCATAAATATTTTCTTCTGGACTGTGAACCCAGATAACTAGGCTTTCTGGTCTTATTTTAAGTGATGCTCTTTATACTATAGAAGACACTCTTAATACATCATATATGTATGCAGAACATCTCTTAGATGAGAGAACAAGCACATCATTGGCATTCCCTCTGTGCCAGTTTGATGTTTGTTTGACGATGGAGCTACAAGAGTCTAAATCTGCCTTTGAAAAGCTCAGCTCACAGTGTAGTAGAGTAGACTCCAAGGTTCAAAAAAGTGTTTTTAATAAAATTTGGTAAGTTCTACAATCAAGGAATGAAGAGAGAAGAGAACAGCTTTTTCCATCTGGGAGATTCAATAATGGCTTCATATATAGATGATAGTGTGGCTAAAAAAAATTACATCAATGCTGTTTCTATTGGGAAGCAATGGCAAGTAATAGTATGTCAATACTGGTCAAGTGTTGAAGCCAGGATGCACTTACACAACGAGAGTGTAAAGTGTGTAGGGAGCTGATCTGTGAAGGAGCAACTCAAAGATTTTGAAATTATCAGTGAAATGCCAAAACAGGGAAAGTTTCCCTGTTTCCCTTCATCTATTCTACAATGCACCATTGGTTTTCAGTGTGAAAAATCCCAATCCCTGAGCCCAAACCACTTCTGGGGTCAAAACATTTTTCTTGTGCACAAAATGAATGGATCTTGGTCAAAGAAGTATGGTCACAATTTTCTAGCATATATTGCGTTTATAATTTAGCAGAAATTCTGCAATAAATAAAGGAAAATCTGTTTTACCTGTGCAACAATCAGAAATGGTAAAAATGCATTCAAGTGTTTGAAAGAAATGGTAGAATATGCTTGCATAGTGCTTTATAGTTTCAAAGTGCTGTCAGGTACATCGTCCGTTTAGCTCCTCACGCACTTTGTAGGGTACAAGCATCATGTTCCATCTGGGTTGTGGCTGATTTTCATGGATGGCTTGTGGCATCAGTTTCATTACTTCATAGTCACAATTCTGTGTTTCATCTTGAGAAATGTGGAGACTAATGTTTGTACCAGTATATTCCACATTCAGTGAGGTTTCCAAGATGCTTCCTCCAAACTCTCACTTTCTTAAACAGATACATTTAAAATATGACACCTTCTGAAAAGTCCATAAAGAAATTAGTATATTCATGGAAAAAATTTCCCCGTAGACTTATTTGCATTTCATGACTTGACATGAGAAATTTAAAAAACAGAAGGCAAAATGTGATTGCTTTTGATGGATTTATACAGAATAGTCATTTAATTTTCTCAAGTATTATTTGGAAACAAGATAATGGAAAACATTAATCAGAAGCCTTATTTTATTTTTAAATTTTTAATAGGGATGGATCTAGTAAGCCCTAATAGCTGAGTTCCAGTGATAAAATTCACAAATTTTATTTATGATTGGACCACTTCTAACAAGGCAAATATCTTATAATGAAGATAGGAGTCTGTTCAATTTAACCTTATTCAGGAAACTCCGTATTTATGTGAAATGATGCAATGCCATTATTAAGAGGTATCTGTAACCCTGCATAATAAAAACATGCATAAGAAGAATGTGGTCTAATCTCCAAACTGAGTCTCAGTTTCAGGGCCTTTTGCTTTCTTTGTTTGTTTGTTTGAGACAGTCTGGCTCTGTCATCCAGGCTGGAGTGCAGTGGCACATGAGCTCACTGCAACCTCCACCTCCCAGGCTCAAGCGATCCTCCCACCTCAGCCTCCTGAGTAACTGGGACTACAGGCGCATACCACCACACCTGGCTAATTTTTGTATTTTTGTAGAGACAAGGCCCAGGCACGTCTCAAACTCTTGAGCTCAAGCGATCCGCCCGCCTTGGCCTCCCAAAGTGCTAGGAGTAATTATAGGTGTGAGCCACCATGCTGGCAGTTGTTTTTGTTTATTTGTGATAAGGTCTGGCTGTCACCCATGCTGGAGTGCAGTGGCATGATCTTGGCTCACTGCAACCTCTGCCTTCCAGGCTCAAGCCAGCCTCCCACCTCAGCCTCCGAGTAGCTAGGACTACAGGCATGCACCACCATGCCCAGCTAATTTTTTTATATTTTTTGTAGACACAGGGTTTTGCCACGTTGCCCAGGCTGGTCTTGAACTCCTGAGCTCAAGCAGTCCTCCCACCTTGGCCTCCCGAAGTGCTGGGATTACAGACGTGAGCCTCTGGGCCTTGCTCTGTTTTGTCTGCTTTCTGATTTAGTAGGTGAGGGACAGCACTCTGGACCTTAGCCATTTTACTTCCATCTTACTGCCGTGAGTTTGATGAGAATGTCACTTTTAGACTCTAATTTTCAAAAACTTAGTTTCTTTCCCATTCATTTGTGTTTTCCAAATTAATTTGTTTGTCTAGTATGGATGCAAAGGAATGCTGAAGACATTAAAGCTTTCTGAATTGTGGCTTAAGGCCAGCTACTGCCCACTGAAAGGATGATAAAAATAAAAAAGGAGGAAAGAGGAGCCCAGCAGTTGTGCCACCCCGCAAGAATATAATGCTAATTATTGACCAACTGTCAAGATTCAGAGTGGTAACTGCATTCCGAGGAGCTGTCAGGAAGGATGACCGTGTGTGTGCTGTCCATATCATAGCCATCTGGGTCAGAAGGAGCGAAAGGATGGTTAGGACAGGAGTGTAGTGGAGGGAAAGTTAAAACAACGGTAGATGGATCATCTTAGGGCTTGCTGGTGGGGGTAGGAACATACTTCAATTTGGTTTCAGACTGAGAAGAAGAAAGCTATGCTCCCTGATGAAGGCACAGTTTGATCTACTAGATGGGAAATACCCTCATTTTATAACTTCAGTAATTTAACATTTTCTGTATTGCAAAGTGGAATTTAGTCCCAAAGTATTAAAGCTAACCATAGCTTGATCAGGAGATTTGACAATTTAGCATAAAATTATGTTGTGGATTTTTTTATTTAAGAATTATTGTTACTATTATTGAACACCATGTATGAAATGAAAGAAAGGGTGCTTTTATTTCATTATACTTATTTGGTTTTTTTAGCGGACATCCCTTGACATTAGAATAGCATTTGAGACATTTTCATGATTTCTAAAGATAACTTAAATGCTCTCTGTTAATCTGGAAAGTGAAATCCTAAGAGTGAGGTTGCAAATGGAGACTAAATTAGTGTTTCCAAGTCAGGAAGTTAATCAAGACCGGAAATAGATTTGCTTAGATTTTATCTGCAGAGTCGTTTATTTGGCTTTCGTAATTGAACAGCTCAGCAGAATAAGATGGCCCTAGTTGTATGGTTTCTGGGGAACACAGGAGAATTAAATTTATATATGTGATTTTTATGTGTAGTGCCCTTGGGCAGGTGATATCTTTCTATATGACTTTTAAGATATTACAACCTGAGGAGTGTGGATAGCCGTGTTGTGTGATTCAAACTGAATCAGCTATTACTGATGCAGGTAAGGAACCATCAGTCAACTTCTGGTTACTATCACCTTCATAAAAAAGAATGGATGATGTTCAGGAATTACCTTGGAAGGATTAACCAGGAATTAACACAGAATGGGATGTTCTTTTAGGACCCTAATGCTCTAAAAGATAAAATTACAACCTATTTTTCTTTATATGATAGCATAAGTAAAATTTGGGGCTGTTAATATGTTGGAAAGTGCTTAAAATTACATGTTTTTATAATAGGGATGCAGGCATTCCAAAATAAATGAATAAAAATACATGCATCTCTCTCGCCTCTTACTGAAAGTATTAATCTAATTTTATAGTAATGATTACTTTTTAATATTAAGGCTCTGTAAAAAAATTATTTCTAAGATTTCAGTAGAACACAGGTGGTGTATTTTTTTAAGCTTTTAATTTCTCTTCACCAACCTCAGTCATTACGTTCACCACACAGTGTGTCACAGTTAATAGTGGTATTTCAGTTTTTGCGTTGATTTAAGCTTCATATTTATTTAATGTGACTTTTGATGGAGAATAATAATGGGAGATGCTTGCTGTTAGCATTAAGGTTATACAGCTCTCACTTCACCTTATATGTAATTTTTTTTTCAAAGTAAATAATGCAGATTGTTGACATCCTAGAAATGGTTTCTGGGTGGTATTATATGGGGCCTAGGACTCTGAACTGGGACTAGTTGTTTATTTTCTGGGAAGTCTGTATTCTTATTCTCAACTGAACCCCTGACTCTTTTGTTGTATTTTTTATGATTCCGAAATGCTTTGAGGGAAAGATATTTTAATGTGTACAATTTGTTTTATTTTCATACTGATCTCTATTTTTGTTTAAAACCATGTTGCATCATGAAATCACTTAATCCAAAATAAATCTTCTTTAAAAAAAATAGATTATGACTTTTCTGTAATACTTTTGGGGAGGGAAAACTCAGAAGGGAGGAGAATAGAAGTAGAGATAAAGATTTCATGGCATTAGTTTGCAGCTCTATAAATATTGGAGGTTCTGTTTTCATAGTATTTATAGTATTTTGTTTATTTTTATTTATATTTTTATTATTTATTAATAAAATATTTGTTTATTTTGTTTGGAATCTACTTTGTTTATCCCTACAAGAATATTTTACTGTTTGATGGGCTGTTAATGTTAAAGGAATGAATTATAATACAAATCATAATTTCTTAACTCACATGGGTTGAGACTATTTGTTAAGCCATCTTATTTGAATGTTTAATTTATAAACACATAGGCACACCACTGCCGCCGCCACCACTACCACGCACATCAATTTAATCTAGGGGTCGCGTGTGCATATGCCTACAGGGACCAGATAGGTATTTAACGAGTGAAATTGGCTAGGTGGAAGCAACACACAGTGGTAGGGCTTACATAAAGGGACATTCTAATATTTTGCTCCAGCAGATCCTAGCCACATGAAATTCCAGTCTAGTGTTAAAAGATCTAATATATCAAGGGAAACCCAGAAACCCAAATTTTTGTGTGATATTTCCAGATCTTTTTAGTAGTGGGTGGATCAAACCAAATATAGCTACACATTGATTTGCCCTGCAGGTCACCAGTTTGGAACCCTTGTTTTAATGGATAACATTATCTTTTATATTTAGTTGACTAGTGGTGTAAATTGGCCAGATAAGTAAAATGTTACTAAAACACGGCAGTTAATAAAAAGAGATGGGGAATATATATATAGCGCCATATATATATGTGTGTGTGTGTGTGTGTATATATATATATCTCTACACACTATGAGGGCAGTCAATCACTAAGGGGTGCCCTTAAAATGATCTGTATTTAGCAACTCATGTTAATTTATATGAATTAACTCGTGAAAACCAACTTGTGTTAATTCATATGAGTTAAGAGCAACCCTGTCAAGATTTCATGGAATACGTGTGCCATTAAGCTTCTTATTACATATTTTACACTAGAAATGAACTTCATATATCACATGACAGCATTTAAGCAGAAGATTCATCTCCTATCACCGACTGAAGTCTGACATTGTTATTGAAGGGGGAAGAGGGGGAAGAGCAAGATACTGATTCACAGCACTGACTTCTGGCTTTTGTGCCATGACATCCCTCTGTATCCTTGGACCTCAGTGTGTTTTTAGAATGATAAATATATCTGCCTTCGTAATTTCCTTTAATCCTGAACCCCATTTAATTAGTGAGAGTTTAGTAACAAATAATAATGAATAATTCCCACTATCCACCATCCCAGGAAGTCTTTCATACTGTTCTTTATTTCATACTTAAACCAGTTAAAGACATTCTGGTTTAAGTATGAAGTAAAGTTTAAGTATGAAGTTGAAGTCTCTTCATACTTTTCTCCTCCTTTTCTTGCTCAAAAATGTTGACCCATTAACTACTTTTTTTCCCCTTCTAAATAGATACCTCATTTGTCAGCCAAAGTTAACTTTGGAATCGCAAGAATAAAGAAATGAGAACATCTGATAAAGATATAATGTTTACCTTGATACACATGAGTTTCACACACTTTATTTGTCCTATTATTTTCAAATCCTTGTATGGATAGATGCTTCCAAAAGATGTTTAATCACTGGTGTTTCACTTAGAAAGGAAAAGCTAGGGGCCAGGAGCAGTGGCTCAGGCCTGTAATCCCAGCACTTCGGGAGGCCGAGGCAGGTGGATCGCCTGAGGTCAGGAGTTCGAGACCAGTCTGGCCAACATAGTGAAACCCCATCTCTACTAAAAATACAAAAATTGACTGAGTGTGTTGGCCGGCGCCCGTAATCCCAGCTACTGGGGAGGCTGAGGCAGGAGAATCACTTGAACTGGGGAGGCGCAGGTTGCAGTGAGCCGAGATGGCACCATTGCACTCCAGCCTGGGCAACAAAGAGCAAAACTCCATCTCAAAAAAAACAAAAAGAAAGAAAGAAAAGAAAAGCTAGAAAAGTGTAAATTATTGGAACAATATATATTTTCTGACAATTTATAATGTGATTAAATACCACCCTTGCTACACAGAATACCACCCCTTGGCTAGTATAAGAATTCATATCTAGGTTGGTATTCATTTGGCATGGAAAATGGACCCCAAGTCCAAATTCTTGAACCTCATCAACACATCCCTCTCCCTGCTCCTGCCCCCAAATTAAATTCCTGATTTCATGGCCAAGTAAAGACCTACTTTTTATTACTATGAGGCTTTTGTCCCAACATCCAAATTAATCTCTTTAGAATTGAATTCAACCATATGAATGACATCTTTTGAGTATAAGTAGAGTCAGGTCTAAGAAGACTGAATGCTTTAAAAATGCATGTTTGTGTCCTCTCAAAATCTATATGTTAAAACCTAATTTCCAATGTGATAGTGTTTAGAGATGGGGCCTTCGAGAGGTGACTAGATCCTAAAGGTGGAACTATCATGAATGGGATTAGTGCCCTTATAAAAGAAACCCCATAGATTCCTTCTGCCATGTGAAAACACAGTGAAAAGACAGCAATCTATGAACCAGGAAGCCAGCCCTTAACAGGCTCCAAATCTGCCAGAGCCTTGATCTTGAACTGCAGAACTGTAAGAGATAAATTTTTGTTGTTTATAAACTACCAAGTCTCTGGTATTCTGTTACAGCAGTTCAATGGACCAAGGCCCAAAAGAGGCCAAGAGGTTGCTTGTTTTTTCCTAAACCCACATTCACAGCTTGACCTTCTACATCTTATTTCAAGGGAAGGCAAATTCCAGAAAGAGAAAGCCGGCATATAAAGAGAAGTAGGATAATATATTTTCTAATACTTAAAGCAGCGCTGGTCCAGATTGCCCACTTCAGGTCTTCTTGGGGCAGAGGAACCCTGAATGAAAAGAGTCCAGGTCCTTCTGATAGGTCCAGAAAAATGGGAGGGCTCCCAGATGAGATGGTCATACTTGCATAAGGATGGGCAACTTCCCTACACTCCAGCCTCATGGCCTGGAAATTCAAGAGAAATCTGAAGTGATCAAATCCCCAAGAAGAACACAACTCTGGATTCTTGAGCCTGTCCTAACTAGAACAGTGCTTCTCTGGGAGGAAGGGAGGGAGAATGAAGAGGAGCCATGCATTTCCCTTAGGGGCCAATTCTAGCCTTGAATGGTTGGCTTTCCAGAACAAAACAAGCCATTTTTAACTGTTAACTAAAGAGCTATTAACCAATTAGTGCTAATTTACTATTACTCCATATCAGCATTTCTTCAACTTTGTATCAAATCACCAATAATAATAAAGGACCCTTCAAATATGAACATGCAGCTAGCTCTACCAATACAAAATTATTCGTGTTTCATTTATTTTTAAGTAAATTTAAATTGTTCATATGTCAAACTGGGTTTCAATTTAAAAATATAATTTTTCCCCTTTAGCTTTAATAGCCACTTGTTATTATTAAGTAACCCTAAGTATTAAAGACATTGGATGATACACTAAGATACTACTTTGATTTTGCCTCTTCCTTGACTTGCTGCTTTGTACCCTGAGGTGTGTGTATCACTGGTTTGAAAAGCAATGTATATATCATCAGAGTCTCTTCTCACACCATAGTACTGATAATTTGGAGCGAAAATGTTTGGGTTTGTTTTTCTCTCATCTGCAATTAGCCTGTCTGTTATGTCACTCATAATAATGTTTAAGGAGGAATGAAGATAACAGGCTGCCTGAAACTTAGAACCAAGCAGGAATACCAATAATGTGGTGGCTGGAGTGTATGTACCTATCTTTTTCATCCTGCCACGGAGTTTAGGTGTGGTAATGGTTGTATGAGTGCACGTTAGCAAATGTATTCTAACTGACTTTGCACCTGTCCTTAGCTAAGTCTTTTTTACTTAAGACATAAAATAATATTTCAAAATTAGCCCTACTCCTTGGAGAAATGACTGCTTCTAGGAAATATACAAGATAAGCCTAGAGCATCTTGTAGTGCTAGAAACTGAAGTGAGTTTTAAAAATAAAACCAAAAAACACCATGAGAGTCTGTCAAAGGGATGCAGGAGCTAACTAAAAGAGCTCCAGTGGCCAAAGCTGGAACAGTTTGGACAACAAAATAAAGTAGTATCTGATTATAACACAAAGTTATTTTATATAACTAAGTTCATACTGATAAATAATTGATTGAATAATTAATAAATGAAGAGACAAATCTGGGCAGAAGAATTCCAAACAATTTATGTAGATACTCCACTCTTAAGTGGGGGCTACCCATACTGACTTCTTTCCAAAGAGTACAGCAAAGGAAGGAGGAAAGGGGAGAAAAGTTACGGTGAAGAAGCCGGAGAAACACTACCTCAGCCAGATGCTCAAGTTCAACATCAACAGTTATAAATCACGTGAATAGTGTGTGCCTTTGATATGATGGGATAAAAATGACACTTTATCTCTGTGGTCTTTCTTCCCAAATACATAATCCCAATGTAACCATGAGAAAATAATCAGACAATCTCTAATAGAGGGACACTCTACAAAATAGCTAACCAGTGCTCTTCAAAGCTGTCAAAGCCATCAAAACCAAGAAAAGTCTGAAAAATGATCACAACCAAGAGGAGCCTAATGAGATATGATGACTAAGTGGAATGTGGTGTCCTGGATAGGATCCTAGAACAGAAAGACAACATTGGGTAAATACAAAAGAAATTTGAATAATGTATGGACTTTAGTTAATAAAAATGTGTTGATTTCTTAATTATAGCTATTGTGCCATACTAATGTAAGATGTTGGCAAGGGAAACTAGTGTGAGGTATATGGAAACTCTACTATTTTCTCAATTTTTCTATAAATCTAAAACAATTTTTTAAAATTAAAGTATTTAAAATTTAATAGCTAATTTTAAAATTAGCCCTAAAAGCAGAATATGTAACACAGCCCCCCAGATCAATTCATTAATGGTTCTTTACTCATAGGGTAACAAGAGGCCAATCTTTAACTGCAACCAAATAGCAACTATAACAATGAGCACAGACAACTGCAAAAACACCAAGCAATGAGAAGAATATGAGGAAGCACTGCTGGTTCAGTGGCAGAATTCTCGCCTCCCACGCAATGAGAAGAATCTTTGCTTGATAGGTAAGCAATGTTTTCATCCTAAGCAATATAATTGTGTTATAGATAGTAAATCTGATATTTTGCATTAAAAGTAAATGGAGTTTTTTTTTAAAAAAAAAAAAAAAAAGAAGAAGAAAAGAGAATTATTGGTTACAGAGAAATATTTCAGTGACAGATTCCACCTAATAAAGTGAATAAAGTGCCAGAGATTTGGAAACCAGCTACTATGGTGCCATGCCTAGAAAGGTTCTGGAGTAGCTAACTCATTACACAGATGGGTGTGCAGAAATCTAAAGAAGCAGTTTCACACTAAGTAGTCAACTAAATTCATCATTCAAGCCACACATGACACTGTTTGTCAAGTAATTGATAATACATCTATTTATCTTTTTACTTCTTAGAGTAATACCTTCAGTTATCTTCCATTCCCAAGAACTAAATTATTCCACATAAAAGACTTTTACAGCTTATTATAACTCTCTAAGTGTGAAAAACCTAAACATTTTAACTCTTCTTATGGGGATCTTTTAAAAGATATACAAATTTCTATGATCTTAAATAGGACACACTAGAGAAAATGTATTTGTTGATAACTTAGGGTCACCCTTATAGACAACAAACAATATTATGCTGTAATAGTTGGGTAGATATTCAACTGTTTTATTCCTAAATTAAATGGTCCAGACTATGCTTTACTGTTAATACCATTCTAATTCTCCTTTCTGGTTCACTAAAATTTCATTTTTGCTTCATTTTGACTAAAGTAGCCCCTCCTCATTCTCTACTTTGCTGCCTTAAATTAGTAATATGCTGAGAAATCAGATACACAAACTCACCTAACCTTTGGCTATGTGAATAGAGAGGATGTTGTTGACAAGAACCTGAGGGCTATTCTTGGATACAAGATGAAAGTGCACATGTGTTAAAGAACAGTATGAAACAGTAACTTTCTCACCTGGTTGTCATGTAGCAGTAAAATTCAGCCCCACGCTTCAAAAGAAAAATATTGATTGGTGGGAACAGGAGAATGGCCTAGTGTTACAAACTACACGTACAGTTAAAAGGAACATTTGCCAATAACAAGTAGCAATTATCATCCACTCATCATTATTGCATAATAAGCAATAAATTTTAACATATTTATATAAAGAGAAGGAGAATCTCAGAATAGCTGTCCTTTAAGTAAATTAAGTTTTATTAATAATCAGGTTGGTCCAGAGTTGGAGAAAATTTTTGCAATCTATCCATCTGACAAGGGTCTAATATCCAGAATCTACAAGGAACTTAAACAAATTTACAAAAAAAACCACAAAAAACATTAAAATGTAGGCAAAGGACATGAACAGACACTTCTCAAAAGAAGACATTCATGCAGCCAACAAACATAAGAAAAAAAGCTCAACATCACTGAATATTAGAAAAATGCAAATCAAAACTACAATGAGATACCATCTCATGCCAGTCAGAATGGCAATTATTAAAAAGTCAAGAAACAACAGAAGCTGGCAAAGTTATGGAGAAATGGTAACGCTTTTACACTGTTGGTGGGAATGTAAATTAGTTCAACCATTGTGGAAGATGGTGTGGCAATTCCTCAAAGATCTAGAGCCAGAAATACCATTTGACCCAGCAATCCCATTGCTGGGTATATACCCAAAGGAGTATGAATCATACTATTACAAAGATAAATGCATGCATATGTTCATTGCAGCATTATTCACAATAGCAAAAAACATGGAATCAACCCAAATGCCCATCAGTGATAGACTGGATAAGAAAAATGTGGTACATATACACCATGGAATACTACGCAGCCATAAAAAGGAATGAGATCATGTCCTTTACAGGGACATGGATGGACCTGGAAGCCATTATCCTCAGCAAACTAATGCAGGGACAAAAAAACAAACACCACATGTTCTCACTTATAAGTGGGAGCTGAACAATGAGAACACATGGATACAGGGAGAGGCACAACACACATTGGGACCTGTCAGGAGGTAGGGTGGGGGAAGGGTGAGGATTAGGAAAAATAGCTAATGCATGTTGGGCTTAATACCTAGGTGATGGATTGACAGGTATAGCAAACCACCATGCCACATGTCTACCTATGTAACAAACCTGCACATCCTGCACATGTACTCTGGAATTTAAAATAAAAATAAATATTTAAAAAATTACGTTGGATTCTGTTATTTACAACCCAACAGTCCCAACTATTACCTTCTATAAAGCATAAAGCCCCAGGTGTAGCACACACAAAGTGCTCAAAATACAATAACTGTAGTGACAGTTGTCTGACCCTCTACATGAGGCAGGCACTTCCTCACTAACTTCAAACTAGTTCTGCTCTAATAGTCCAGTTCAAAAGGTGGACTGACTTTGACGAGGCTTTGTTCACCCCTCTGTTGGAGGTCTCTGTGGTTCTGACCAAAGAGGTGAAAGTCTTGCCCTTGGCTCTGACCCATTTCTCTATTTGTGTTAATTGCATTTGTGAGCCAGTTGTTAGTCTATTTCTATTCTTTGGGGAGGCTCCACTTCACCTAGTAGGTGGCCAGAAATGTAAGCCTCATTTTCTTGAGACCAGGGAGTAGTATCAAGTCAGATTCATGTAAGAGCCAGAAGCAAACTCTTGATCTTTCCTCTTCTGAGGGCTTATAACCCATTCAGAGGTGCCATGCATAGTTTATAAAAGCATCGCTTATCTTCACCAGAGTGACTCAAATGAAAAGAACTGATGATAGTTAACACCTATCAAGGATATGGAGCAATGGGAATTCTCTGCATTACTGGTAGGAGTGTAAATTGATGTAACCACTTTGATAAACTGTTTAGCAGCATCAATTACAGCCAAATATATGCACACCATGACTAGCAATTCCAGTTTCCGAGTGTGTACCCAACAGAAATGAGTGCTTATGTCCACCAAAACAAATGTTCAGGATTTGTTTCATAGCACTTTATTAATAAAACTGAAAACAATGCAAATGTCTGTCAATAGTAGAATAGATTGTGATTATAGTAATTCATGATAATATAACTCGGCGATGAAAAAGATCAATTGCTGCTGCAAGCAACAACGTAGATGAATCCACAGACAAAAGAGTCCTAACACAGCCGAGCACAGTGACTCACGCCTGTAATCCCGGCACTTTGGGAGGCCAAGGCGGGTGGATCATGAGGTTAGGAGTTCAAGACCAGCCTGGCCAACATAGTGAAACCCCATCTCTACTAAAACTACAAAAACATAAAAAATAAAAAAAAAAAGCTGGGCATGGTGGCGGGCTTCTATAGTCCCAGCTACTTGGGAGGCTGAGGCAGGAGAATCGCTTGAACCCAGGAGGCAGAGGTTGCAGTGAGCTGAGATAGCACCACTACACTCCAGCCTGGGTGACACAGCGAGAATCTGTCAAAAAAGAAAAAAAAAAAGAGTCCTAACGCAAAGAGGGCACACCGTTAAGGTTCCATCATGTGAACTTTAAAAACAGGCAACAGGAGCTGGTGATCATAGAAGTCAAAACCGTGCTTACCATGGAGATACTGGAATTGGGGAGGACTTCTCCATGGCCAGAAGTGTACTATTTCTTGATTTGGGTGGTGGTACAAGGGTGTATGCATATTTGTTATCAACTGCATACTTAAAATATAAGCACCTCTTGTATGTAAGTTATGGGTCAATAAAAAAAGACAAACATTTTAAAGTAAATTTGCTTCTTTTTAAGACAGGGTCTCACTCTGTCACCCATGCTGGAGCGCAGTGGTGTGATCATGGCTCACTGTAGCCTTGACCTCCTGGGCTCAAGTGATCCTCTCAACTCTGCCTCCTGAGTAGCTGGGACCACAGGTGCACCTCCATGCCCAGTTAATTTTTGTATTTTTTGTAGAGATGGGGTTTTGCCATGTTACCCAATCTGGTCTTGAACTCCTGAGCTCAAGCGATCCTCCCACCTTGGCCTCCCAAAGTTCTGAGATTACAGGTGTGAGTCACTGTGCCTGGCCAAATTTGCTTTATTAAAAAAAAAAAAAAGTGACAGATTAACTTCATATCCTGGTTCTGCACTTCATATCCTGGTTCTGCCACTTTGTTGGGTGACGTTGGGCAACCTCACCAGTGTAAGTCTCACTTTTTTCATTTGTAAAATAGGTGTTTTTCTTTCTCCTGCAGTGCTTTTTATGTTAAATAAGTCCATGTACAGCTATTAGGTTGGTGCAAGAGTAATTGTGGGTTTTACCATTACTTTTTTTTGAGACGGAGTCTCACTGTATCACCCAGGCTGAAGTGCAGTGGCACAATCTTGGCTCACTGCAACCTCTGCCACTGGGGTTCAAGTGATTCTCCTACCTCAGCCTCCCGAGTAGCTGGGATTACAGGCACCTGCCACTGCACCTGGCTAATTTTTGTATTTTTAGTGAAGACGGGGTTTCACCATCTTGGCCAGGCAGGTCCTGAACTCCTGACCTCATGATCCACCTGCTTTGGCCTCCCAAAGTGCTAGGATTACAGGCATGAGCCACCATTGAGCCACCGCACCCAGCCACCATTACTTCTAATAGTTCATTGCTTTGTACTTGTTAAGGGCTCAGTAGATGTTACTTTCCTTCCTCCTCCTGTCCCAGTGGACTGGCTTCATAGCTCCTGTCTATTGTCTTTGGGAGGCCACCAAATCTCAAGGCTATTTATATGGAAAGGGTGATTGAGCTACCCTAGCTCAAAACGTAATCCAGTCTTCCCTAGGTCAGACGACAAAACCACATATTTCTGCATGTCCCTTTGTCCATTCTTTCATCCATCCCATGAACACTTACCATACTTTGTGCCAGGTACCATAAGTGCTAGGAAACACTGCTGAATAAAGCAGCCATGTTTCCTGCCTTTGGGGAGTTTACAATGTCATGGGGAAGATGGGCAATAAACAAATAAGTCCATAATTACCAATGGTTATAAAAAGTGCTATAAAGAACAGGGAGCAGCAAGGGATGGAGAAAGCCTCTCAGAGGATGTAACATTTAAGATGAGAACTGAAGTTGGAAGAGCAGCCAGTCATTGGAAGATCAGAGGGAAAGCTCCCACAGTATCCTATCATTGCAGTCCTATAAACATCCAAAATAATTACAGCGTATACTTGAAAGACAGAATGGCTGCCAAGGAGAATCTTCTCACATGTGAACGTTGTAACATCTATTATGTTTCTCAGAAGAGTTTTGACCTACTTCCTGTTCCTTAGAAGTTAGATAACCAGATAAGTAGGTTCCCACTATAATAATATAAACTTATTTGAATAATGAGTTACAGAGATGGGACATAATGGAAAATAAAAGTGAGAACAGGTAAGCTGTACTTGGATTGTAGTGCAGTATCCTGAAAAGAAATGGGATTTGTAATCTGAGTTCAAATTTTGTCTTCACTCACTCCCTATATGGCCTTAAGTAAGTCACTCAAACTCTGTAAGCCTGGGTTTCCTCATCTGAGAAGTGAGAATAACCATTCAAGGTTGTGTTCCAAGAATTAAATAAAATGACGGATACATTGCACCTTGCGTATAAATGTATTGCCCCGCTTTACTTAGAACATTCCTCTGTGTCATTTCACTGTAAAAACAATTAATTATTTGTACTCTTAGTTCTTCATTCTTACTACAGAAATGTCAACTTTTAAAAACAGCAAGTACATTTCTTTCTCTTAAATATCTTCCTCTAACCTTAGCTCTTGGTTTGCAATTCTTAGTTCTGTGCTAAATCTTATTACTTTAGGTGGCAAATCATTCTTGATTTTCCTAAATCCCCACCTGAAACCTCCTCAGGCAATCTGGGCCACAGCAGGGAGTGAGTGTGGCCCGGCCAGATGGGGAGATGTGAACACTGTTTTGGGGCTTCTGGTGCTGCACACACCTGCAGGTAAGACAGCCGTGGGGCTTGGTCTGGCTTGCCATCTGGACTTTGGGTCCTCCAGAAAAATTATGTTTCCCTTTCTTCTGCATTGTTCGCAGCTGATCTGTCATAGGGCTCCTATAATGCTTCAGGCAAGGGGTGGGGTGAGAGAAAAGAGAAAGCATGTCTCAGGTAAGTGTGCTCTCTGGAGAGTCTTCTCTGTTAGGGGTCACTCGAAAGAGCCCACAGTCTTCAGCCCTAGACTGAACCCTGACCTCTGATGGACAAGTCACTCTCACGACCTCTGTTCTCATCTGTAAAATGGGATAACACTAGCTTTGCTAACAGTAATCCCCAGACTGTTGAGGCTCAGATAAGTCATTGCATGTGAAAGCTCTATATTGACTAAAATGCTGTACAGACATCAAGTGTTATTAATATTAATATATCCTGTGCCACATTCAGCATGTGTGATTGACCCAGAAGCTTTCAGACCTACTCAGGACTGAGCTACTAGAGGGGATTTTTCTAGGTCAATGAGTAACAGAAAGTGTCTCAAAGGTATTGCCTATTTTTACTGTGAAAGGACAACCTCCTCAGAGACAGGCTTAATGAGAAGAAGAACGCAAGGACTGGTGATTAAGAGATAATTATATACAAAACTAGCCTATTCTGATAATTTGTGTGATTTATTTGGGCAAATTATAAATGTGCTGTTAGCTTAGGTTAAACTAAACAAAGCTTACTGAATTAATGGCGACTGATCAAATCTTTATTTCTGCAATTTCCTGTTCTTAGCAGGAAGAAAAAAAAAAGGCCTGGGTGAGAGACAGGAAGAAATAAAGACAACTGATTTTATGCCTGTGGAACTTCTCTCAAGTAGACCAAGATAATCATCTGTCAAGTGCTCAAACATCTCATATTTTAAAAGGTGCATCTGTAGTTTAGGCTTGCAAGAAATAGCTTAACAATGGTCATTCCATGTGCCAGTTTTTAAATTTCTCAACCTGTTCTCAAGGTGGGGTGTACTAATTTATGCTTGTCTGTGGATTTCTACTATACACAAGCCTTTCTGCTGAGAAGTTAACTGTGGAAATTGGAGATGAGAGGAAATAGCAATGGGTTGCTCACCTTGTACGTTTTCCCTAAATTATTTCAAGACGCTGCTTCAAAGAATCCTTCATCTGTGGTAGTATTTCAACTGTAGAAGAAGATGCTTTTTCTAGTCAAAATTAATTTAAGTCCCTAATAATTCGAGTTAGCATGAAATGGAAAGATCTGAAGGGCCCAACTGACCTGCACACTTTTCACTTTTGATGTCTAGCAATAAGGTAGTAACTAGACTAGAATAGAAATGCGTTAAAATTTGCTTGCGAAATTGTAGAAGGCAGAACCATTCCAGGCACTAGCAGCTCAAACAGAAAAGCGTTATATTTTATATGTCGTATTAAATAATAATGAAAAGTAACCTAATAGGAACCAGTTCCAAAATCCTTTCTGGATAATTTGGTACATTTGAAATCTAGTATGCTTTTCATGCCTCTCTTAAGCACTCTATAAAACAAGATTCTCTCAAATGCGTTAGAAGATTTCTGTTTTGACTGGCTCAGCGAGGCTGGAGGTACTTGAAATGATTTATAATGAACTAAGCACATGGCATGGCGTCACCAGGCATTCTCTTCAGAGCCTCTTGCCCATTTTATAGAAATTGCACAGCTGGGAAGTAATACAATGAAAATCTTACACTCTGCTTGTTGAAAGTTGGATCACAATTCCAAAGTCTAAGTAAAAATGTATAGCCAGAGTAGAAGGCCAACATTTTTTTTCATCTTTCAAAAAGCTAGATGTTTTAACTTATTTGTGTTGTTGTTTGTTTTCTTTTTTTCTTTTTTTTTTTTTTTTTAAACAGGGTTGCCCAGGCTGGAGTGCAACGGCACAATTATAGCTCACTGCAACTTTGAACTCCAGAGCTCAAGCAGTCCCCCTTCTTCAGCCTCCTGAGTAGCTAGGACTACAGGCGCATGCCACCATGCCTGCCTAATTTATTTATTTATTTATTTATTTATTTATTTTTGTAGAGACAGTTTCACCATGTTGCCCAGGCTGGTCTCAAACTCCTGGCCTCAAGTGATCCTCCTGCCTCAGCCTCCCAAAATGCTGGGATTACAGGCATGAGCCACCGTGCCTGGCTGTTGTTCGTTTTCTATGGCAGATAAAACAAAGGGTACATTTATTTTGCTTTCTTTTTATTTTGGTTAACCATGGTTTATTTGTAGAATTTCAGAAAGGCTGATTAATATAAAAGTGGTCAAAATATATAACCACAGAAGCTAACTAAGAAATCAGTTTTTCATAGGACCAGTCAGAGTTCTTAATTGCAAGCAACTAAACATCTCTGGATATCTGAAGCTGAAAAACAATGTATTTAAAGGATATTGAGTAGTTCATAGAAAGGAGATCCAGGCTGGAGAACCAAAGTTAGGACAAGATAACTAGGAAAAACATCCAAAGTCATGTCTGTGGATTGTTCAGGGGAAGATGACGACACTATTGCCCAAACTCAGGATTCTACACTGCAGCTTGTGCCGTGGACACTGGAGATGCCACTAGACCTGCTGCTTCCAGGGCCTGATTGCTCCTTCCGTCTCAGCATTCTTCATGGCCCAGACTTACTAGCTCCAGATTCAAAGGTTCAAGTGCATATGTGTGATTGGTTGATAGAACCTAAGGTAATTGTTCCTCCCAAGCTACAAGGAGTATATTTGTCACTTTCACTGTCATGGACTCAAAAGGTGAGGAATTCTCTAAACACTGATGGGGTTAAGATACAGGGTGGCCATAGAGTAACAAATGTCCCAGTCTTGAAAGACTTGAAATCGGTCACTATGATGAGAATAGTGGTTCTCAAGCTGTTTGGTTCTCAAACTTCTACACTCAAATATTACTCAGGACCTCAAAGAGTTTTGGTTGATGCAGGTTATATCTACGTAGATAAGTAATGGTAAATATGGTAATCTAGTAAGTATAGTCCATAGGACATGGTTAGTATGCTCAATACTTACCATATTAGAAATTAAAGGAGAGGCAGGCAACATGCTAGATGAAAGATTCACTTTGTGATTAAAATCAGATGATATACATAATATTGAAACACAATTTTCTGGATCTCTTTCTGGATTCCTATTACATATACTTTTATCTGACTTGGAAATTTTGATTGGAGGTTGATATTGGATTGAACCTGCATCAAATTACTGGTACAATGGTGTTTTTAATAGACTGCAAAAATAATAGAAGGGCTATATTTTGATTATTTTATTAGTTCTACATTCTCTAAATTTGAATATTTAAAGCAATGGCAGACTCATTCATTTTTCTAAACAAAGCCTTTTATTTTAGAGCAGTTTTAGATTCATACCCAACCAATTTCCCTTTTTATTATAGGATCTTACATTAGCAAGGGTGCATTTGTCACAACTGATAAACCAATATTAATACATTATTATTAAATAAAGATTTCCTTAGTTTTTGCCTAGCATCATTTTTCTATTCCAGGTTCCCACCCAGCATACCACACTACACTTAGTCGTCACATCTCCTCAGGTCTCTCTTGGCTGTAATTATTTCTCAGACTTCCCTTGTTTTGGATGGCCTTGACAGTTTTGAGGAGTATAGGTCAGGTATTTTATAGAATGTTCCTCAACTGGGATTTGCCTAATGATTTTCTGATGGTTGCACTGGGATTGTGGGTTTTTGGGAGGAAGACTACACAGGCAAAGTATCATACTTATCATGTTATATTAAGGATACATAACATCATGACTTATGACTTATGACTACTGACCTTAACCTTGATCATCTGGCTTGAGGTAGGTTTCGTCAGGTTTCTCCACCCTAAAGGTGCTTTCTCCCCATCTCTTCCTATATTTCAGTCTTTGGAAGAAAGTCACTATGGGCAGCCCACACTTAAGGAGTGGGGAGTTATGCTCCACCGACTTGAGGGTGGAGTATCTGCATAAATTGCTCATATTTCTTCTGTATGGAAGATTTGTCTATTCTTTCAACCATTTATTTATGTCAGTATGAATTCATAGACATTTATTTTATACTTTGGGTTATAGTCTACTACTGCTTTATTTCTTGTGTTGCTCAAATTGTCCTAGCTTTGGCCATTGTGAGCTCTTGTAGTTGGCTCCTGGTTCCCTTCTCTTTGAATGCCCCCATAATTGCATGGTGGTGTTCGCTTGCACTTCCTTCTTTCTGGACTACAAGATACTTCAGGCCCATCTGTATATTTCCATCCTCAGTCACAGAAGCAGCCATTTCTCCAAGGAGCTTTGATTCCTTTTCTTGGAGAATGATATTAGAGACTAAGACCTCAGTGCTAAGCATGCTGTTGTTTCTGAGGTGTCATTACTTTTTAGGCACCCTCAGCTAACAGAGCAAGGAGCTATACATGTGTATGTCAACCCATGTATATACACATAACCTATAAATATTTCTATATGTAAACATCTGTATCTATATTAAGCTAAACAGGAGTTTCGACCAGATGTCTCTAACTCTGAGCCCTCTCCCTTTGCATTTTTTATATACTTGAAAAGTTATTTTAACAATAAAGCAATTTTGGAATGGTAGATATGAGAAGAAACAAAAGGCTGAAAAGAACAAGGACTCCAGGAACTAGATGAATAAAACACCCAAGAAGGTGTGCTCTTTTGTTAGTAGCTAGTTATTAAATATCCACACAGTAAAAGTCTGTGTAGGCTGAGTGTGGTGGCTCACGCCTGTAATCCTGACACTTTGGGAGGCTGGGGGAAGGGGGGTTGCCTGAGCTCAGGAGTTTGAGATCAGCCTGGGCAAATGGCGAAACCCTGTCACTACTAAAAAAAAAAAAAAAAAACAAAAACTGGGTGTGGAATGCACGCCTGTAGTCCCAGCTACTCAGGAGGCTGAGGCACGAGAATCACTTGAGCCTGGGGGGCAGGGGTTGCAGTGAGCTGAGATTGTGCCACTGCACTCCAGCCTCGTTGACAGAGTGAGAACCTGTCTCAAAAAAAAAAAAAAAAAGTCTGTGTAGTAGAGGATGGACTTGAATGACTGCGAGCAAGTATATAACTTCCACGTCCCTTAGTTTTCTGGTTTTTGTTTTTTTTTTTTGAGATAGAGTCTCACTCTGTTGCCCAGGCTGGAGTGCAGTGGTGTGATCTCGGCTCACTGCAAGCTCTGCCTCCCCGGTTCACGCCATTCTCCTGGCTCAGCCTCCCGAGTAGCTGGGACTACAGAAGCCACCACCACGCCCAGCTAATTTTTTTTTTTTTTTGTAATTTTAGTAGAGATGGGGTTTCACCATGTTAGCCAGAATGGTCTCAATCTCCTGACCTCATGATCTACCTGCCTTGGCCTCCCAAAGTGCTGGGATTACAGGTGTGAGCCACCGTGCCTGGCTAGTTTTCTTATCTTTAAAGGAGGAAAATATAGCACTGTAACTCATAGGAGGATGTGAGCATTAGATGAATTAACATAAGCAACACATTTAGAACAGTGCCAGTTTCATTATTTATGAACTGTTGTTGCCATGTACACTATGAGGCAAGTATATTATCTCCATTTTACAGATGAAAAATAGAGGCACAGAGATTTTCTAACCTGGTCAAGATCTCACAGCTGGTAAATTACAGAACCATTCTCTCATAATCTGTGACCTTTTAAAGGTTTCTGAACAGCTCTGAACTTACTGATTCTTCGGTAAAAGTGAAGCCATGAAATGCTGCTCTATAAATCTAAAGGAAAGGCCAACTACTAAAAAGATTCAAGAATCTTTGAATATTCTCAATGTCAGGAATGCTGTGATAATCAGGAATAGTACCATTTCCCACATTACTAATGCTTTTATGCCACAAAATGGCTCAACTTTCAGAGTAGATTGGCCTTCTCAATGTTCATGCTATCACCTTACACCAGTTGACACAAAGATCACTCCTAATGAGGGAGTTGCTGGGGATTAAAAGTTGGCTCTGCCTTATCTATATCTGCTACTGCCTGCTGTAAGAAGACTCACTACGTGAAGGGTTTCTGGAAGGGTACCTGCCATGTACCCTGGAGAATGTGATAGCAGGTTGTCATTCATGGTATATGCAGTTGGCAGAGGAAGTTTCTTAGCAAAGTGAAAAAGGAAGAGATTTATTAGGGAGAGCTAGTAGGCGTTATCTACTCAAATCAAATAGACAGCACCCTATATTTATACCCTGTATTTATTTCTTTGCACCACTTGATATCTACTTCCTTTAAACACTAGTGACTAATTTCTTTATCTCACACGGCCCCCTGGACTCCACCATTTGTTGACCCTTAGAGCTTCATTCCGAACTTGGGTGTCTCCACCAGATAGATACTGAAAGGAAAAGCAGTCACCTCCCTCTCCCCTTTCCTTTCCAATGACATTTTTCTCCCAATGATCCCTACTAGCATCAACCATAAGATGTGAGGAAAATCGAAAGTATCTTATAAAGCCATTTGACAAATATTTATATAGAACCCACAATGTCTTGAGCATCTTGCTAGTCACAGGGCGCAGTAGTGCACATGGGGAGCTGGCAAAGCACTGGTAAATAATAATAGCTTGTAGGAACAGAACCAAGGGTTTATTCTTGTTAGGCACTGTTCTTAGTATGCATTATCCCATTTCAATCTCATGGAGGTAGCTATTATTATTATCCCCATTTCACAGATGAGAAAACTGAGGATCGCCCAAAATCACACAACAAGGAATGGGCAGAACTGGGACTTGAAGGCAGGGCTGCCTGATGTCACACACTTAACCACACATATATCTTCTCTTTCTCTCTCACAGCTTCTCACGAGGTAGAACTTTAGAGCCTGGTGTGTTTGTGGCTGGAGCATAGCAGCTCTTCTACAACTTTACTGTAGTTTCTACTGAATATTTTGGTTTGCAAATATAAAGGATTCTCTGAAGCACAACCTTAAATAACGTGTGGTAGACACCTGGGAGAGGAAAACTGCAGACAGAAAAATGTGGCCGGATGCTCTGTGGGCGGGCGGCAGCGATGTTCGGCCAGGTGGCTCCAAGGAGAGGAAGCAGTGATGCATTGAGGTAAGAGAGCTGACAGATGAAACCACATGGACCCTAAGACAGAGTGGAAGGAGGGTGCCTTAAATATTGTAGGGTGTGCTCTTATCAGGTTATGAGAATGCAGTTGGGATACAGGTTTGCTTTCTCTTGCCTGTATCATCGGAGTGATGATTCAGATAAATTTAAAAATTACTTTATTCTGAAGTATGTCTGATGTGAAGAGGCTTAAATAATATCTTAGGATTAAGAGTCAGGAGACCTAAATTATTGTTCAGATATGTACCACCGAATTTAGGTGTGTGATCTTTTGCAAGTCCCTCAACTTCTCTCACTGTAGGTTTCTTCCCTTCTAAAACAAGGGAGTTGGGTTACTGAACTGCAAGAATTTTTCTAGCTCCAGACTGCTCTGATTGTCTCTAGCACTGGAAATTTAGACACAATTAGAAGGCACGTTTCTAGCCCTTCAGACCTACACTGCCTAACTTAGTAGCCACATGTGGCCATGAAACACTTGGGATGTGGCTAACATGACAAAATTTTCTATTTTATTTCATTGTCATTAAATTTATATTAAGAAACTGATACTGTATTTAGTTATTGAAAAACTTTATTTATTTTTGAGACAGAGTCTCGCTTTGTCGCCCAAGCTGGAGTGCAGTGGTACACAATCTCGGCTAACTGCAACCTCTGCCTCCTGCGTTCAAGTGATTCTCCTGCCTCAACCTACTGAGTTGCTGGGATCACAGGAACCTGCCACCATGCCTGGCTAATTTTTGTATTTTTAGTAGAGACGGGGTTTCACCATGTTGGCCAGGCTGGTCTTGAACTCCTGATCTCAAATCATCTGCCCGCCTTGGCCTCCCAAAGTGCTAGGATTACAGATATGAGCCACCACACCTGGCGTGAAAAACTTTAGTTTGTTCAAAACAACTTAGGAATGTGAATCTGCTTTTTGCAACAGTAAATTTTGTGAAATCTAAATACAGATCAAGTGTTTCCGATGAAAATTTGGCATCTGAATTGGGACATGCTGTAAGTATAAAATACTAGATTTAAGACAATATTAAAAAAGGAAGTAAAATGTCTCAATAATTTTTGTTGATTACATGTTGAAATGACAATGTTTTAGAAATATTGGGTTAAATAAAATAAATTGTTAAAATTAATTTTATCTGTGTTTACTTTTTAAAATATGACTAGTAGAACATTTGCCAATGTGCGTGGCATTTCTTTTGGACAGCTTTTACAGGACAGGTTATACTCTATAAACTGCAGTGAGTGGTTGGATTGGCATATTGGCCCTAGTTGATCATGGATGTTTTGGAGAGGAAAGCTGTGTCACCCTTTAAGGAAGACACTTGTACCAGTCTGAGTTATTACTCTCATCAGACAAAACTAGCCCCAATTAGCTTTGCTAATAGTGTTTCAAGAGAGTCAGGGGATGTGAGGTCTCTTAGAGTCTCTCTGGTTCTCAGTGCTTTCAAAATTGCAATGTGCTGTAGGCACCATGAGTAAATGCACTGCGACATCTCCATCTGAGTACACTCACTATTCCTACCTCCAGAGAGGGGATCTGTTTGGAGGAGCCTGTCTCCATTCAGTGAGCACCCCTGTTGGGTGGGGGGTTGAGCCACGCCCCTTCAGAGGCTGTTGGCCTTGCCTGCGTCTGGCTACCTTTAGCCTAGCCACAGGTTTCTGGTATATTCAGTTCTAGACAGGTAGTAGAGCTTGTTTTGCCTTTTCCACATGAATTCTTCAGAAGGAGGGTGTGTCAGTGGCAAGAGTTTTGAGTTTGAGGCCTTCTGCTCTGTGCAAAACCCTCCTTTTCTGCATCTACAGGGAGTAAACATGGAATCGGTGAGAATCACTTTCCTTGATCATTATGTGGTCAGTATGCGGTGACTGACTTGATGTGACTGGGGAAGGTCCCTTCCCTGGACAGAATATGGTGAGTGTCGTGCCATTACCGGAGAGGATCACCTTCCCTGGCCACATGTGGTAAGCAGTGACTGGGAACGATCATCGCTCCCAGTCAGTGTGTGATTACTAACCTGGAGTGATCCAGGAGGACCACTGTATTTGTTTGCTTGGACTGCCATAACAAATACCACAGAGCGGACAGCTTAAACAACAGACAGTTCTGGAGGCTAGAGGCTGTTGATCAAGATATCAGCAGGTCTTGTTTCTTCTGAAACCTCTCTGCTTGCTTTGCAAATGGCCACCTTCTTGTTATGTCCTCACAGGGTGGTCCCTTAGTCAGTGTTGTATGTGTCCTAATTTCTTCTTATCAGGACACCAGTCATCTTGGATCAGGGGCCACTCATATTATCTCATTTTACCTTAATTACCTCTTTAAAGGCCCTATCTCCACATACGGTCATACTCTGAGTTCCTGAGGGTTAGAATTTCAACGTATGAACTGGAAAAGAACACAACTGAGCCCATAACAACCGCCATCCCTGGTCGGAATGTGTCATTCAAGGATGGTCAACTTAATGAACTGTGTGGTCAGAAGCAATGACCACAGAATGACCATCAGGTCACCTGGAGATTTCCTACTCAAGGGAATGAGAGCAGGAACATATATCTTTGACACGGTGATGAATGAGTTTAGGTAAATGAGGTGGATGGAGGAATGTATTGACTTCTGAATTTTCCTGCAAGGCCACAGATGTACTGCCTCCTCCTCAGCACCAGGAATTCCTTGTTACTTGAACCACAGTGCCTGAGACCAAGTAAGTGTAGTTGAATGTCCTTGGGATAGTGTGGTAAGTCCTAGTTAACAAATCTGACATCAGGCACAAGGGTTAACAATCTATTTAGGGTCATAAAAGAAACACAAACTATCAGCCCTGCACCAAAGAACATAAGGCAGAGGTGATCAGGCTGGGAACAGAAAGTAGGAATCAGCAGAGTTCTGATTCCTGAAGAGGGTAACCTTCTTAAAGTCAGAAACTGATGAACAGGTATGGATGAGGAGGATGGTGATAAGCTGGAGCTAAGGCAGAAGCAGGAAAATGCAAGACATGACAATATCCCTAGGAGGCTGGCTGGTTACAGCAGAGGTATTGTGACCAAGAGGACTGGCTTACAGTGGTGCCAGAGAGAGAAAAGTCTGTGTCTAGGTGTGAAGTGATCTGGGACTGGATTAGTGACGGGGAGTATGGGGTGAGTGTGAGAAGATTGCTAAAAGCTGGCAATTGATGAAATGTTGAAATTAAGGAGGTCCAAAGTTAAACACACAACCCCAAAACCACCATAATGATGTAATCCTGTGACCCCCAAGAGGTTACTAGTTTTGGTACTGGTGCTGAGACCTCTGGAATGCAACACCTATGCTCATGAAAGAAAAGATGGGAACAGTCTCATTGCTTACGGATTCTTATACCCCAGAAAAGTTAATTCCAGTGTGTGGCATTTTATTTTCATCCTAACTTTAGGCTTCTCTAGTCAGCCCAATTGTTAGCAACAAGAAATTAGATAGATGGAAGCAATATTCTCCATTTGACAAGGTTTAGGGGCAAGACATTATTAACCTGGGAGGAGGAGTTAACCTAAGTAACAACAAACAGACTTCATAAAAGGGCTGTGATGCATTCTATACCTTTATCTTGGGGAAAATGCAGTAGGAAAGGGAAACAGCTAGCTTCACAGGAATTTGCTTGGCTTACTGGGATAGAACAAGAAAACCTGTCCTTTATATGCTAACTGAACATTAAGTCTTTTGAAAGCAAGAGGACGACTCCACTCCCAGTATCCTTTCCCACGGAAGGGTTTTCTGCAATTATCGTAAATGTCCTCTGAAAGCAATCCTAGATTACATAACTAATCCCATATATGTATGAGTATGTGTGTATCCTATACATATAAACTAGGATTATATATCTATGTAAAACATTTGTGTCTTGCACAGAACTTTGAAAATTTCCACTGTCTTCAAAGGATAACAGATCTTGAGTAGGTTGCTGAGGGCTTTCATCTTTTTCCTTAGCACTATAAATGCAAAATCGGCTATTCAGCCTATTGGGACCCTCCCTACACTGCCTTCAGTCAGTGCCTCAGAAGGGACACCATTCGCGACAGCGGACGTTAGCAGTGGGGTCTAGGTTCCATAAATCCCCAACTGATGTTGACACTCCGAGGAACCTCTGCCAAGTTGTAGCAAACTGGGTTCTCCACTTACAGGGTACGTTCCGGTCCTAAGGAAGACTCTCAAGAAGAGTCAGAAAATAGGTCTTTGGTAGGCACTGAAGTTTGGTAACTAGTCGCAGGCAGCTGGGACGAATTTTGCGGCTTCCTTCTCCCCGGTCTCCGGATATTCACACCTCTCGAACTGACCTCTCTGAAGGTGGGAAGGAGTACACAGAGCAGTAGTTCCAGCCCCGCGCGCCCCCTCTGCAGCGCCGCCCCCTCCGCCCCTCCCTCGCGGCAGCCCGAGTGCGCCCCACCTGCGCCGCCACGCCGCCGCGCCTCCCCGCCCCGCCTCGGGCCAGCCAGGCGCCGCACCCTCTCACCGCCGGGCCCCGCCCCGCACACGCGCCCCCGGCCGGTGCCCCGCCCCTCCCGTCACGTGACAGACCCACCCTCCGCACCCGTTCCGATTGGCTCTCCCGACCTAGGGGGAGGGATCTGGCGAACGGCGATGCCCCAGACGCGGCTGCAGTTTTCAAACCGCGACTGCAAGCTTCGGTAGTCCTCTCCGCTGCTGTCGCCAGGAGTCACTTCACGAGAAGCCAGGTCACAACCGTCGGCCCTTGTCTGGAAAAGTAAAAGTGGATCCTGCCACGTTCGGAGCTCCCTGGCGCCTCGCCCGGCTGGAGCTAGAGAACTCGTCCTGTGGCGGCCCCCGGCGTGGGGCGGGACAGCGGCCCCCTGGAGGGGGCAGTCCCGGGAGAACCTGCGGCGGCCGGAGCGGTTAGTGTCCTGCGGGATTGGCGGGTTGGCTCGGGGCTGCGATGGAACCAGCCGCCTCGGTACAGAGACCTCATACGTGAGGAAGGAGGACCCGAGGAGGGTTTAGGCGGTACGGTCCGGCTGAGAGGGGCTTGGACTCCGCCGCCCCTGAGGTGGCTGATTGCTGCTGGCGCCTCTCCGCTTTGCGGCTGGAGTCCGGGTTCCCTGGGGCTCCGCGCGGGGGGCGGCCGGCGGTCCTCCCACCACCCTCCTCAGCCCGGGGCGCGTGTCTGTGTCTGTGCGTGTCCGTGTGTCCCCGTGCGCCCTCCACCCGGCCGGCCCCGGCTCTCCCCAGGTCGCGCCAGGCAGGGCCCCCTTCGCGGCGGGCCCGCGCGGGTCCCTTCCACAGCAAGGCCACGCGGTCCCCCTAGCCTCTCCCGAGTCCCAGCTGCGGCGTGGGCGCGTTCCCATCGGGACTCGTGGACGCGTCCTGCTCCCAGCTGCCTTTCGTCTAGAGAAAGTTCGTGTTCATCTTGTGGGACGTTTTCAGTTACTGCTTGGGAACAGTGTTTTAAAACCAGCGAGAGATCAAGACGGGCTACAGCTGTTTCCGTGATTTTCAGCGATCTGATTTTTGCTTTGATGCCTTGTGACCCACTTAGTGTGCACGACTCATCCTCAAACTATACCACTACTGGATGCCAACGATTTTTGACATTTACCCAGGCTCTTTGTTTTATTGTAGGGAAAAGCGTTTCATTTGAATTTCCTCCGAGGGAGAAGTAGAGACAAAGTTGAAAGAGGCTTTATAGCAGCTGGTAGCTGGCATTAGTTTCTGTCTGGACTAGAGGCACTCTGACATCAATTTGGAAATTGGAATTAAGAAAATACGTTTTTAAAATCGTAATACTTATCAGATTTCACTAATATTTAAACACATGAGGACTGTGTATCACATTCACCGATTGTTTTGTCGACGTAATGTTTACATCTGTGGTGCTAATGATAAGCAGAACCTTGCCAGGGACGTTTGACGTGGTGTGGCCACTTTACGTTTTCAAGTCTATGAGAATGTCTGCGCGGAGACAGCATAGCTCTGTAGAAATGAGTGGCAGCGTATGTAACCTGGCATTTTGAACCCAGGAGCACAATTTTATTAAAGGAAAATAAACCTACTTTCTCATTGATAACACTGTTTTTTAGTTTTATGGTGAACTGTTCGGAAGTAATTTTCAACAAGTGCTTATTTTATAAATATTAGACCGTGTACCCCTAGGATTGTGTATTTTTTAAGAAAACTGGTCCATAGAAGCGGTGCAAAAGTTTTAAACTCATCTGCCTCGGATCCTCCTCCTCTGAGCAGATGCTCAATTAAACTTTTTCTAGTATCTTAATAATTGGAGGTATTAATAGATGTTTTATTTTTGAGATACATATTGTACATTTTAGATCTTTTTTTTTTTCTAAAGTAGGGATCCAAAATTGAGGTGAAATATATTTGCTTACATGGCAAGACTTTTTAAAAGTAGAATTTCTGTAATTGAAGACCATCCTTTTTTGTGTGTGAATAGAATGGTTGCGGTTTCTCTTGGGATCATTGATTAGTGAATTACGATTTGGTTAAGATAGAATGCGTTTTTAGGAAGTTGGAGGTTTGACTAATCGCTGTGTTAGCATATGAGTAACAAATTTGAAGAAGATACAAGCATTTTTATGGCTGACGTTTCTAATCAGATAATTTTATTTTTAAGCTTGCTCTGTTTTACTTTTGTTAAGTGAACATTTTAACATGTTTTAAAGCTCTTTGATAATTATAAGGGAGAATTTCCTTATGAAAATATTTTTGCTTTAATTTTAGAGACACAAGAAGTCAAGGAATTCAGTTAATAACACTTTCACTTAATCGTTAAATTGCCTTAAAATTGCATGCATAGTATATTGTAATTCACATTTTCTGTATGTAAGATTGGCAGTTAAGAATAGTATTCTGGCCGGGCGCAGTGGCTCAAGCCTGTAATCCCAGCACTTTGGGAGGCCGAGGCGGGCGGATCATAAGGTCAGGCGTTCGAGACCAATATGGTGAAACCCCGTGTCTACTAAAAATACAAAAATTAGCCGGGCATTGTGGCGCGCGCCTGTAGTCCCAGCTACTCGGGAGGCTGAGGCAGAAGAGTTGCTTGACCCGGAAGGCCGAGGTTGCAGTGAGCCGAGATCACGCCACTGCACTCCAGCCTGGGCAACAGAGGGAGACTCCGTCTCAAAAAAAAAAAAAAAAAAAAAAAAAATAGTATTCCTAGGCTTACTACTTTTAAAGGATACTGATTGATTCTTCTTTTCATAAAGAAATCTTCTGCACTGTATGGGTATTTGTTTTGTCAGAAACATTAGCAGTCATTTATCTACTACCTTTCCACTTAGGAAAACTTCAAATGTCAGTTGCTTTAGTTTTTCATAATATTGATGACAAAATTCAGTGATTTTATGTTTAAGTACTGTAGTTTGTATTCTATGCTGGGCTGTTATCAAAGGCTATTTCTTTGAATATTTCAGTTAAGAAATGTTCTTATAAAGTTACAAGCATGTATTTTTATTTAAATATGTTGTAATGTTGCAATTTTCAGGGCATACTTTATTAAGTTTTTTATTATCCTTTTTCCAGAACATTTAACCTCAAACTTCAGTGCCATTTAAAACATATATATTAGTTTCTTTTAATATTTATATGCATTGTATTTTGGTTCATCCCTGACCCTTTGCAATTACTCCAAAAGAGGGTGTAGTGATACTGTAAGCATTGAAAAATTTTAACAGTGAGATGGTAATTTCCTCTTTAATCCTTAAAGGCAGATTCCATTTTGCATTGTAATAGTTACTGAATAAATAGTACTTAAGCGGTGCTATTAAGTAAACAATATTTTACAACAGAAACCCAATTTTCCGTCTTGTGAGTGACAAGCACCATGCATTTGTTGCCCACCCCGGAATCCCCCACTCTATTTCCGTTTTTCAACCTTTTATCCTGGTTCACAATTAACAGGTTTAACTCTTTTTCTGGAGGTGGGAAGACACAGCATTAGGCCTTAGGGTCTTGGCACAGAGTCAGGCCTAGGAGTCATTGCCTGACACTTCAGCCCTTGGATAGTATATACTAGAATGGTTGGATTAGAGTTAGTTTAGCTGACTTCCTATTGTGATTTTTAGAGGATTAAGTTTATGAATTATATTTTCTGTTCAAAATATTTTAAAAAACAAAACCTGTTGGCAGAATACATATGAGGAATATAATCTCTTCCTTGAAATTGAAAATCATCATCATTTCCATCTTGATACCAATACTTCTAATCAATGACTAATTAAAAACACATACTTCTGCCACACCAGGAGAAAGTTCTTCCTTTACTTTTGATGGACGTTAAATCTCTTTTTCAGTTTCCTAGGGAAAGCTTGCTAGCAGTAAATGCCTTAAATGCCTATGTAGAAAGGAGTTGCTTCCCTTAGAATCTTCGGGCTTACTTTGCTTCCTGTTGCCTTTCCAATGTACTTCATGATGATCTAGACTTATCAGTGATAAATCTTGATAGGACACTTACCTGAATCTCCTGATTTTTGGAGGCTCTTAAAAGAGTGATGTTCTTAACTGCAGTAGGTATTTGTATTAGTAGCTTATATTAAAAACAAGTAGCCACCTTGTCTGGAAACAGTGGTAAAAACAAAAGGTCTATTGGCATTACATTATAGTATATGACAAAATAATTTTATCTGTGTTTCCAGACTTTGTGGCTACCTGTTTAGAACTGACATTTTGTAAGTGCAATTTAAAATAGTTACTTTATTTGTCCAAATGCTGAATTAAGCAGAGACTAGCTGCATTCAGAGCTCCAGTACTGTAAATTCAAGATGGATCTCAAGTTCTCCTAACCCCTCGAAGACATGAGATATACCTACAAATTCTTTTTTCTATATCTCATAATTCTTACAATTCAGTTCATCAAACATTTTTAAAATTCCTACCGGGTGGCAGATACCATGCTGGTTGCTTAGGCACAAAAGTAAAAGGATGCTGCCCTTTAAACACTGAACAGAATTGCAATCTAACATGTTACATTTTGAGGTAAAGAAGTATGCCAAGGATCCTCTTATTTGAAGCATAAAGGAGAAGCCTTTAAATCAGCCTGTGGTTTTTAGGCAAAGCTTCCTGGGGGAGAGGCCATTCTGTGTTGAGTTTTGAAGGATGTGTAAGAAGAGTTAGCCATTTAAGGAAAGTAGAAAGGCTTTTTCAGGCAAAGAAGTATAACAAAGATGTGGTGGCAAAATATGAAATATGAGTGCGGCAGGAAATGTAGCTGGTGTATACTTGGCCTCAGAGGCCTTTATGTGTCATGCTGTAAGTACTTGAAAGCTTGTAGATACTGGGGAGCTAATGAAGGAATCAAAACAGACAATTTGATTTTCTAAATGTCTTTATTATTGTATATTCTATTTTTTAAAAACTTTCTTATTTGATAATTTTGAAATAAATATCATGATAAATACTTTTTAAAATAGAGCTAGAGGTTTATAGAGATAGTCTTGCTTTTGTTCACATCACACTTGCTTTCTGCATTCAAGTAAGTGAAGGCCCAGATCAAGCCTAACATTTCCTTCTTTTCCTTCCTTCACTGATCTACTTCCAAATTCTTTTGGTAATTATTATAATGAGAATTAATGAAAAAAATCTTTAAAAATAAGTGAGATACCATTATTTGTAGTAGTACTGTGTGATTAAAAGCTTAATTGTGTCTTACCTTCTATTACACTTTTTATAGGATCTAATCGTGTATACACATGCATATAAATTTACTTACCAGGTCCCTTAAGATTTTTTTTAAATGCTATAACCTGATAAAATGTTATGAAATGAATTTCAAATGGAGTGAGACATATAGGTAATTTAGAATCGGTAATATGAAGTGTGGTAGAAGACAAGAAAAGGCCTGGGAATTGTTGGAGTTAAAGAGAATTTGGTGGGAAATTTAGGAAGATACAAGAAGGAGCGACAGAGAGCTGACTCATAACCTGCATGTACCTTATATGAAGGGCAACCAGATGTTTGAGGAGGGCTTGGTGGACAAAGGTGACATTCATGCTCCACTATATGCAAAACTGGCCAAAGGAGAGGAAATGGAAAAATATCTTGGCTCTGACAATTGGTTCAGATGCAGTAAATAAAAGGAAAATGAACTTAAGAAATGCTTAATGGATGCCTAAAGCAGCTTGTGATGTAGGTATATTTTTAATAAATAGATGAACTTATGAGGAAATTGGTACCCATATTGATCTTTCAGAACAATGGAAAAAAATCAGTGAAACTGAGCGCTATCAGAACTAAGAAGATACATAAGTAGTTAAAACAGAAAACAAAAATACTTTTAAGAATGAAGTTTAGACTAAGTTGGGATGAGAATTTTGTACATGGAAACAGTACAGCTGTTCAACAATGGCAGGGAACTGCAGGGAGAGTATTTTTGGGTAGAATGTTAATTTTGTTTTGTGGAACAATAGCGATATGCCCTTGTGACTTGCACTGTACCTGTGTCAGTGGACATGAGTTCAGCATATTTTAATTTTTAATCCTTGCAGCACTGGAAGATCAATTCTTTTATCATCCATACTTTAGAGGCAGCAAAATCGAAGCTTTCTTCACCAGTAAAAGGGAATGCGAAGTAAATCACAACAAAATTCCATTTCACCTTCATCACACTAGAATAGCCAAACTTAAAAGTCTGAATTGGGCAAGTATTGTCAAAGTAGTGATAAACCGTCCCATCCAGTGCTAGTGGGAGTGTAAACTGGGGGTGGAAAGAAGGGGCTATGTCTAATATGTTTTATTTTTAATTTAAATGAAATATGACCAAGTAATAAGATTGGAAAGTAAATGTTTGTATATAGTGTTCCTTATCTTACATTTGAAATATTATATATTTTGTTTTCTTTTTAAATAACTGTGTTGCCGCAGATCAGGCGACTTAACAGAAGTATATTTTCTCAACGATTCTGGAGGCTAGAAATCTGGGATCAGGGTGTCTGCGGGGTTGGTTTCTTCTGAGGCCTGCCCTCTTGGCTTGTAGATGGCTGCCTTCTCCTAGTGTGTTCACATAGTCTTTCCTCTGTGTGTGTCTGTGTCCTAATTGGCCCACTTTAATGACCTCATTTTAACTTAATCACCTTTTTAAAGGCCCTGTCTCCAAAGACAGTCACATTATGAGATACAGGGGTTAGGGTTTTTCAACTTAGGAATTTGGGGGAGGACACAATTCAGCCCATAACAATAGCAAAGTTAAATAATTTAATTAAGGTCTCATAGCTGGTATGATGGATGAATGGAATTCAGACCCAGGTGTCTTTCAGTCTAAAGGTTATTCTCAGAATGCTACACTACAACCCTTTGACTCCTAGAGATGTACCCCAAAACTAGTTAGAGCTGTTTCCCCAAAGACTAAGAGATGTAGAGAAAACAATTTTACTATCTAGTTATGTGAAAGCTATAATTTTAATTTAATTTTTTGAGACAAGGTCTCCATCTATCGCCCAGGCTGAACTGCAGTGACGCGTTCATAATTTGAGAATAACACCAAGAAGAGAAAATGTAGAAACTGAAAACGCTGAACTCTAATGACACTGCTTTTTGGCTAAGTAGACTATAGTTGGCATTTGAATTTAAGAAGATAAAGAACAGTACATATAAGTAGAAAATAGGAAAAAAAGATGTCAGAGGAGGAACAAATGCTTAGCGGGTTACTACAGGAGGGTGCTAAAAGAATAATAATTGATATTTTATTAAGTAGGCATAGCAATAAGTCATAAGTGTCTTGAAATATAGTATCTGTTATTGTTTTATGAATGCAATTAATATAATAGTTTTGATAACACTGAATGCATATAAACATCACAAATTTCCAGATACATATATGAGCTTCAGATACAGAACTTCGAAATAAAGCTTTATGTATAGGTTAGTCACTCTTCCAACAAAATTATTGAGCACTTCATACATAGCAGGCTCTGTGCTAGGTCCTGTCAAAGGAGGGACTCTTAAGACCTTTGAGAGTTTCTGAGTTTAGTACTGAAACATAGCCAATCCGTGGAAGAAGTTCTATTTCTTGTAGTCCTTCACGTCAGTAATATAACTCACAATATGTGCATTTACCACCAAATTTCTTTAGCCATGTGAAAATAAGTTTAAAATGAATAATTATTATCTTGTCGTATTAAATTACCTATTATGTGAAACCTATAACTTTATTTATTTATTTATTTATTTATTTATTTATTTATTGAGATAAGATCTCGCTTTATTGCCCAAACTGAACTGCAGTAGCACATTCATAGCTCACTGCAACCTCAAACTTCTGGGCTCAAGTGATGCTCCTGCCTCAGCCTCCCAAGCAGCTGGGACTACAGGTGCGAGCCACTACACCCAGTTAATTTTTAAATTTTTTCATAGAGATGGGATCTCGCTATGTTGCCAGGACTGGTTTTGAACTTCTGGCCTCAAGTGATCCTCCTGCCTCAGCCTCCCAAAGTGCTGGGATTATAGGCGTATACCACCATGTCCAGCTGAAACCTCTATAACTTTAAAGAATGGAGTTTTATGATGAAACTAAGTGATTGTTTGCATTATAATTTTATCATAACTATTTTTTTTAAATTGAGAGGATTTTTACCGTAGTTTTATTCTGAAATGAAGTCAGTAACTTCGTTCAAGTGCCATAGTGTTATTATGGTTTATGTGTATGCTTTTTGTTTTTTCCTCCTTGTGGATAGAATGTGCTCTTTAAATCTTTTTTTTTTTTAGTTGTATTTTATAGCTATATTTGGAGCTGTGTAATGTAATGCACATCCTGCCTGAGATAACATCTTTTCTCTGTATTCTCTTTTTTTGCATAGGTAAAAATAAGTGACTAAAGAAGCAGACCTGGGAATCACCTAACATGTCGAGGAGGAGATTTGATTGCCGAAGTATTTCAGGCCTACTAACTACAACTCCTCAAATTCCAATAAAAATGGAAAACTTTAATAATTTCTATATACTTACATCTAAAGAGCTAGGGAGGTAAGAAAACCATATGACGTGTATGCCATCTAAATTCAAATTTTGGATTTGTGTTTTTATAATTCTATAAAACTCACTTGGGATCATTATTTAACAATGATTAGGAAGGAAAGTTGTGATCTCTGTTGCTGTTACCTAGGGTCCAGTCTTAACTGACTTGAAAATCAAATCTGTGGAGGGTTTAGTGAACTTAAATCATACATCCTACCTAGCCTCAGAGCCTCTGATAGGAGGTCTCTGTCGTTACATGAGGCTGTGCATGGGAAGAGGCAGCTCAGCATAGTGGACTGCCGAGTTCAAGTTTGGACTCCACCAGTTACTAGGTGTGTGACTTCAACTAAATAACTGTACCTCTTTTTTTAATTTTTGTTTGTGGCGGGGTCTCACTCTGTTGCTCAAGCTGGAGTGCAGTGACATGATCTTGGCTCACTGCAACCTCCTGTCTCCTGGGCTCAAGGGATCTGCCACCTCAGCCTCCTAAGTAGCTGGGACTACAGGCACACACCACCACACTGGGCTGGTTTTTTGTAGAGACAGGGTTTCTCCATGTTGCCCAGGCTGGTCTCCAACTCCTGGGTTCAAGCAATCCTCTGGCCGTGGCCTCCCAAAGTGCTGAGATAATTGGTGTGAGCCCCTGCGCCCTGCCTACTGTACCTCTTAGTGCTGTCGTTTCCTCATCTGAAAAGTAGGGGTGAAGATAATTGTGTCTGTCTTATATGGTTGTTATGAGGATTAAGTTAGTTAATATTTGTAAAGTGCCTAGTACAGTGCTCTGTAAGTTTTTGTTAAATGAAATATTTTTTTAAATTCCTAGGGTATTGTGCTTGGCTTAAAAAAAAAAAAAAAAGAAGAAGAAGAAGAAATAGGGAGATTCTCCCCCTCTCCTAAGTTGAACAAAAAGAATGAATTCATATTTCATAGTCTGATTCTATGTCACAACAAATGAGTGGTTTATAAGTAAAAAGCCTTTACAAATTGTTTTCTCTTAACCAGTGTATAAACTCTGTACGGCCAAGGAGTGACATGATATTATGAAACCATTCTGTACTACCATTTTAATATATGAAAAGTTATAAAAGATATACCAAGTTATTTAAGTTATATATTCAGCATCTTTTGAGCTTTAAATTAAAGGTGCTTAATGAAGGGTTGGAAGATGGTAGTCATCATGTATTTTCAGTTTGATTTTAGTTCTGGAGGTAAATGTTTTGTTGTATGTTAAATGGTTTACTAAGTCCATATTTGTGTTGATAAATGTGCAGCAAAACAATGTGATTGATTTTTGTCTTTGAAAATCTCGATGTGAGAAGAAAAGTTGACTGAATCATGAAAAGTAATTTCATTCTTGGTGGCCTTTTACCTTAAGGGCAGAGGCAAGTCCTGGCTTTTTCACGTTGCAGATGTTGGATGCAGCCTTTCTTTTGCAAAATAAGAATTATAATATCTGGCCAGGTGTGGTGACTCACGCCTGTAATCCCAGCATTTTGGGAGGCCGAGGAGGGTGGGTCACGAGGTCAGGAGTTCGAGACCACCCTTGCCAACATAGTGAAACCCTGTGTCTACTAAAAATACAAAATTAGCCAGGCATGGTGGCGTGTGCCTGTAGTCCCAGCTACTCAGGAGGCTGAGGCAGAAGAATCACTTGAACCCGGCAGGTGGAGGTTGCAGTGAGCCGATATCATGCCACTGCACTCCAGCTTGGGCAACACAGTGAGACTTTGTCTCAAAAAAAAAAAAAAAAAAAAAAAAAGAATTATAATATCTACCTCACTGACCAAGAATTAAATACAAAAGCACATTTCATAATTCCTGGCATACTAATTTAATGTGCAAAATATTTGGGTGTTTTAATGGTGTATTAAAAGATAGAGTTTTTAGAACCTTTTAAAATGTTTTTAAGAAATTGTTCTAAATCTTAATTACTTCATTTTGCATTATAATAGGAAGAAAGGTTTTTTTTTTCTTTTTTTCTTTTTCTTTTTTTTAAGTTTCCTGTATCTCACATTGAACCATAGAATCTCTGCATTGGAAAGACTTCAGTGGTCCGTGGTCTTACTAATACAATGTTTGTATGCAGCGCAGCAATCTTTCCTATAATTTCCCGAACAAACTGTTATCCAGCCTCAGTTTGAATGCTTCAGCGATGGGGAAATGAATATTATGCAAGTCTTGAACAGTACACACAATAAAAGTCACTTTCTTTTCTATTTTTCTGAGTTACTATTTGATGAGTAAATTTACTTACATTTTTTAAATTAACTTTTCAAAATTGGGGACATTATAGGAGCTAAAAAATCTATAAAGTATTTTTGCTTTGAGGGCTTTGGATAATTTAAACTTTGAGGATGATATTAGTAATTCTAAATTGCTTTATAAATGAGGTGCCACCATAAATAAAGTTGAATTAGGCATACTTTTTAGAATTTTAGATCAAAAACTCATGATAGAATTTGATTAAAGCAAATTTAGATTGATTGCTAAATTCCCATTTTAAAATATCTTTATGAAAGAGACCAAGTAACATCTTTCTTTTGAATTGATATGGGCTAATGAGTCACATGGTAAATATTGATATGTTTAATTATTAGATCTTGATAAATTAGAAATCATGGCTTTTCATCTGCCAAGAATGTACTGAAAGTTCTTTCAATATTGTTACCAATTTTAATATCCTATGCTTTTGTGAAATGGAAATTAGAATCATAATCATTTCTTCTGAGGTTTGCACATTTTGAAAGTTATCTTTCTGAATCAACTTTTTTATTTCAGAGTGTTAGTGTTTAATAATTCATTTTCCTTTAGCAAATTAAAGGAAATTATGTAAAAGTTAACAGTTCATTTTTTACTATTCTCAAAAAACTTGAATTGTTCCTGTTTTTTAACATGTTGGGTAAGTTTTTTCTACCCCTCCCCCAACTGAGGCAAAGGTTTCATAGGACTTCTTGTGGTTAGAAGGGTGAGGCAGATTCAGAAATAAACGTCAGCTTCCTTTGTGGCTTACCCTCCCGCCTCCTTTCACATTTTATTGTGTATTCTAGAATGCAGAAGGGGAATGCAGAAGGGTAACTACTAGACCTTTTCGCTGCTGGGAAATCTAGTTAGCCTTGCCTTTTTAGGGTATAACTTAAGGATTATTTTTAAATGCTTTAACTTTTCTTAAATGTTTCAATTACATTTGGAATAGAAACATATTTTAAAGATCATTTTTTATACTTTTAAACTATAGCATTTTAGAATGGAAAACAAATATTTGGTTTTTTTCCTAAGTCATCTGATAATTATGGTAAAAATGTTTACCTTCATAGTATATAAATGAATACACACGCACACATATATATAATTTTATTGGAATCTCAATCTTTTAAGAAATACAAACACTTTAAGTACAGGATACAGAATAGCACAGTATATGGTATTATAGTGGGTACATATTTCTGGCATTCATTCAACAGATATTTCAGTTCCTATTATGTGTTAACAAACTGTAGATTTTATAATTACCATAATAATTAGGACAGATATGGTCCCTGCCCTCATGGAGCTTTTACTTAGTGGTGAACGTTGACAAATAAATAAATCATTATCCACATCATTTGGTCACCTTTGCCCTGGATTAATGAGTACTATACTTGTTTAAGAAAGCCTCTTGGGCTGGTGCAGTGGCTCATGCCTGTAAAATTTCAACACTTTGGGAGGCTGAGGCAGGAGAATCGTTTGAGCCCAGGAGTTTGAAACCAGCCTGGGCAACATAGGGAGACACTGTCTGTACAAATTATGTAAAAAATTAGCCAGGAGTGGTGGTGCGTGCCTGTGGTCCCAGCTACACAGGAGGCTGAAGTAAGAGAATCTTCTGAGCCTGGGAGGTTGAGGCTGCGGTGAGCTGAGATCCTGCCACTGCACTCCATCCTGGGTGATAGAGTCGAGACCCTGTCTCAAAAAAAAAAAAAAAACAACCTCTTGGTAATACCTGGAACAATTAGATAAGAAGTGTTATTTACAGATAAAATAAATAATAAAATTATTGCAGAACTGAATTGTCACAAGCACTACTATAAACTGTTTTTTCAGATGCACAGTTTTCTTGGCTAACTAGTTTCTGTTTCCTAAATTTTACAAGTGAATTTCTTTATAAAGCCCAAAATTTCCTTCCTGTTTTAGTCAAGTTTTTGCTTCGAAATCTAAGTAAGAATTGATAGAAGCAAGTGAGTTACACTTCTTTAACAAAACTGTTTTTTTGTTTTTTTTTTTTTTGAGACACAGTCTTGCTCTGTCCCCCAGGCTGGAGTGCAGTGACGTGGTCTCAGCTCACTGCAACCTCCGTCTGCCGAGTTCAAGTGATTCTCCTGCCTCAGCTTCCTGAGTAGCTGGGATTACAGGCATGTGCCACCAAGCCCGGCTAATTTTTTGTATTTTTAGTAGAGACGGGATTTCATAGTGTTAGTCAAGATGGTCTTGATCTCCTGACCTCTGGATCTGCCCGCCTTGGCCTCCCCAAGTGCTGGTATTACAGGCATGAGCCACCACGTCTGGCCCAACAAAACTATTTTAAAGGGAGGAATTGTTTTATAGTGATTAGAACAGAAAGTTAGGAATTCACATTTCACAGTTTTATTCTTGAGGCTCCGATTCCATTTATGAGCTTTCATGAGGTATTTAATCTTATTCTGACTCAATTTATCCAGTATAAAATTTATGAAACACCAGTGGATTGAATATAAAGGGACTAATTTTTGTGTGTGTGTGCTCATCGAAACCCATCAATTTGTATTCCTTCTGCATACAATGAGAAAATATTTTATAGTTAAGCATTCTCAAATCTTAAAACTGCTTTCAAAGAATCAGGTTTTTATATGCAAATTTATTTAGTTGATGTATTAATATATTTTGATAAATGTAGAAGAGTCAAATTATAGTTTGATTTCCAGTACTTTCCACTGACATCAATTTTGAGGAAATTTGGGTAATAAAAAGTAGGACTCTTTGTCATCTTGGCCTTTGCGAATAGCTAGTAAAATACAGTCAAGCAGTGTAGTCCCCCAGTTTCCACCCCGTACCCCCTAAACACCAAGTTTTGTTTTCCATGCTAAGAGTCTGATAGACTGTGTTAGAAATATATTGAAGGGAATTGAGGCAAGAGGAGTTATGGAACAAACATTGCTTCCTAAAGATCTTTTATTTATACCTGATTTGTTAGTATCAGAATCCAGAGAGTAATTCAAAATTTAAGGTAGAGGTTCTTAATTTTGGATCCCCTATACTCAGCCTTATAAGGTTTATGGATGGGCTTTAAGATCTGAAAACCCTCTGGAATTATATGTAAAACTTCCTATTTAAGGGCTTGTGTATATTTTTCTGGGTAGGCAGTCAATAGAATAGCTTTTATTAATTTCCCAAAATAATCCTTGACTCAGAATAGCTTTAGGCTTTTGTGAAAATAAATTTTTGGCCGCTGTAGACTTACAGTAACACGTATGCCAATAGAAATGAATTTTCGGTGTCTTTAAATTTTGGCAGAGGTACTAAGCACTGCCATTGGAGAGAGCTAAAAGCATACTTATTTCTAAAATGATAAACATGACCTTAATGGGTGTGTTTGTACATAGCTGTGATAACCATTATTTTCTTAGTTTATCATGAAGTATCTTTGAATATTTTCTGTAGGACACATATACCTTAGTTATCTGTTACAGGCTTCAAAGACTACTGAGCATTACTAAGAGACATATTGCTAAAACAATTGACAATTGTGATAGTTTCAAAGGTGGTAAAAATTGTGTTGAAAGGAAAAATTACTAATAAAATTAAATAAGTCAAATACCCATTTTTGCATTCACTTTAATTTCTTATATTTAAAGGTAAGCTATTCTAATTAGAGAGTTAACATGATACCCTATGAAGGGTACAGTTTTTGGAAATAGACCTGAGTTTAAATCTTTACCTTGACTAAATTACATATCTTCTCTGAGGTGTGAAGAACAGGAGAGCATTTATTATATAGGATTGTTGTGATACTTAAACACAATAATTTATATCAAGAGCATGGCATGGAGTTGGTGTGCAAATGAGATTATTTCCCTGCAATGATAATGTATCTTTTTTTTATTTTTTTTTTGAGACAGTCTCACTCTGTCACCCAGGCTGGAGTACAGTGGCATGATCTTGGCTCACTGCAACTTCTGCCTCCCAGATTCAATAGATTCTCCTGTGTAGCTGGGATTACAGGCATGCGCCACAACGCCTGGCTGATTTTTATATTTTTAGTAGAGACAGGGTTTTGCCATGTTGGCCAGGCTGGTCTTGAGCTCCTGACCTCAAGTGATCTGCCTGCCTCGGCCTCCCAAGATAATGTATCATTTTAGTAGTGAAGAATAAATATAATTCTGTCTTATCCTGTTGTTATAGTTTGCCATTTACATTTGTACGTGATAGCACTATAAATTTTATAAAAGTACGTATGATATTTGAATCAATTTAGAGAACAAAGATAAATTCCTAATGACACAGATATTTCAAAGAATTGACTTTAAGTTGGAGGTATAACAGAATCTGTAATATACTAACGTTGTTCTCTGCAGAAAAATTAAAATTGATTGTTCTCATCTTCCCCCAGAGGAAAATTTGCTGTGGTTAGACAATGTATATCAAAATCTACTGGCCAAGAATATGCTGCAAAATTTCTAAAAAAGAGAAGAAGAGGACAGGATTGTCGAGCAGAAATTTTACACGAGATTGCTGTGCTTGAATTGGCAAAGTCTTGTCCCCGTGTTATTAATCTTCATGAGGTCTATGAAAATACAAGTGAAATCATTTTGATATTGGAATAGTAAGTATATACTAAATAGTACCTATTTTAGTTGGTATGAAAAGATGATTAAAATGTCAAGAATAAGAATGATAAAGGTGTGACAAGAACTTGTAAAGATTCCTGTTAATAAAATGTAAAAGGGACCTAATTTATATTCAGATATTTTCATAAGACTAAATGTATAGCCTCGGGCACATACACAAAAACTAACAGCACAGAATAAGCAAATGACAAATACAACATTTGAGGAATGTGGAGAAATGAATATACATTATTTTCTTAATGGCTAATTGATTGAATTTTTCTGGAACACAATCTGATGGGCAGATAGAATTGAAGTAATTTGTATATTTTCTTCATCTATTTGAAAAATACCTTCAAGAAAATAAGAATAGAAAGGAGAATTGAAGTAATTTGTATATTTTCTTCATCTATTTGAAAAATACCTTCAAGAAAATAAGGAGAATAGAAAGGTAAACTGCATAAAACTTTGCTTAATACATTGTTTGTTAAAGAAATACATTTGGTATATGTAATGTGTAAAGCACTATGTTAGTTGTAGCAATAATAAATATATCTCTTGCCACAAGTCTGTGAAAAAGTGAAAACACCCCCAGTATTCTACAGTTCACCAGGTGGTAGGGGTAGAGGATTGTTAAGGTAACCGGTTTGTTACCTAGTATATTGACATGTGACTCTTACAGAGTGCCTTTGTTGCATGATTGTCTGTCACGTTTATTCTAAGGATGTAAAATGTGTTTGAACATCTGCAACAACTGGAAGAGATCAGCTAGATTTATGTTTAGTATACCTTGGGTGCCAATAGTTTTTAATGAAGTAAATATATTTTATGATAAACCAAGAAGAGATAAGTGTTTATTTTAGTAAAAAATGTATTGCTAACTATAGTAATTCTTTTTAGTAACTAACTTGCATCATTGCCTTTTTAAATTTAAAGGTATATTAACCTTATTTTTGTATTTAGTTATTTTAAAATTAATGTTTTTGTTCCACGAAATAGATTGGCTGGAATCAACTTGTGAATGAAAATGAAGATTTTGCAAAATGTTAAACTGACAAGTAGTTCATTTAAGAATGAATACTATGTACATTTCCCAGAACCGTCTTAAGGCGTGTTATATAGCACTTTCAAAATAAATTAGAATTGCAGAAAAGGCCAAGATACTACCAATATGATTTCAGTTTTCATATATTTTGTAATTATTTTTGTCAAAGATTCTTCAGCTGACCTTTAAAAAGTTACCTACTTGCATAACATCTGCATGTTTGAAGTGTGTAAAAAGTAGCTAACATTTGTCAAAACAGTAGTGGAATACTAGGTTTGGAGGATGAATATACATAAGAACATTGACTATTTTCATAAAATCCTCTTTTGGGGGTTCATCCAAACAGCAACGACAAAATACATCGGAAAGATTTGAGACATTTTATGGATGGACCTTGTTCATACTCCGGAAAATTGACTCAGGTACCTTACCCAGTAAACTGGCAGAACTTACTGATCTCTATACCTCTGGCTGAAATGTAGCAAGCACTCAGAAAATGTTTAAGTAGATTAATGTATTACATTTCTTACCAGAGTGACTAAGACCCACTAAAATTTATTGCTAGAACTTCGGCTTAATTACTATGCCTTCCGCTTTTGGGGTGGCATTGTCACATTTAGTAGTCTCAGTTGAAGGTAAAAATTTAATCAGGTTTAGTTGTTTTAGTAGTGTGGCATAATTTTTATATGGTGAAATTAAAACGGTGGAATCTTTAATAACTATCACCCAGTCAATTCTGTCCTCAAATCATCCTACACACTTTTTCTTCCCCAACTCTTATTTTACAAAATTCCAAATCTATAGAAAAGTTGAAAAACTAGTACAATTAACATCCTTATACTCTTCACTTTTACTCACCAGTTGTTGGCATTTTGCCACATTTACTGAACCATTTGAAAGTTGTAGGTATTATGATATTCCTTTTTGTGCTGAAGTATTTGGTGTGGGTGATGATGTGTATTTATTGTATCACATCAGGTGGCAATAAAGTCAGGTTTTATTACTGGTTTTGCTAAATTTGAACATGCTTAAGGTGTAGTCTTCTAGCTCTCCTCATTGTAAAGGAACATTTTCCCTTTTTAATTAATCTGTGTAGTGATATTTACAGACCATGTGATTATTATCTTTTGTTGTTGTTGTTGTTGTTGTTGTTGTTGTTGTTGGAGTCTTGCTCTGTCACCAGGCTCGAGTGCAGTGGCGCGATCTCAGCTTACTGCAACCTCTGCCTCCTGGGTTCAAGCGATTGCCCTGCCTCAGCCTCCTGAGTAGCTGGGATTACAGGCACGTGCCACCATGCCCAGCAATTTTTTGTATGTTACTAGAGATGGGGTTTCACCATGTTGGCCAATATGTCTTGATCTCCTGACCTCGTGATCCACCCACCTCGGCCTCCCAAAGTGCTGGGATTACAGGTGTGAGCCACCGCTCCTGGCCAATATTATCTTCTTAACTTTTCGTCTAGTGATTTCCCTTTCCCACTTTTTAATATTTCTGTGGATTTCATGTTTTTTAAATTAATCTAACACATGGCATTAATGGAAAATAACCCATTATGTTTTAATTAATGAGTTCTAATCAGTTTCTGCCACTGTCTTTTTTTCATGCTCAAATTGTCCCAAGCTTATCAGTGGTTCCCTTTCAAGCTACTTCCTATGTCCTTTTGATATAATGTCATTGGTGTTTGAAGACTCCCTTGCTTTATGCACACCAAAATTTCCAGGGTCATCTTGTTATCTTGCCTGCCCCAGACCTGTAATCAGCCATCTCTCTGAGAAGTTCTGGTTCTTTTAAGTGGGGAATAGCATTTAGAAACCAAATATGGGTGTTGGACATGCTCACTTTTAACGGAGCATCGTTATTTTTAGGACTTTTCTAAGGATAGTGTTAGGAAATCATATTTTTTCAAAATCACGAATTTAGTCTCATAGCTCCAATTCAAGTCCACCACTACAAGGTTCTTCATCACTTCTCACATTCTATATATGCATCTCCCCTCTCTCACAGTGAAAACCCAGGTTCTCAGCAATACTTGCTTATTCACTTTATCCAACAATACGTACAAAATAGTTTCAGCATAACAATACTAATACTGCTACCAACAGCAAACTACTTAGTACAACTGTTTTTTTTTTTTGGACATTGTTTTTGCACTTAGACTATAGTCCATTAAGGGTATCTAGTTAGAGTTATATATATAGTTAGATACATTTGTTTCTGTTGATATTCAGTGTTAGGATGTGATTTTTTATATTCTTATTCTGAAATTCTAAAAAAGGTTTGCATGATTCAAAACTTAAAAAAATGTGGCCAGGCATAGTAGCTCATGCCTGTAATCCTAGCAATTTGGGAGGCCGAGGCCGGAGGATCCCTTGAATCCAGGAGTTCGAGACCAGCCTGGGCAACAAACTGAGACCCTCATCTCCATATATTAAAAAAATAAAAAATAAATAATTGTTTTTTTAAACCACACAAAAAATGTATAAACATGTATCCCCTGTACTGCAAAATCTTGCTCTCATTCCTATTCCTTCTGCTCTCTTCCAACCATACCTATGTAGCTAACCACATTTATTCATTCTGGCTCATTCTTTATATGTTTCTTCTTGCATATATAAGCAAACTTGTATATATTTAATATTCTTACTTACAGAAAATGTAGTATATATACTCCTTTGCACCTTGTATTTTTGTTTGTTTACTTAAGAATATATTCCAGAAATCATTCTACATTAGTTCATAGGCATCTTTTTGACTATTATTATGGCCAGTTTCTTAAATGGCTGCATAGTACTCTGTTGTATGGTTGGATCTTGCTTTAGTCGACCTTCTGTAAATGGGAATTATTATGGAGATGTAGCTTTAGAGTAAATTCCTAGAAGAATGATTGCTGGTCAAAGAGTAAATGCATATGTAGTTTTATTAGATGTTGTCAAATTTCCTTCCATATGAGCAGCACACAATCACTTTTAAAAGGCACTTTTTTGGCCGGGGGTGGTGGCTCACGCCTGTAATCCCAGCACTTTGGGAGGCCAGGGCAGGAGGATCATGAGGTCAGGAGATGGAGACTATTCTGGCTAACAGGGTGAAACCCTGTCTCTACTAAAAAATACAAAAAATTAGCCGGGCGTGTTGGCGCATGCCTGTAGTCCCAGCTACTCAGGAGGCTGAGGCAGGAGAATTGCTTGAACCTGGGAGGCAGAGGTTGCAGTGAGCTGAGATCGCACCACTACGCGCCAGGCTGGGCAATAGAGCGAGACTTCGTCTCAAAAAAAAAAAAAAAAAGGCACTTTTTTGATTTGTACATTTGCTAATTATATGAATCAATCTAGAACTTTCTTCTGGAACAACTATAGCCTCTTTTTGCTTTTGTGTTTTGTTTTGCCTCTACCTAACCTATTTTTTGAATCAGTTTACTTTTGTGAATTAATCTCAAATTCTTGCAACCTGCTTGTCACTTTTAACAATTATTAAAATCTTTCCCTTCTTATTTTAATACATAGTTCATAGGAAAGTATTTCATTGCCAGTTATGAAGTCTACATGATTGTTTTAGCCTTTTATTTCTTCAGAAAGTAATATAAATCTTACTTTTCTGGAAGGTAGTATTAGATCTATTTATACATATGGAGGAAAATTTGAGGATAATTGAGTCATTCCATCACCACTATCCATGAGACAAAGACTTTTCCATACCAAGTGTCTTTAAAGCATATTTGTAGAATTAAATAAAATATAGCTATACATATTAAAAATCTTTTTAAAAAACTTCTGGAAGGAAGGTATTATCTAATTGGACATACTAAGTTTTCAGTGCTGCATTTTGAGCAAATTAAAGTTGGTCATAAAAAATACTTACCTTTGGCTGGACACGGTGGCTCACACCTGTAATCCCAGCACTTTGGGAGGCCAAGGTGGGCGGATCTCGAGGTCAGGAGATCGAGACCATCCTGGCTAACACAGTGAAACCCCATCTCTACTAAAAATACAGAAAATTAGCCAGGTGCCTGTAGTCCCAGCTACTCGGGAGGCTGAGGCAGGAGAGTGGTGTGAACCCAGGAGGCGGAGCTTGCAGTGAGCCGAGATCACACCACTGCACCCCAGTCTGGGCGACAGAGCGAGAGTCGTCTCAAAAAAAAAAAACTTACCTTTTGGAGAACACAGAACAAAAACTTTGTCCTAGAAATAGTGAAAATCAAAAGGGGAACTTACATTCATCAGAGACAACTCTGAGATTATGTGAGAATGCTATTTTCTTTTTGTCAAGAAATTTTGTCTACTAAACATCTCTAAGTAAATATTAAGTACCCAACAGAAAAGGATGGAGACTGTAACAAAACATGCAAAACAGAAAGCCTTACCTTCTGGAATGATCTCAATCACCAGAGAAATAACATTTTAATATGATCTTAACAATTTCAACCATAACGTATGTTGAACATTTACACTCTGGCAGGCACTGTGATAGGCACGTTATCTGTATTCTCATTTGATTTTTAAAACAATCCTCCAAAAAGGGAGATTGGTATTCACATCATATGTCTAGTTAATATTCTAATGTCTTTCCATTCTAAAATCCCATGGACTTTGTTTCTCCCATTAGCATAGGAATATAATTTTAAAGAGACTCTTAATATTCAAATTTTAAAACAAGTTCGTTTTGATCACTGGAAATAAATGCTTATTTTAAAAATCTTTACCATGGCTTTTCAAAGCTATATGACTAGATTTGCATTTTATGGGTAATTGAGATATTACTTTGTTTTACTGAAAATCTTGGCTCTCTATAACTCACAGAAATCTATCATTTTTGATAGGAAAATATTCTGATTTTAATCTTTCATGTATTAACTTTATGTTATAGGAATATTTCTAAAAGATCTTCTCTACTTGCTGTTCCCTATAAAAGACAGATGTAGAGCTAGATAATATATAGCACATAGGTTTTCATGACTGTGTAACCTGTGCTAAAGTACTCTTATCACGTATTCTCACACATAGCACATGTATATATGCATTAGCAAGTGAACATAGATGCTGAATTTCTAAATTTCTTTTGTTGATATCCCTGCAAGGGACAAACTCTTTTTAGAGAGAAAGAGCAGAAGTCACCTGATTTATCTCCCAGGTCAATGATAATGATATAGGCGGCTTTTCTGACTGTAGATATTTTTCTTTTTCTTTTTTGTCTTTTTTTTTTTTTTTTTTTTTTTTAGTCACTGCTCTGGGTGACTGCTCAGGGTGGTTTCCTTAACAGAAGTCTTGTTTGCTACTCACTGCTTCTGTTTCTTTTTCCAATTTCTGCCAACTTCTGCAATTTGCTGCTTGTGTTATCAGTTCTTTCCCTCCTCTTAAGTCTTCCTAATTTTCGTATTTTCTGTAGCTCCACCTATGTTCCTCTGTTGTGTGAGAAATGGCAGTCCTACGAAATACATTGGTCAGCTTGTCAAACTAAAAGGAAGAGACAGTGTGATTGGCTGACAATCATAGTATTTTATTTGATCTTATTATTAAAACAAGCAAAAAACTCTGAGGATACTTTCCCTGATTATAAAAGTAACACCCATTCATTGTGTTAAATTTAGGAGATACAGAAAAGGGAAATCACATGTAAATGATGGTTACTTTATGATATGTTCCTGTATTTAAAAATTATTCTTATTTTTTGGTCTGTGCGTATGTACTTTTAGAGACAACATTTTGATCTACTGGGCATATTCTATTGTAACTCTCCTTTTTCACTTAAGAATATAGTGTGTGCATCTTTATATGTACCATATAGTGTTTCTAAAAATAGATTTTAATTTAGCAAAGACTTTAAAAATTTCCTTCAAAATCAGAGTTCAACAAAAAGTCCCAAAATTTGGAAAGGCGAGATGTTGGCTAGATTTGCAATTAATGTTTGTTGGCTCATTATAATAGCTGATATTGGCTGGGCCCAGTGGCTCATGCCTGTAATCACAGCACTTTGGGAGGCCGAGGCGGGCGGATCACGAGGTCAGGAGATGGAGACCATCCTGGCTAACACGGTGAAACCCAGTCTCCACTAAAAAATACAAAAAATTAGCCGGGTGTGGTGCCACGCGCCTGTAGTCCTAGCAACTCGGGAGACTGAGGCAGGAGAATTGCTTGAACCCAGGACGGGGAGGTTGCGGTGAGTAGAGATTGCACTACTGCACTCCAGCCTGGGCGACAGAGCAAGACTCAGTCTCAGGAAAAAAAAAAAAAAATAGCTGTTATCTATTGAATATTTACCGTGTGTCAGACACTGTGATAAGTATTTATTGAAACGATCTGCTTTGATTCTTCTAGGATGTTTGTGCTCAATACTTTATGTGGATTATCCAATTTAATTCTTAGACCATGAAGTAGGAGCTATTCTATTATTCACATTACAGTAGAAGAAACAGAGGCACATTTTGTCCCAGTTCACCTAGCCTAGTTAGTGACAGAGCTAGAGTGAAACCCAGGCAGTCTTGATTTCAGTAAGCACTCCTATATGCACCATGCTATCCTGTCTCTTCCTAGGCACTGGGAATTGCTTTCCATACTTTCACTTTACTTTCTTGTATTTTGTTTTTAATTTTAGAATTGGTGGAGTGTTCTGGTTATTGAAGTAACTTTAACGAATTTGTAATATAAAATGTTGGTAAATAATCATAAAGTATTCAAGAATAAATGTCTTACCTAAACAATTTATGTTGCTGTACAAATGAAGAATACACATCTATTTTTTATATATTTAGGGGGTGTAAATATGTAAATTCATATTTTATACTGTTTTCTAATAATTTCAAGTTATTTGGTCTGATTTTTATAAGATAGGACTAGATTATCAGTATTTATATCTTGTAAAGTACCTAACAAAAAATATATTCTAAGAGAATCTAAAGTGTTCTTTCTTCATTTTCTTATTTGCTTATGATTGCATTAGTACTATTACCTAATATAATATTATTTGTAATATTATTTTGACTGTCTTTGCAGGAATATATTTAGACCACTTTCTGTTTTGAGACGATTTGTATCATTGAAACTAAACAGTGTAGCCGGAAAGGGAAGGAGTGATGGTGTCACTGCCAGTCTGTGCCTGGATTCCCACTCTGCCCTCAGGAGACCTTGAGAAGGGGTGTGAGAAATGAATACTGACATGCAGACCAAGGGCCGCTAGGCAGTGTGTATATTAATTATTCTTGAAGATTAGTGTATTTCTTTTTTTAGATTAAGAAAATGTGAATTCCCAAAATTGTCTTTCTATACCTTATTTTGGAGTTCACTACTATAAATTTAATAGCAAACTACACTTTTCAATACTCAGATTATCTTTATCATGATATGTTGAGGTAGATATTAAAATTAATGTCTCGGCCAGGCACGATGGCTCACACCTGTAATCCCAACACTTTGGGAGGCCAAGATGGGCAGATCACGAGGTCAAGAGATCGAGACCATCCTGGCCAACATGGCGAAACCTTATCTCTAATAAATACAAAAATTAGCCGGGCGTGGTGGCATGCACCTGTAGTCCCAGCTACTCGGGAGGCTGAGGCAGGAGAATCTCTTGAACCCAGGAGGTGGAGGTTGCAGTGAGCCGAGATGGCGCCACTGCACTCCAGCCTGGCAACAGAGTGAAACTCCATCTCAAAAAAAAAAAAAATATATTATGTCTCATGAATTTACAGCAAGTTTTGGTGAGTGTAATGGGGTTAAAGTGACATATATGTGATTGGAGCTTTCACGTGTATTCCTTATAAGCTGTCCTACAGAGTTTTTTTCTGCAAAGTCAGAAAGTGTAAAGCACCATATGTTTGCGGCTTCTAACTGGCTTACTGTGTTTAGATTGCTCAATTGCAAATTATATCTAGAGTGTGAAGTGTCAGTCCTTGTGACTTTCAACTTGGGACTGAAATTTGAGCCCACCATTATTTTTTCTTCTTATGGCTCCTAACACTTATGACATATTTTTTCCTCTTGGCAGTCACTGAGACTTCTGAATCCCCAGCTTCAACCCCTCTAAAGAATCGCTGCCCATTCCATCATTCATTCATTCAACAAACATTACTGACCACCTACTGCAGTGCATGCTAGATACTGTTCTTGATGTGGTTGTAGCAGTGAGCCAAAGAAGTAAAAATAGAGTAATAGTATTTTCCAGAGTGAGTTACTATTTTATCAAATAGAATATACTTGTGTATTCCCAAATATACCTTACAAATTTGATGAATAACTGTATAAATGTTTTTGCATGATGTTCTAATTTTATCTTATTTAGATTTAATCCCTCCTAAAAAAATCTGTGGATTTTATTGATATTTCTGCTTTATGGATGACTATAAGTAACTGACCCTAAGTTATATTGCAGGTAAATAGAAGAGTTAGGATTTATGTTTCGATAATTCATTCCAAACCTAGGAATTTTTCACTGTGCCTTTTTCAGCATTCTTTAAATTTCAGTTCTTTAGAATTTATTTATTTATTTATTTGTGTTCTGGCCCCAAGTATTCTGCATGAAGCTACAGTACAAGATGGTATTGGCTAAGAATGCAGATTCTTACTCATATTCAAGTTTGTTAACCTAATTGTACTTGTTTCTACTGTAAAATGGGTGTAGTAACCATGTACCTCACATGTTTGTCATGAGGCTCAAAATAGATGATATATATATAAGAATTCATATATATGAAAACATATGTATATATATGAATACATATAGATGTACATATATGAGGAGAGCACAAAGAGCTACTATTTTTATTATCTTTATTGCAGTGAAGGCAGGCTGCAACATTATTGGATCATAAAGCAATTCAGTTTTATTTATTAATATTCAAGTATTAGTACCCAGAATTTGAAATAGTCTCATCACTTATTTTCTTTTTTCTTTTTTTTGGGGACGGAGTCTTGCTCTGTAGCTCAGGCTGGAATGCAGTGGTGCCATCTCGGCTCACTGCAACCTTTGCCTCCCAGGTTCAAGTGATTCTCCTGCCTCAGCTTCCCAAGTAGCTGAGATTATAGGCACCTGCCATCACACCCAGCTAATTTTTGTGTTTTTAGTAGAGATGTTTCACCATGTTGGCCAAGCTGATCTCGAACTCCCAACCTTCAGTGATTCGCCTATCTCAGCCTCCCAAAGTGCTGGTATTACAGACATGAGCCACCGCACCCAGCCATCATCACTTATTTTTTTCCTTAAAGATCTCTCACTTCCCTGCCCTATTTTTAAGTGTAACGTATTAACATTTATATAGTTGTATGTCTTTTACTTAACAGGTACACAATATTTAAAAGTGTTTAGGTGAATGAATTTTCAAGTCTCTGTTCTTTGAATTTTATTTTAGTGCTGCAGGTGGAGAAATTTTCAGCCTGTGTTTACCTGAGTTGGCTGAAATGGTTTCTGAAAATGATGTTATCAGACTCATTAAACAAATACTTGAAGGAGTTTATTATCTACATCAGAATAACATTGTACACCTTGATTTAAAGGTAACGTAACGTGATTTAAAGTAATGCAACATCTGTGTTCTTCTTCTGCTCTTAGTATGCACAGTTGCAAACTGGTATTAACAGGAAACAATGGTTGGTTCCTGGTCTTCTAGACTGCACTGGTGTGCTCTTTGCTTACGTGTGCCTATGTGGCCTTAATTTTATATTGGCAGAAAGGAGAAGAGTGCATGTGTAAGCAGCTCAAATTACTGGGCTCTTAAAATGCATCATTCCTGTGTTCTAATCCTACATTAGATGGAATTATTCCATTCCATCCCACTCTTACAACCACATCCTGGACCTTCTTATTTTAAAATGCTGTCTATCTCTGAAATGCTCAATTGTGTAATCTCCATCTCTGAAAATAAATCCTGCTAATCCTCATGCATTTGCTCCTATTACCTTCATTCATTTTTGTCTTGAGGTTTTCAGTCTTTTGGCTTCTTCCAGATCGTTCAGGCTCTTTACCCAAGCCCCGAACCTCCAGTCTCTTATCTCCATCTCTCATGTTGTTATCCTTTCTCCTTATCCTTCTTTCATAACCACACAAGGACCTTAAGATCTGAATCAGTCTGTGTCTCATTTTTTGAGCATTAGATTCTTCTGTTTTTATATGGTGTCCTTGCATGACCCTTTGGCTTCTATTACCACTTTAATAATAATAATAATTCAAAAATCTCCACCTACAGCCCAGGCCTCTCCCTTAATTTCCAAATCCTCTTACCGCTTTTTCAAAAGAAAAAACCCTGTAGTTCTGTTTTGGGCCCCACTATGGAGCAGGGGGACAGTATTTACCATCTAGTATCCCTGCTATTTCCCCAACTGATAAAATATTGGAAAAGAAGCAACACAGTAAATGCCAAGATAATCACGCTCCCACCAGCTTCCTGTTGGGTCATTTTCCTGCTAACATCAACCCAAGTACATTACATAGCATCACATAGCCCTTGAAGTGGGATGGCATATAAACCTGTGGTTGACAACAACAGAGCTAATTACCTTTACCTTTTCTCCTGTAATAGGCTCTGTGCTTTAGTAATAAACAAGCATGAGATTGCCCCAAAGTTAAGCGACTGTTATAATTCTTTGCACAGATTTTGGGAGCAGCACCTTGGCAGAGGTATGGGTTATGACAGCAGCAGGGGACTTTGTAATAGGCCGTGGGCCTGCAGTAGTAGTAAAGCAAAGTCACGTGGTTTTAGGAGGCAATGGATGAGGTGTACTATGCCCTCTTATTGTCTAAGCTAAAGCCAGGGAACAGTCAGACCTGGCTCATCCAGAATCATCCCATTGTACTGAACCATTTTTCATTTCTGGAAATGTTTACGTTCTCATTCCTTTATGCCTTCTTTTGTGCTGTTCCCCAGAGCACCTTTCTGTTGTTCTTTTTTTTTTTTTTTTTTTTTTTTTTTTTTTTTTTTTTTGAGACAGAGTCTCGCTCTGTCGCCCAGGCTGAATTGCAGTGGTGCGATCTTGGCTCACTGCAAGCTCCACCTCCCGGGTTCACGCCATTCTTCTGCCTCAGCCTCCCAAGTAGCTGGGACTACAGGTGCCTGCCACCACGCCTGATTTTTTTGTATTTTTAGTAGAGGCGGGGTTTCACCATGTTAGCCAGGATGGTCTTGATCTCCTGACCTCGTGATCTGCCTACCTCAGCCTCCCAAAGTCCTGGGATTACAGGCGTGAGCCACCATGCCCGGCCTCTTTTTTTTTTTAATTTTTTAATTTTTTTTTTATTTAAGAGAGGGTCTCACTATGTTGCACAGGCTACTCTTGAACTCCTGAGCTCAAACGATCCTCCCACCCCTGCCTCCAGAGTAGCTGAGACTACAGGTTGACACCACCGTACCCAGCTACCCAGAGCACCTTTCTAACCAGCATACTCTTTTAAGTCTCAGCTTACGCATCATCTCTACTGCAAAGCCTTCTTGGAATTTCTTATTGACAGAATGAGGCAGTCTTTTTATTACTGAGTATTCTATATCTTAATCTTTCCATTTAACTTCTTTTCTCTTCAAACCTAGAATCCTTTTTGGGTGTGTTTTTGGCTTTATGCATCATTGAATAATAGCTCCGCCTAAGTAGTAAGTCAGTAAATGTTTGATGCATGACTCAATGAAATGTATAATAGCTGAGCAATATCTTCCACTTAATATACTTTCCATCTGAGACTAGTATGCTTTTTTGTATATTACTTATCATGTTTTTGTTGTACTTTGTTTAGCCACAGAATATATTACTGAGCAGCATATACCCTCTCGGGGACATTAAAATAGTAGATTTTGGAATGTCTCGAAAAATAGGGCATGCGTGTGAACTTCGGGAAATCATGGGAACACCAGAATATTTAGGTAAGAATTTCCTTTTATTTTCTATACCATTTTGAAATTTATTAAGTAAATGATACCTCTGTAGAACTATATTTTAGAGCATGTAATTCGATTCAGTTAAAAGGATTTGATTGGTTCAAGTATTTTGATACATTAAAACTTGGTTAGGTTAAGACACATTTAAATGAAATGAATAAAAGTATGAAACATTTACAGCAATTCAGGGGACACTGAATATGTAAGTGTACAAGTTGAATGTTTGTGTATAAAGGATTTGTACATAAGGAAAAAAGAAATGGGTAAGAGGGAAGTTAGGGAAAAAGAGAAAAATGGAAAAAGAAAAACTGCTGCAGTGAAGTGGCCCATGATTGTCTTTGAAGCCTGGCTGTTGGCTAGATCTCACTTCTATTTCTGGTCCCAATTCCAGAGCTGTTCACAATACAGATATCTTCAGTTTAAACTTACAGGAATTGTTAGCCGGCCACCTCATTTTTGTTTATTGCTGCTGCTTTAGAATATGAGGTTTTGCATAGGGTTGTGAAAGTAGGGTTTTGAAGAAGAGTGCCAAAAAGAACCTTTGATTAGGTAATCTGGGCATATTGTGTGAAATCAACAAATTAGATTATGCATATGAAAGGTTTTTAAGTTGTATGAAGCAGTATATAAATTTGAAGTATTTTAACTTATAATCTTTTTTCTTTTTTCTGTTTATTGTTTATACTGATGTCCCCATGTGGACATTGAAAAGATACAGTTAAACAGAACAGATGCGACTCAGCTAGGCAGCTGTCTTTTCCAAAAATAAAAAGCAGAGAAAATTACTAACTTTTGAATGCTAACTGGGGCTATAGTCCTAGAATAAATGAATGTAATTATTGGTAACACAGCTCACAGAAGTATGTGAAAATGTAGGTGGTTTAACAGAAGCTGACTGTATATGATTTAAAGGCTTTATTAATAAAAATGTTAGGCTTTAGGAAACAGTTTCTCTTTGGAGAAATTATGAAACCATATTGTGAAACAAGAAACTTATTTTTCACTCATAAATCCTAGTTTGGACTGTACTAATTCGAAATAATATGGTAATGTTTAGAAAGCATAGAGAATTTATTTTGCACTTTTTTTTTTGGCAAGTGAAGACAGCAGAAAATTAATTGCTTTGGAAATTAGGTCCTTGATAATTTAAGAGGAATGTTTAATTCACTGGAAAATCTAGCATTTCTGGCTGGGTGCAGTGGCTCACACTTGTAATCCCAGCACTTTGGGAGGCCAAGGCGAGTGGATCACTTGAAGTCAGGAGTTCGAGACCAGCCTGACCAACATGGTGAAACCCCATCTCTACTAAAAATACAAAATTAGCCAGGTGTGGTGGTGCATGCCTGTAGTCCCACCTACTTGGGAGGCTGAGGCAGGAGAATCGCTTGAATCCAAGAGGTGGAGGTTGCAGTGAGCCAAGATCATCATGCCATTTGTACTCCAGCCTGGGCAACAAGAGCGAAACTCCGTCAGAAAAAAGAAAATCTAGCATTTCCGAGAAGCAAAATTTGCTCATGATGTCATTGCAGATGCACATGATCCTATTTACCCCAAAAGAAAAACCTAAATTAATCTAAGAAAATAATGCAAATTAATTCTAAAGTAATAAAACTAATTTTTTTTTTAAATTCTAGCTTCCAGAGTTTTACTTTTTTATAATTGTTTTTTTCTGAGATTAACCTAAATGAGTTTAACTACCTAGCCACTAATTACTCCAAGAATATTATCCATGTTTTTGAACCACCTGATCATATAATTTACTCAATAATAGGGATGTTTAAATGTCCAATCATAGGATAATTAATACTGTGCTAAATTTCTAAATTTCTATCGTCTTATATCACTAGGCTTTCCAAAATTAAATCCAGTTACAATTTTTATTTTTTCCGAGACAGAGTCTCACTCTTGCCCAGGCTAGAGTGCAGTGGTGGGATCTCAGCTCACTGCAACCTATGCCTCCCGGGTTCAAGGGATTCTCCTGCCTCAGCCTCCTGAGTAGCTGGGATTACAGGCATGTGCCATCACACCTGGCTAATTTTTGTATTTTTAGTAGAGACAGCGTTTCACCATGTTAGCCAGGCTGGTCTCGAACTGTGATCTCAGGTGATCTGCCTGCCTCAGCCTCCCAAAGTGCTGAGATTACAGGCATGAGCCATCATGCCCAGTCCCAGTTATAACGTAATATAAAGTGATTTTCTTGTTTTAAAATTTGTCAATATTGAATTTAAGTTTTATCTTTTCTTTCAGCTCCAGAAATCCTGAACTATGATCCCATTACCACAGCAACAGATATGTGGTAAGATGTTGTTAGTTACCTTAAACATCTTTATGGAAAGTTGGGAAACGTATATTCTGGGGTTCTTTGACTCCAAGAGTAATAAATAATAAGGCTTTCTTCAAAAGATTTTATTTGAATATCATTATTATGCTACAGGAAAATATTTACCTTTCCATTATTTTTAAATAACACTTAACTTCTGAGCCAAAAGTACAGAAATTAATAGGAAAATCTCTCTCTGTGATGAAAACTCAGTTGAGTAAAAGAACAAAATACTTGCAGTACATTGCTACATATTTTATGATGAAGGTGAAATGCTTAATAAGCATAGAAGCAGCAGCAGACAGTCCATTGCCGGGCTCCACCTCACAAAGGGAGACATCTGATCTAGGTCTAAAAGAGTTGGCCGGGCGTGGTGGCTTACACCTGTAATCCCAGCACTTTGGGAGGCCAAGGCAGGTGGATCATCAGGTCAGGAGTTAGAGACCAGCCTGGCCAACATAGCAGAACCCTATCTCTACTAAAAATATGAAAATTAGCTGGACGTGGTGGCGCGTACCTGTAATCCCAGCTACTCAGGATGCTGAGGCAGGAGAATCACTTGAACCAGGGAGGCAGAGGTTGCAGTGAGCCAAGATCATGCTATTGCACTCTAGCCTGGGTGACAAAAAAAAAAAAAAAAAAAAAAAGCTAGAAGAAGGTATTTGTTAAGCAGAATAATTAGGTCAGGCCCACCCAAAAATGTACTTTTATGAGAGTACATCTCTGGGAAATTATGAGTTTTTGTAGCTAGCCAAGAGAGAATACCATAGGGAATAGAACCAGAACTGATACTGGAGCTTCAGTTGAGACCACAAAGGGGACTGACTCCTCAGACCAAGTGGAAGGTTTAGACCTGTTCTGTGTTCTGTGGAACTGCTCATGGGTTTGCCCAGGAAAAAAGATGGTATGGCTAAATAAGTTGGTGAAACATGTACTATATTGTCTTTTTCTGGCTCCTGGGCACCAGACTTGCCATTAACACATTTACAGATTTTAAAAGGTTTGCAGTGAAAAAATTTGCCTGCCCAGCTTTGTGCTTCGCCAAACTTGCAGCCTCTATTTGTGCAGAACCTCTCTTTACATCTCACAAGTCATTACTTTGCCATTGGAAACCACTTAGGAAATGCTGCAGCAGCTTTGTGTACTCCACGGCAGGTATCTGTGTGAAGGATAGACGGTAGCAATAATATATATTGAATACATTGTATTTATATAACACGTGCATTCCCTTGTGTTCTCTTTCTGTGAGGCACACTTTGAGATCATTATTTTAGTTTTAATAATATAGGAACTTTGAAAAGCAATGTAAATCTGTAGTTTAACCGTACCAGTTTTGAGGAGAGGAGTATGTTGAATGTCGATTGTACTTTGTATAAATGTTTAAAAATTAACATACATTTTAAGTTCCCCTCCCTTGTTTTTCAGGAATATTGGTATAATAGCATATATGTTGTTAACTCACACATCACCATTTGTGGGAGAAGATAATCAAGAAACATACCTCAATATTTCTCAAGTTAATGTAGATTATTCGGAAGAAACTTTTTCATCAGTTTCACAGCTGGCCACAGACTTTATTCAGAGCCTTTTAGTAAAAAATCCAGAGTAAGTAATAATTTGTTTAAATACTATTACAAATTTAATTTGTTTAAATACTATTACAGAATAAATAATATATACCTATTAAGAAAGTATATTCTAAAATAGTATAAAATTATTAGAAATATGTACAAGTTCTAGGTAAAATAGGTGGTATGAGCAATCATTAACAAATACATAACTTCAGATATAAAATATACAACAGGGGATTTTGAAGTAAAGAAAAGATTTGAGTTACTTCTCTCACAAACCACTACTAATCCCTGAAATTACCTAAAATAATTAGTCATAGAAATTTACAATACACATGGCTGGTTATGATAAGACTTTATTGTAAATGATTTACAGTTTAATGATTTTACGGCCGGGCGCGGTGGCTCACGCCTGTAATCCCAGCACTTTGGGAGGCTGAGGCAGATGGATCACGAGGTCAGGAGATTGAGACCCTCCTGGCTAACACGGTGAAACCCCATCTCTACTAAAAATACAAAAAAATTAGCCAGGCATGGTGGCAGGCATCTGTAGTCCCAGCTACTTGGGAGGCTGAGGCAGAATGGCGTGAATCCGGGAGGCAGAGCTTCCAGTAAGCAGAGATCGCGCCACTGCACTCTAGCCTAGATGACAGAGCAAGACTCCGTCTCAAAAAAATAAATAAAATAAAATAATTTTACATACATAACAAGTATCATTTACTGATTGTGAAATCTTGAAGGATTGGATGCCCTTTGACAACCTTACAAAAGAAGCGAGTCAGCTGAGCGAGGTGGCTCACGCCTGTATTCCCAGCACTTTGGGAGGCCAAGGCGGCCAGATCATGAGGTCAGGAGTTCGAGACTAGCCTGGCCAATATAGTGAAACACCATCTCTACTAAAAATACAAAAGTTAGCCGGGCATGGTGGCATGCACCTATAGTTCCAGCTACTCAGGAGGCTGAGGCAGGAGAATTGCTTGAACCCAGAAAGCAGAGGTTGTGGTGAGCTGAGATCGCACCACTGCACTCCAGCCTGGGTGACAGAGTGAGACTACATTGCAAAAAAAAAAACCAAAAAAAAACCAAAAGTGATTTGGAGGTTAGTTAAGCACCGTCTTTCAAAATATAAAGACCCACTAGCTTTACTAGTAACTCATCCTATGAACATAATTAGAGAAGATCCCAAAAAACATTTTCTCAATATTCATTGAAGCATATTTATAATAGCAAAATGCTAGAAGCTTCAATGGGCATCTGGTTAAATAAATTATGGTGTATCCATATGGAAGAGTACTAAATAATACAGCTGTTAATAAATATGTTAACTCTGTACTGATGTGGAAAAATGCTTGAGATGCATTATTGAGTAATAAAGCAAATTGCAGAAACATGGAGTATGTGAAGCTGTGTATGTGTATGTGTGTGTATATGTTTGTGTATGTATATGCACATATATGTAGAAAAAATATCTGGAAGTGGGATTGGGGAATGAGAAAACAATTTTACTTTTTATCTTCATGAGAGATAATATGGTGTAATGCTTAAAAGCACAGACGATAGAGTCAAAGTTCCACTTAACTACCATTTACAAGTTAGGAGATTTGGGGTAAATTTCAAGCCTCCTGGTACCCTACTTTGCATATCTGTTAAATGAGGGTAATAATAGTACCCATTTCATGAGTTTGTTATGATTGTTAAATAATGTATTTGAAGCGTATAGAATAGTCCCTGGCATATAACTAAGCATTCAGTAAATGTTAGCAGCTATTATCATTATTATTCTCTTCTGTACTGTTTGGATTTTATACTATGAGTATGTTTTATTTTCACAAGAAGTAAAAAATATGTCTATAATCTATCAAACTGAAGACATTTTCAACTTGATTTTTAGTTCTCAATTTTCCCTTGGTGCTTTCTTTCAAAGGAAAAGACCAACAGCAGAGATATGCCTTTCTCATTCTTGGCTACAGCAGTGGGACTTTGAAAACTTGTTTCACCCTGAAGAAACTTCCAGTTCCTCTCAAACTCAGGATCATTCTGTAAGGTCCTCTGAAGACAAGACTTCTAAATCCTCCTGTAATGGAACCTGTGGTGATAGAGAAGACAAAGAGAATATCCCAGAGGATAGCAGCATGGTTTCCAAAAGATTTCGTTTCGATGACTCATTACCCAATCCCCATGAACTTGTTTCAGATTTGCTCTGTTAGCACTTTTTTCTTTGACTCATTTGGACTGAATTTGAAATTTTATATCCACTCCAGTGAGATTATGATTTGTAGCTTCATATATGACATGTTTATATTGTAAATGCACTTTTCCATGGAATAATTTAGGGAAGTGTTTTAATGTTAAATTACTAGTTGCTAGCATGTTATGATTTCATATCCTGAGATAGCTCTGCAGATAAGAAAATATTTAAATATATGACAAAAAGTAAAATTGTACATGTGAGTTTACATGTTAATGAAATAATTCAACTTCAAATGAACTTACCAGAATGTTTTGCATATCAACAAAAAAAGTGGCTTGAGTTTTATTATAGTTGGTGTAAACTGAACACAGTGAAGACATTGGAATTTAATAGGTTCTCTCTCTAAGGTGACTCTTATACCATGCCTCTATCAACATAATTTGTTTAGGAAAGCAGTATGAAGTTTAAGCCAAAATAATTTCTACTTTATAGATGCTCAAGAGACATTTTACAATTGAAAATGTCTTTCAATTACAAATATTTTGAAACTTCGTAAGATTTTCATTCTCTGTGGTCTGTTATATGAGAGAGATCCTTTAACTAGAGCAAAGAGGGAGTTAGAAACCTGATCAGGGATATTCTTTACAAGTTGGAGCAGAGGAAAGAGTAGCATGCCTTCGTATTTTAACGCAAATGTCTTTTTCCTCCTCCCAACCTACTTGAGATCTGATAAGGTCTGGAAGATGGAGATATTTGGTATGCAAGTGTAGAGTTTTTTAATCCTCCAGAATTTCTAGAGTAGAAGATACTTAGGTATAGTTAAATATTCTGTATTTTTAGTCAAACATATTTATTAATTGAATATAGAAGAAAATGTTGACACACTCAGACAGCTTACTGAATTTTAGATGTCTTCTGCATCTTAGAATACAAGCCAGTCATTCAGAGTTCTAAAAGTATGCATAAAAAATTACAGCACCGGTAGGTCTATTAACACAGTGCCCGAGTCAGCGGTAGCAAGACTGATGTGATCATAAAACATGACATCAGGCTCGTCTGAAGTTCTTGTGTGAAATTCCTAGTGAGTGAGGAGGCTCAGCTTAAAGCCATCTGCAGAGTGGCCCCTCATTGTGGTCTTTTGCTGGGACCAATGCAAGAGACTAGGGAGAGCAAAATGTTTGCTTATGGCTAGAGACTATATCCAGCCCTAATGATGGGGAAAGTTAGTCCTTTTCGGGTAATCTTTTATGAATTTTCACCTGATGACCGTTATATTGGTCTGTTATCATGTTACGATAACTGTGATCTCATGACCATGTTGCTGTATCAGAAGAAATAGTTTGACAAATGGTAACAACAACCTGATGTTCCCCCTTTAGACCTTTAACTTCTCAAAATTTTGGTAAGTTTCCAAATTCTTTAATAATAACTTAAAACTTTTTGAATAACTATCAGGTCACTTTATTTGACCACATGGTGAATTCCTTTAATGTCTTCAGCATTTGTTAAGGAAAAGTTTTCTCTACTTGTGTGTGTATGTGTGCACATGTGTGTATGTACAGGTGTATGTATATATCTATAGATAGATACAATACATTCTTTAGACACTTTTCAAGATTCTTTGCTGTGGTATATTGTGCTCAACTCAGGTGCCAAAGGAGCTTTTTTTTTTTTTTTTTTTTTTTGAGATGGAGTTTTGCTCTGTCTCTCAGGCTGGAGTGCAGTGGCATGATCTCAGCTCACGGCAACCTCTGCCTCCCGGGTTCAAGCAATTCTCCTGTCTCAGCCTCCTGAGTAGTTGGGATTACAGGCGCATGCCACCGTGCCCAGCTAATTTTTGTATTTTTAGTAGAGACGGGGTTTCACCATGTTGGCCAGGCTGGTCACAAACTCCTGACTTCAAGTGATCCACCCGCCTCGGCCTCCCAAAGTGCTGGGATTACAGGCGTGAGCCACTGCGCCCCCGCCCAGGAGCTCTTTTCTTATGACATATAAATTATGACATTTATATTCTTTATATGACTTTATGTTCTCTTCTTATGACATTTAAATTCTTTAAGTAGTTTGTTGGTCCAATAAACTAGACGTTGTATAATCTAAATTGAGCCCTTGTATATCTAAAACTGATGAGTTGTTTCTAAATTGTTGATTGTCCATTTACTTGCCTTTGGTATTAAGATAATGCAAGTAAAGTTTAGTAAGTCATTGGATAATGAAATGATTATGTTTCTGAAGACCATATTATATTTTTAATTTTTAGAGGAATCATGCCATCCCCCAAAAAATCAAGAAATATTTGAATTTTAAATTATAAGTTCATTTGTTAAAAGACATTTTTACAAATGTCTGAAAATCTTAAAATACTTTACATCTACCTTTAAGTAGTAGAATACAGAGCTGTAAATTTCCATGCCTTTTTTCCTGATATTAAGTTTTATAGTAAAAAAGCAACTAGTGATTGCACAAAGAATATAAAAATCCACTCTTTTTACAAAGGTGTGAATTTAAATAACGTTATTGATTGGAATATGAAAATAGACCAATCATTTAAGAGCTTTTTAGCAAATGATTCAATTCTTACTCTTTTTCTCCCAAGATTGAAAAGCATAATGTATTTCTCTAAAGTAGGAATCTAGAGAGCCCCTGTGAGTGGACAAATGTCAGTAACACTTGAACACATGAGAAGATAAGTGTTATGTTGTGATAATTTAAAGTTAAATTTGCTTTTTGGGTAGGATCCCTAAATAGATGGGATTTTTAAATAGATGATATATAGATGACAATTGCAATTGTCATTTTAATTATTTTCCCTACAGTAAAGAACCTAGCTCTGAGCAGTGAAATTGTAATGGCACTTTAAAGGAAGTAAGCCGTTAACTGTTCTCTAGTGGAGCGATCTCCAACTGTTTTGGCACTAGGGACGGGTTTTGTGGAAGAAAATTTTTCCACAGGACTGGGGGTTTAGGGGGATGGTTTCAGGATGATTCAAGTACATTACATTTATCATTAGATTCTCATAAGGAGCATGCAACCTAGATCTCTTGCACGTGTGGTTCACAGCAGGATTCGAGCTCCTTTGAGAATCTAATGCCATGGCTGATCTAACAGGAAACTGAGCTCAGGCAGTAATGCTTGGCACCGCCCCCCACCTTCTATGCAGCCCGGTCGTGGCCTGGGGACTGGGGACCCCTGCTCTAGTCAGTAATAAGGTACTTGTGCCAGAATATAAATCAACACATTGCTTCCTTTATCAAAGAAGTCTTGTTATTTAAAAAAAGTCAACTGAGCCAGTATGATTAGTGATGTAATTGATTTTCATTCTGGCACAAGCCTCTTTCATTCTGGACAGCTCACAAATAGTTAATGGACCATGCTTTGAATAGCCTTCCTCTAAGCAACATTTATAAATACTGATATTTTAGAACTGTTTACATTTCTTCTGTTTATTTTTGAATTTTCAGTTTGATATCTTGTCCTTATTCATTGTTGTATAAACAACTGTACTTTAATTTCAAGTAGTATTAAAAGTATTTCACTTCAGTTTGGGGGGATTATTATCAATTTATAATTTTATAAAAGTATTTTAAAGAATAATTGTAAATTTTCCATAAATTACAACTTCCTGCCATATTTTATTAAATAATAATCTTGCTTAAGGCATATAGACAGACATTATTATGAGTATTCCAGTAAAAAAAATCTACATCAACTTGACCATTCTGGCTAAAAATTAAAAAGCACTTTTTTATATCTGTGGTTGTCATTTGTTTCAAAGCATTTCTAAATTTATTGTTCTTAAAAGTATGTCTGCATGTTCTAGCCTTTGACCTAGGTCATCTATGAACCCTCTTTGTGTCTAATAAACATATCTGTAAAGGCATATAAATCTGAAAACAAGTAGGTCTATTCGCTGGTATCAAGGAATAATTTTTAGAAAATGTCAATGAATTTAACTGTACTACATGTTGCACTATAGTGCACTACGTGTTACACACAAGATGAATGAGAGATTCTTCAAGATATTTATAATCTGGTTGTAGACTAAGGTACAGTCAATTCTCATTATTCATGGTAGTTATGTTCTATAAAGTTCCCATACTTTAGTTACTAATCATTGCTCCTAGGGGAAATACAGAGTTAGGTTCCTGCAAGGCTCTGTTCATAGCATTTTAAACAATTGATCAATGCATAGTTTTGTGTATTTCTATTTAATTGTACATTTAATATATATTGTTGGTTCATTAACATTGAACTAACAGGCAATAGCACTGTAATTCATGCCTGAATGAAGCTTACCTAACTTGTTTTTGAGGGAGAAGGAAAGGGAAAAATGATTGGAAAAATTCAGACTGCAGAAGCAGCCTGCCTGAAAAGTCACACAGCAACAGGCAAAAAATAAAACAACCTTGGAAAAAACTCAGGCTGCACATGGACAGGTAAGAAGATGAGGCTGTAAAACACAGATAAACAACTGGGGCACAGAAGGAGGGGGTGAGTCTCCCGGGTAATCACCAAACTTCACACTCATATAGTGGGCCCCAGTAAAAACAGTGGGCCTTAATAAGCACATTCCTTTCCTTTAGGCACACTAAGCTAGGGAAGCCAGAAGTGGATATTGGAGGGGGATACCTGCAGCTGGAAAAAAATGTCTGGGAACAGTCACAGAAACTCTCCCTCCCAAATAAGTGACACAAAGCAGCACACAGCAACACAGATTAAGAGTCTGCCTAGGTTGTCAAGGAATCAGGTAAAGGCTGATAGAAACTCATGCTCTATGCAGATAGCACACCTGGTCCCAACTAAAGCTTCAGGCCCTAGGAGGATAAGATGCCCCCTTCCTCAGTAGCCCATGTATAAAAACCCTGACATTTTTACTGGAAACCCACTGGGGACCCCTCTCTGACAGCTGTTCTTTCCTTTTACCTGTTAAACTCCTGCTCCAGTTTCTGTGTGGGTTTGTCTGCAACCTCAATTTCCTTGGCCATGAGACCAAGAACCTTGGTGTTTACCCCAGACAATGAGGCTGCTTCATTTTGGGGGCTCGCCCAGGATTTGAAGGTGAATTAATCAGAAGGGTAAGGGAGCAGACTCTCTACTTTCACTTCTGAGGCTTCTCATCCTCAGTTTTTATTCTCTCAAAGAACTATCAAAAAAACAAGGTATCTGTCTGCTGATTAATGAGCCACAAGGGCTAGCTGCCGGTCTTAAAAGACTCAAATGTGAGGCTTGCTGGGGAGGACTTAGTCCATCCCCAGTGCCCTCATGGTGCTGGGAATGTTGGCTCTGTCCAAACTAGTTTTCTGTCACACACAACTTTGCTATTGCATGGGTCTGGAAGAGGTCCTGGAGCAACTGAGGATTTCTGGCCAGGGCTACTCCTGGACTGACCCCAGCCTCCAATTGCCCAACCAGGTGTCGGCCATAGGATCACCAAGCTTTCCTATGCGAACCTTAGTTTCCTCCTTTCCTTTCCACAGTCACCATGTCTCTTGTGCCGTCTCTGTATGCACTGCTGTAGGAGTTTTTACATCCCGGGGAAATAATTCAATTAGGCAAGCTTAGCAACCACCTTAGCAATCAGGAATGCAGGTCAAAGTTTGCTGTTTTCGTGACTTTCTACAGACAGGGGGACTTCATGATCCAGATCTCAAAGACTACTTAACTCCTAATGATAGCACTTCCTGGGGTTGGGTAGGAGGTCATGCCCCACCCAGCGAACATCTCTCTTTCCACCTGGGCTGTTTCCTTTCCCATGTGGGGAGCCAATACTGCCCAGTTGTACTGGATAGCCCCTCTATGAGACAAATGAACTTTCTCCTGCTAGGAGGTATGCTGGGAACAACTTGCCACATGTCAGACTTCCCTCTCTGTCCTTTGTTCAGAGGGCATATGGAGGCAAAGTTACTGCCTGGTATTTCAAGGCTTACAGCGCCACCTAGTGGGATGAGAATTCCCTCCCTGGGCGACCTTGTATGCCCTTTGCCAAAAGCCTCTAGTTTTCCAGTTCTTCTCTTTTTTACATCTGCTAGAGACCGACGTTATGCCCCCTCTGCAAGCAGGAGATCTCTGCTTTCAGCAATGAGGAGAAATATGTCCTCCAAAACCAAATTTTAGTCTCAACATGTACCGCTAGGGTACATGTTCCCTTCTCATTACAGGACCTTAGGGAAATAAAGAGACACTTGGACAGCTTGGGCAGATTTTCTGATGACCCTGATACGTATATAGAGGCTTTCCAAAATTTAACCCAAGTGTTTAATCTAACATAGAGAGAGATGCTATGTTACTTTTAAGCCAAACTCTGTCACAGAAAAGCCTTATAGGCAGCAGAAACATTCAGAGATAAACAGCATATCTCCTATAGCCGGTCTAAAATTCTTTTTTTTTTTTTTTTTGACCAACTCTCCATTAGCAGGAAGGCCACCCACCAATTGACCCTTATGTTCTTTTGAGACACTTATTCCGCCTACAACTAGAATGGCATCTAAATAGAAAGGGGATTTTATGTCTGGAAGTTAACTAGAACTGCCACCTAAGAATACATTCTCTAGTCCGGTCCATAATAGTAGAGTATGAAGCTCAGTCCAGTATACTCCCTCCATTAAAGGACCTTGCTCAAATGCAACTGTTACATAATCTCTCTCAAGACTCACCCATCAAGGAGCCACGCAGGTCACACAAGTCTGGAAGATCAAACGGCAATCACCAGGCAGGGGACAAAGGCTACATGGGTATGCGTGACTATCCCCATTATTTAGCTTCTCTGGGACCATGGTTTGAGGGTCATGCCTGCAACCACTGGGTGGCACACACAGTGCTGGGACCCAGGGACCAGGGAGGGGAACAGTCAGGGGGACGCTCCCATTGTCTTCCCCTCTACCTTGGGTCATACCAAAAAGAACAAGGAGACTGAGGAATGCCTCTTCTCTTGTCTCTTTTCTAGGATGGGTAGCAAGCCATCTTCAGCCTGCACACCTCTGGAGTGCATTTTGAACTCCTTTGACCCCAAAACTAATTTTATTTTGCCCAAGTGCATGGTCGTCTTACCATCCCAAGAGTGAACAGACCTGGCCAGCTGAAGGAAACCTTGACTTTAATCTTATCCAACAATTAGATCTTTTCTGTAGACAGAAGGGCAAATGGTCCAAGGTCCCCTATGTACAGGCTTTCTCTGCCCTGCAAGACAACCCAGACCTTTGCAAGCATTGCACAATCACCTCAGCCCTCTTAGCAATCATATCAGGCAGGTCTATGGAGAGTAGTTCCCCTAAGAAGAGCAGGTTTTAGAGGAGCCATTGGAGGTGGCTTCTAAGTACCCCAGTCCTTCCAGTTTCCCTTATCCAGCGACCCCTCCAATTGTGCCATCAGCTCCTCCAGCTCCACCATCTCTGAAACTCCGCATTGCCCAGTTTCACTCCTACCCCTACAAGAAATGCCAGATGGAAGGGGTACCGCTAGGGTACATGTTCCCTTCTCATTACAGGACCTTAGGGAAATAAAGAGACACTTGGACAGCTTGGGCAGATTTTCTGATGACCCTGATACGTATATAGAGGCTTTCCAAAATTTAACCCAAGTGTTTAATCTAACATAGAGATGCTATGTTACTTTTAAGCCAAACTCTGTCACAGAAAAGCCTTATAGGCAGCAGAAACATTCAGAGATAAACAGCATATCTCCTATAGCCGGTCTAAAATTCTTTTTTTTTTTTTTTTGACCAAGTCTCACTCTGTCGCCCAGGCTGGAGTGCAGTGGTGTGATCTCGGCTCACTGCAACCTCCACCACCCAGGTTCAAGCAATTCTCCTGCCTCAGCCTCTGAGTAGCTGGGATTACAGGTGTGTGTCACCACACCCAGCTAATTTTTTGTATTTTTAGTAGAGACGAGGTTTCACCATGTTGGCCAGGCTGGCAGTCTAAAATTCTTGAAAGGAAAAAGTCTAAAGGAAAAAAAAGGGTAAAAGAGAGACAGGATCCCCATTCTCAATAGAAAGAGTGCCCCTTTAAAAAGTGTAATTGGAGCCCTAGTGATCCCACAAACGAATGGCAAAGAAAACACTTTCTAATGTGCATGTTAAAGGCTTGCAAAGAACCAGAACAAAACCTCTTAATTACTCTAAACTGTCCTTGTTGAACCAGAAACCAGATGGAAACCCCTCTGCCTTTTTGGAAAGGCTGAGAGAAGCTTGAATAAAATATACCTCCCTATCTCCCAATTCAATAAGAAACAGGTTCATTACTTAGGCAGCCCCTGATATCAAAATAAAGTTGCTGAAACAGGCTCTGTCTAAAGATCTTTCTAGTTTTTCTTACCCTCAAGTTACAACTTTGCAGTGTGTAAATGACATTCTCCTCCATGCCCCAATCAAAGAAGTCTCAGAAAGGCACTGAGGCTCTCCTCAATTTCTTAGCTGAAAGGGAGTATAGGGTCTCAAAATCTAAAGCTCAGTTCTGTCAAACTTCAGTAAAGTACCTAGGTCTAATCTTATCAGAAGGAACCAGAGCACCAGATAAAGGAAGGATTAAGCCCATTTCCTTTAACAGTTAAGGGGATTCATTTGTCATTACTGAATTTTGCAGTCTGTGAGTACCTAGGTACAGGGAAATGGCTCACCCTTTATATCACCTCATAAGAGAAACTCAGTTAAAACTCGCCCCCACCTGCTTTGGGAACCTGAGGCTCAAAAGAGCCTTTAACCTGCTAAAGCAATCCTTACTTAAAACACTAGCCCTCAGTCTTCCCATAGGGAAAACATTCAGGCTCTATGTATCAAAAATGAAGGAAACGACCCTGGAAGTTTTAACTAAGGCTTAAAGTCCAGCTCAATAGCTGGTGGGTTACTTAAGCAAAGAACTTAACTTGGCGGCTAAAGGATGGTCAGCCTGCCTCCAAGCAGTTACAGCAGTGGCTTTGCTGATGCCAGAGGCCACTGGGTTAACCACAGGGAATAACATAACTGTGTAACCCCCCACAGTATAGCAGGACTGCTGTCCTCTAAGGAAGGGCTCTGGGTAACAGACAATTTCCCCCTTAAGTATCAAGCCTTGCTGCCAAAGGGATCTGTAGGCCAGTTGAAACCTGCCCTTGCCTGAGCCCAGCCACTTTCTCCCAGAGAAAACTGGAGAACCTAAACATGATTGTAAACAGGTAGTAGTGCAAACTAGGGAAAAAATGGTAAGAATCACTGTTTATATTCTCTGTAAAGTTTTAATTAAGGAAAAAGGATTGTCTTAAAGAGTGCTCAGCTTAATTGAAAGTGGATATCCAAGCTATGGATATATTTAAAAGGCCGTTTTTCTCTTCATAAATCTGTTTTCCTGGAAAAGGTTTTTTTTTCTCAGTCAACTGAATTACTCTTTTCACTACGTGTTGCCCCTCCTGGTGCATGCATGAAAGACCCTAGAATAACTTCTGGTAGCCTGGGACTCCTTGGGAAAACAGAAAAGCTGCCACAAATCCCATTTTGGGAAAAATCTCTATTTTCCTCATGGAACTCCTGGAATTAGAAGGGAATAAGTATCTCTCCAAATCTGTCTTTGTCTTCTGGCTATGCCTATTTATTAGGCCCTGGAAATTGTATTCCTAGTCCTATTCTTAAAGGGCCTCACCCGGAGGCCAATAATCCAACTAGGAAATTGGCAAATGTAAATCATATAACTACTGGATCTTCTGTTTGTCTGTGTGATTATATGTGTGTTATGTGTGTAATGTCTTTTTAAAAAGAGCTCTGATTGGCCTAAGAAAAATAAGTGCTTAAATCAAATATTTTTAAGAAAAAAGTAAAAGCTGTGGTACCTTTCAGTTCACGTGACTTTAATCTTAAAAAATAAAAAAAGTCTTAAGAATTATTGGTAAAATATAAATGACTTCAAGGTGTAAAAATGTGGTCTAAATTACACAGGTCAGATACTAGGTTTGCTAAATGTTTTAAGATTGTAAACTGCTTCTTTAGCCTTTAAAAACTGTCCAGCTTGCCTGCTTCACATTTGATAAGGCCTGAGAACATATGGAAGTAACCATGCCCCTAACTATGCTAAAAGGAATCAAACTTTATCTGCATCTAGTACATAATTAAAACAACCTACCAGGTTTTACATTAAAGTAAAAATTTCTAAGAGTTACCATTATGACATGTAGTTGAAATTACCGAACATGGAATTGCATGCAAGATGTGTTAAAAAAAAAAAAAAAAAAGGCAGTAAAAGGTGTTTCTTGTTAAAGATTATAAGGCATGGAAAGGTACATTTTGCCCAGAAACAAAGGATTGTCTTAAATTAAAATAAAGCAGAAGGTTTCAGCAAATTGTAAAAAGATTATAAACATTAATCTTGCAAAGGAAACTCTGTGTGTGAACATATTAACTAAATTCAAAAGGGTATTATATGGTTTTTTCTGTAAATTAAACACTGGAATAAAAGCACAACAAGGTTTTCTTAAGATGCCAATCCACTCTTTAGCAAAACTTGTCAAGGGTTATAACGGATATGTAAAAATCTTACCTCATGGTCAAACTGGTTAAGATTAAGTAGGATTGTCTATAAGGTTTCATTAAAAATTAGGGTTAACATTAATAGCAAACTAATGCAAGGGTGAAATTTAACTTTCTCTCTTGAACAGGATTTTCATGTAATAGAAAAAGCTGATGAATGGCTTTTGCTTTTTCAAATTTTTGACTCACCATTTTGGCAAAACAAATAGAGTAATCTAAAAATTATGTTTCATAATATCAAGTGTTTTAAATTTCGAACATATTTAACAGGCTTCCCCAAATCAAACTTTAGTCTCAAGGTTGTCTTTCCTGACCCCTGTCTTTTGGGTGCTGAAGAGAGCCTCTGGAGCTTCTGGAAGAGAGGCAAACAGAGTTGTTTAATATGTTTGGTACATAGAATTGCCAAAATGATGTTTAATACTCTTCAGGTTATATTTTAGGGAATAATATCAACATATGTTCCAAAACTGTAAGAGATGTCCAAAGTTCCAATGTCTGAATATGTGCTATTAATCACAATTAAGGTTGTTATGTTGGGTTATTGTAAGCCATGGAAATAACCAAATTTGTCAATCATATTCTTGACTGTAAACACCCTGGACATTTTGTCATTTACAGGGAATTGTTGTCTTGTTTTAATCTTCTTCTTCTTAAAAAAAAGTTTATAATCAGTTATGGAACTTTAACAGGTGCTCTTAAATACAGATTTCTGATTAAAAAAATGTACAGAACTCATAAAAAGCTGAAACGTTTACAAATATCAAGCAGAAAAAGAGTTAACTGAGCGGACTGAACTAATAGAAAATTAAAGCAATATTCTTGATTTATTCTTGGAACATTGCTGATCCTTATTTTATTTTTCAAAGTCAAGGAAACTTGTCTTGAGCTAGCTACAGCCTTTAACAACTAAGTAAAGTATACTCCTGTAAACAAAGTTTCAAGCATGTTTGTTTCCTCTCTGCCTGGTTCCTCCAGAATTTAAAAACTAGTTGTAACATATAGTTGTTTGCATCAGTGCAATAAGAATCCACTTTATTTTGCAGCTGGACACAATTGGAAAAACTGGTTGTTTTAACAAGCCTTTGACGGGAAGGGTGTGTTTCCCTTTAAGAAGTCAGGCTTGACTTGCAGAGCCAATAAAAGCCCCTTGGGAAACTGGCCTCATTCCTTGGCTACACCATCTCCATACGGGATTCCTAACCTGTGGTGAGTAAAGAATGTCACTTTCTGACAGGCCTAGGAACTCCATGCTCTTGGAACCTCAAGAAGAAAGAAGTTTACCCAACTCACAGGTATTTGAAGGTACAAACCCATGGCTGGGCTGGGATTTAGAAAGGAATCTTATCTAAGATTCCTTGTGGAATAAAGTTCCATCAAAGCAAATCTAAAAGGCCTGTGTGGCTGGGCGCAGTGGCTCACGCCTGTAATCCCAGCAGTTTGGGAGGCTGAGGTGAGTGGATCACCTGAGGTCGGGAGGTCGAGATCAGCCTGGCTAACATGGTGAAACCGTGTCTCTACTAAAAATACAAAATTAGCTGGGCATGATGGCAGGCACCTGTAATCCCATCTACTTGGGAGGCTGAGGCAGGAAAATTGTTTGAACCCAGGAGCCAGAGGTTTCAGTGAGCCAGGATTGCACCACTGCACTCCAGCCTAGGTGACAGAATGAGACTGGTCTCCAAAAAAAAAAAAAAAAAAAAAGCCTATGTAAAAATAGTTATTCTTGTTGCACTTTATGCAAATAATCAAACCAAGTTTAAAACTAAAGTCTATTTTGCAAACAACTCAGTCCTATCATAATTTGTTTTTAACAGATATGAGGACTAGAAGAGGGAAAATATGTTCCAAACTTATCATGAATCTATTATTAACATCTAGTCTCATTAGTTGTTTTTAAGTTTTTGCCTACATTTTAAACTAACCATGCTTATTCCTGTGAGCCAACCACCAATCTCCAGCTGTGGCTCAACGGAGACAAAAAGGAATGGGTAATGTAAAAATCTGGATCAATATTCTAGTTCTAAGCAATTATCCTGCAGATCCTGCTGGGTAATAGGAATAAATAGGGTGCCCATAACCCAAAAATCTCTTTGGAAGGATAAAATCAAGAAAGTTTAACACAACCGAGCCCCAAACACTCAAATCTTTTGTTTGTTTGTTTGTTTGTTTGTTTGTTTGAGACGGAGTCTCGCTCTGTCGCCAGGCTAGAGTGCAGTGGCTAGATCTTGGCTCACTGCAACCTCCGCCTCCCAGGTTCAAGCGATTCTCCTGACTCAGCCTCCGAGTAGCTGGGACTATAGGCGTGTGCCACCACGCCCAGCTAATCTTTTTATTTTTTATTTTTATTTTTTTTTTTTTAGTAAAGACAGGGTTTCACCATGTTGGCCAGGATGATCTCAATCTCTTGACCTCGTGATCCACGCACCTCGGACTCCCAAAGCGCTGGGATTACAGGCGTGAGCCACCGTGCCCAGCCCATACACCCAAATCTTAACAGGCATAACTATAGCCACCAGTTATCAGGGAGTGTCAGCAGCCTCAAGATTTTAAGCTTATCCCCTCCTTGTCTCGTTTTAATACATGTCCCCTAATAACCCAAATTATTTCTTTTTGCCTAGAGGCTATCAAGCTCCAAGTGGTAATGCAAATGGAATCACGTATAAACATGCGTTTCATCTGAGGACCCTTATACCAGCCCCTGGAGGAATCCTAGCTGCTGTTCCCCACACAATTCCCCTCTCCAGCAGGAAGTAGCCAGAAAGATCAACACCCATCTGCCTAACAGCAGTTAGGGTTTCCTCTCCTGAAGAGAGGAATGAGAGAGAAGGAAAGGAAAAATCATTGGAAAAATTCAGACAGCAGAAGCAGCCTGCCTGAAAAGTCACATAGCAACAGGCAAAAAATAAAACAGCCTTGGGAAAAACTTGGGGTGTACCTGGACAGATAAGAAGATCAGGTCAGGCTGTAAAACACAGATAAACAACTCGGTCACAGAAGGAGGGGGCGAGTCTCCTGGATAATCACTAAACTTCACACTCATACAGTGGGCCCCAGTAAAAACAGTGGGCCTTAATAAGCACATTCCTTTCCCTTTAGGCACACTAAGATAGGGAAGCTAGAAGCGGACATTGTGGGGGAATGTCTGCAGCTGCAAGAAAATGTCTGGGAACAGACACAGAAACTCTCCCTCCCAAATAAGCGACACAAAGCAGCACACAGCAACACACACTAAAAGTCTGCCTATGTGATGAAGCAATCAGGTAAAGGCTGATAGAAACTCTGCTCTATGCATATAGCAAACCTGGTCTCACCCAAAATTTTCGGGCCCTAGGAGGATAAGATACCCCCTTTCTCACTAGCCCACGTATAAAAACCCTGACATTTTTACTACAACCTGGCAACTGCAACCTCTGCCACCCAGGTTCAAGCGATTCTCCTGCCCCAGCCTCCAGAGTAGCAACCCTCTTGGGTGGGACCCCTCTCTCTGTGACAGAGAGCTGTTCTTTCCTTTTGTCTATTAAACTCCTGCTCCAATCTTACTCTGTGTGTGTGTCCGCGACCTCAATTTCCTTGGCCGTGAGACCAAGAACCTTGGTATTTACCCCAGACAACGAGGCTGCTTCATTTTCTCTGTAAGTCACAGCATAACCCTCTTGCACATAGGACTACTACGCAGAACTTCAGTACTATACTTTGAGGTCATTTTAAATAGTGAAATCACTAATTAAAAGCATGAAAATGTGAAAAAAAAGGACACTAAATTGCCCATGAAAGGGCATTTGTTCTATAGTATGAGAGCTGAAACAAGAAGGCAGACTGTCATCTTGCTCAACCTCCGAATGAGTTGTGTCTGATGACTCGAATTTCTTTACCACTCTGGATATGTCGGCAAATGACCATAAAAGAACCATACAGGTTGATTTTGGAGCTCCAATAAATTTTGGCAAGTAGGTAAATTCACAGGTGTGGAACAACAGTTGATTCATAGGAATAACAAGGGTCAACTGTACATGATAGAATTACCAGGTAAAGGATTTGAAGTGTGATGAGAGACAAATGGTGTGCAGATCTTGACAATTAATTTAATCTGTAGGAAGGAGAAATTGGTATATGTTGGAACTTTTAAATTCTAACACTTCCCTTTACAGTTCCGAATTTTCTTATTCTGACACAAATGCATTCCCAAATTTTTCACCTTAGCCCAGATCTTATTCCTGGGTTCTGAGGTTTAGATATGATATAAGTAACTTCAGATATAAAATAGCTCTAAGTAAAATCATGATCATATTCTCCCTTTTGGTATCACCTCCTCACCCAAACTTCCTGCTCCATGTTACCTTCCTTAGTTAACATAGTACTGTTCACCCACACATGAACTGGAAATCTCTACATGTCATTAAAAAGTTTGTGTTTTCTTACAGCACTCTTTCCAATTAGTTGTTAACTTCAATCACTTATATTTCCTTAATATATTTTATAATAATCCCCTCTTGATTCCTTCTAGTAGACAGTCTTTCATCTAGATCTAGATTGTCTAGATCATCTAGAAAGGGGTCAGCAGATTTTTTCTATAAAGAGCCAGTTATTAAAATTTACAGGCTTTCCAAGCTAGACCCTGTCACTACTCAACTCTGCGGCTGGAGCGCAAAAGCAACCATAGACAATAAGCAAACAAAGGATGTTCCAATAAAACTTAATTTACAAAAGCAGACATAAGGACATTTAGTTTCTTGACCTCAATCTAGATTATTGCAATGATGGTTTAACTAGTTCTCCTAGCATGAGCATAATTAAGATGGGAGGAGAGGCCAGAAGGAGACAAGGCAGTGCAACGTCATAAGCTAAGGGAGAAACAAGTCTCATCTGAATTAACTTTGTCTAACAGACTTCCAAGAGGAAGAGGACTGATAGATGATCATTAAATATAATAATTTCACTCGAATGGTGAGTTTGCAAGTGGTTAAGAAAATGTGAAAGTTGGCCGGGCATGGTGGCTCATGCCTGTAATCCCAGCACTTTGGGAGGCCTAGGTGGGCAGATTATGAGGTCAGGAGATCGAGACCATCCTGGCTAACACGGTGAAACCCCGTCTCTACTAAAAATACAAAAAATTTCCCGGGTGTGGTGGTGGGCGCCTGTAGTCCCATCTACTCAGGAGGCTGAGGCAGGAGAATGGCGTGAACCCAGGAGGTGGAGCTGGCAGTGAGCCGAGATCGCGCCACTGCACTCCAGCCCGGGCGACAGAGCAAGACTCCGTCTCAAAAAAAAAAAAAAAAAAAAAAAAGAAAGAAAAAGAAAAAAGAAAATGTGAAAATAGAGGCCACAAGTACAGATTATTCTTTCAAGAAATCTGGGAAAAGCGGAAGAGAAGCATAGTTTGAAGAGTGTTTTAAAAATGTTTTAGGATGGGGAGGACTTTAAAATCTTTGTGGACAAAGAGATGGGGTCCACATGGAAGCAGCAGTTGAAGTGCATGAGAGGGCAAGATGATTGATGATAGAAAACGCTGAATGGCCAGGTGTGGTGGCTCACACCTATAATTCTAACACTTTAGGAGGCCGGGGTGGGAGGATCACTTGAGCCCAGAGTTTAGGACCTGCCTGGGCAACTTAGCAAGATCCCATTTCTACAAAAATAAAACAATTAACTCTGCATGGTGGTACACACCTGTAGTCCCAGCTAGTTGGGAGGCTTAGGTGGAAGGATTGCTTGAGACCAGTAATTTGAGGGTTTAGTGAGGTATAATTGCACCACTACACTCCACCCCAGTGACAGAGCAACACCCTGTCTCTAAAAAAGAAAAAGGGCCGGGCGCAGTGGCTCACACCTGTAATCTCAACACTTTGGGAGGCCAAGGCGGGTGGATCCCCTGAGGCCAGGAGTTTGAGACCAGCCTAGCCAACATGATGAAACCCCGTCTCTACTAAAAGCACAAAAATTAGCCAGGCATGGTGGTGGGCACCTGTTATCCCAGCTACTCAGGAGGCTGAGGCAGGAGAATTGCTTGAACCCCAGGTGGTGGAGGTTGCAGTGAGCCGAGATCACACCATTGCACTCCAGCCTCGGTGATGAGCAAAATTCTGTCTCAATAAAATTAAAAGAAATACATAAATAAATAAAAAAGAAAAATAAAAAGCCAGAAAAAGTGATGAGACTGACCACAAGCAAAAAATGGAGGGGTCAGCCTTGGGTAGAGGAAGGAAGAATAGTTTTCTTCTCATGGACAAAAATGAAGAAAAAGAAGGTGGATGATAATAGAGATGTGAAGTAGAGGGCTAATCAGTTTTTCCTTTACTAAGAAGATTGCAGCCAGTCTTCTGCTGAGAGTGAAGAAGATGAAGGTGGGTGTGGCTTGAAGAGAGAAAATTTGGCAAAAGGTGAGTGACAGAATAGTCCTTGAGCAGTGTGTGTTAACACTATAGAGCTTATAATCTATCAGGAGAGACAGACATTAAATACCAAATATTTTCATTTACGATTAAAGAGTTTATTGAATAATCGTTGGAGCCAAGCAATCTTTGTGATACTAATTTATCATTTCTGCCTATATTTTTCCCTTTTCCATCAGAAGGCTGTGCTTCTTTGTCTCAAGGGAGATATATTATTTTACTCAAAATGGGGGGAAAAACTCGAAACTTTCCTCTGGGGTTTTATTTGTAAATACTTTAGTCTTTTGGGGAAAGTACAGTTTAAAAAGAATAGAAAAAGCTCAGAAGCAAATAAGGAGAGATCAATCTCTGGATTTTAGAGCAGTGACAAGAACCTTGCCCAGTTCCCTAGTGCATGTTGAGAATATCGCAGGACCTTGTAGAGAACCATCCAACACCAAGAATGTGGCTTCTAGGGCTAAGATAAAACCAAAAGTTGTGTAGGGGTTAACGTTGTCTCTGGAATGAGCATGGGAGGGGGAAGATAGCATTGTGCCTGAGAAGAGTTTCTCATGTGGATCTTATTACAGCTATTCTTTTATTTTGGACAACAACAACATGAACTGAATGTTCTTCACTATAAAAGCAGTAGATTTCATGTAACTAGTTCTAACCGTGTCTCTTGGTGGAAGCTGGAAGTATAAAACCACAATACAAGTCCCTGAAGGTAATTCTACCATTGCTAAGGGCACTGTAGGTTGGCCAACTCACCAGTCATAGCCAAGGTCTTTCTCCCTTGCCTGCCTCCACTATAGAGGCTATTCCAGCTCAGTTGGAATTAGGGATGAACTGGAAGTCTGCTGGGTGGCTTCTGAAAGGCTTTTGATACCTTGATGAAAAGCAGAAATGCTGCTGACAGCCTTATACCTCCTCACCTTGTCCTCAGGGACAAGGGAATGTTGGAGATGCTGGCCCTGACATTATTGACCCACAGAAGTCACTGGAGCAGTAACAGCAGTCATCTCCTTCTTGACTTTTCAGTATATGATTAAAATAAACATCTGTTAGATTAAGCTATTTTCTTTTGGGTTTTCTATTATTAGCAGCTGAAAGCATCTTAATTGACATAATTATCCATGTTTCCCAAACTCACATTCCTCATAATGTGGCAAAGATATGTGGCACTAAGAGTTCTGTGCCCAACTATGTTTTGGGAACACCATATTTAACAGTGTTAAACTTGCATTTTTACTGCAGGATTCTTTGGAGGCTTTAATTTACACAAGGAATCTTCAAATGAGGATTGTAATATGTAATGTATTTCATAATTACTTCAACCTTACTAACATCTTTTTAAATATTAAGCAAGGACACTTATTTGGAAAACAAGGTACTAGATGTTAAAGCAATGTGGTCCAATAATCTCCAAAGATCTGGCTTATCCCGGAATTGAATTCAAGTTATTTTGTGGGAACACATCAGTTCTTGTACTGGAGAAGGGCCTGGGAAGGGCAGGCTCTTAGAAATTATTGATCCAAGTAAGACCATTTCAGTAATCCTCTTTGTAGCACTGTAAGCTTCATACCTTTATTAGAAAGCAGCAGTAGGTTCCAATACAACATGCTCTGGTTCTCATGGGCCCTCAATATCTTGAAGCTTGAATTTCTTGATACAAAGTCATTGTCAAGGCCTTCTGCTGGGGACTCAGCTTGGCCATGCCTTGGCTTCCAGAACCAGGAGACTGCACTCTCATGCCTCCTTTAACTCTATCAATTTACCTCTTTTGCAATATTTTCCATACCTGAAAATACAGGTCTTTCCATATCTTCTGACTTATCTATCAAAGCTTTCTAGTGAGAATAGGGAAGTTCCAACATTTTCCCATATAATTTACACACACACACACACACACACACACACACACACTTTTCCATCTTTTTAGATGGAAATGTAACTTTTTCTTGCAGGAAACAAGCCAATCATCCAGCTTGTTGAAAAGTCCTTCCCTGTAAAACACATTACTAAAGGCCAGGTGCAGTGGCTCACCTGTAATCCCAGCACTTTGAGAGGCCAAGTCTGGTGGATCAGTTGAGTCCAGGAGTTCAAGACCAGCCTGGGCAACATGGTGAAACCACGTCTCTACAAAAAAATACAAAATTAGCTGGGTGTGGTGGCAGATGCCTGTAGTCCCAGTTACTTGTGGGACTTCGGTGGAAGGATCGCTTGAGCCCGGGAGGTCAAGGCTGACATGAGCTGAGGTCGTGCCACTGCTCTCCAGCCTGGGCGACAAAGTGAAACCCTGTCTCAAAAATAAAATAAAATAAAATAAAATATACTAAAGAAAATGTTCAAGAATGCCTCCAATGGATAGGGTGGGTGAAACTGTGGTTGGGTCAGATGAATTATCTCTCACGTTTAGGTCCTGTGCCAACCCTGTGCTATGATCAACTCCCAGAATAAGCAAAAAATGGATTATTTTATAATTAGTTGCTAGGATTCCACTCTCTGTGGTTTCACCACTGGAATTTAAATTTAGTGATGGCAATACCCCTTTGAAAGGCCAAAGGAAAGATATATGCTAATTATACTGATATTTCTAGCCAGATTGTAAAATGCAACTGGGTCACCAATTACAGACACAATTGCAAGTGGACAGTTGCTCCAGCTATACTGAATAACAAACAATGGCTGCAAAATATATGTGGGGAAAAGAATAAGAGGGAATTATTGAATTAACAAAACACAGATTCTCCGTGTTCTATAATGCATATCACAATCCTCCTTTACTCTCTCTCTATATATGTCGATAATCATGAATAAATCTATGAGACTTAATGATCTTTCCTCATTTCAGCCTGGATCATTTTATGACTAAATTTTGTCATTTTTAGAATTGAATTAATTGCCTGTATAGTCATAGAAAGTCAAATTTTATAGATAAATTATTGTAGTTTGTTTCTTCTTTTGAAAGCAGTCGTTAGCCCAATTTAATAAGAACGTGATTAGGTTTTAAATTGGGATTTGCACAAAAAGGCCTCTGAAATAAGTGAATATCTAAGTAATCACAAACTAAAGACCATAGAAAACAAGTTTAAAAGGAGAAAAAGACTTGGCCATTTATTTAGAGGCCTTTTTGGCTGCTTTAACCTGTGTGAACATCAACTACTTCTTTCTCTTACAAAGCAGCCGTAATCAGCTGTTTGCTTCTTTGATTCGTTCTGGTCCTAATTCATTTAATACTAATGATTAAGCATGGGATACTACAAATAAACCTGTCCCCTTTCTTCCCAGAAATAGAATAATTACAATGGCCAATGGCTGGGGACTTTTTTTATTACTAAATTTGCTAAAGATTTAATTACTTTGGCTGGGCTCCAGTACCCTTAAAGAACATTACAAATAATCCCACGATATTGCATCTAAGTAGTCAATTTAATTTCAGAAGTTGTTTACAATATACATTTTTATGAAATGGTGTGTGTGTGTGTCTATATAAAAATATTTCCTGTGGGTATGTTTATATTCTGAGACATATGATGTATAAATTAAAAGAGAAAGAATAAAGTTTGCCAAGGGCCCATTATGAATCAGGAATTATATGTGGTTCTTTTATTCAAGATGTTTCATTTAATCTCAGCAACCCTGCAAATCAAATATTATCCTTATTTTATAGGTCAGAAAACTGAGTCTCAGAGAGGTTAGACAACTTTTCAGAGTTACCTAATTAATTACCCTAAGCTGGGATTTGAGCTCAAGTTTACCTGACTTCAAAAGGCTTTGCCTTTCCTATCACACCAAATATTAATTACATTTCCTAAGAATAAATTTTAAAACCTGGGGAAAATGAATGGAATATGCATAATCTGAATTGAAAACAAATTGGATTAAAATTTTAAATTTTCATATGTTTGTTTAAAAAACCAAAAATGTAGCTGGACGTGGTGGCTCACGCCCCTCCCAGCACTTTGGGAAGCCAAGGCAGGAGGATCACTTGAGCTCAGGAGTTTGAGACCAGCCTGGGCAACATAGAAAGACTCCATCTCTACAAAAAATAAAAATTACAAATTAGCTGTAAACGGTGGTGCGTGCCTGTGGTCCTAGCTACTCAGGAGGCTGAGGCAGGAGGGTCACTTGTGCCTAGGATGTCAAGGTGGCCATGATCTGTGATCACTCCACTGCACTCCAGCCTGGGCAAAAAGGTGAAACCCTGTCTCAAAAAAAAGAAAAGTTAAAATTAAAAATAAATAAATATTAAATAATTAAAAATTCATCATTCATGAAGTCAATTAAAGTTAAAAGAGAATACTCTAAATTGCAATATTTGCTGCATTAACAGACTGTAGTATTTGTTAAATAGAAGAGAGAAACATGAACAATTCACTGCAATGTTTCCTGGTGTGCCGTTTGTACTACACAAATAGGTGTTATGCAGATTGTCTATATTCACACACAATTTACTATATGTGGAGCAGAAATTGGTATAAAACGAGTCTTCTATAATTCTCTATTTGTAATGTCTGAAAACTGTCTTGTAAAGACAGCTTTTTTCTTTTCTTTTCTTTTCTTTTTTTTGAAACAGGGTCTTGCTCTGTTTCCCAGGCTGAAGTGCAGTGGCACGGTCATAGCTCACTGCAGCCCTGAACATCTGGGCTCAAACAATCTTCCCACCTCAGCCTCCCAAGTAGTTGGGACTGCAGATGCATACCACCATGCCTGGCTATTTTTTTTTTAATTTTAGTTTTTGTAGAGACAAGTTCTCACTATGTTGCCAAGGCTGGTCTCAAACTCCTGGGCTCAAGTGATCCCCCCACCTCAGCCTCCCAAAGTGCTGAGATTACACGCGTGAGCCATGGCACCTGGCCTAGTTTGCCTACTTTAAAATGGAATGATTTGTCTTTTTTTTTAGAAAAAAATTTGTTCTTAATTATTTATTTATTTTGAGGCAGGGTCTCACTCTGTCACCCAGGCTGTGGAGTACAGTGGCACAATCACAGATCACTGCAGCCTTAACCTCCTGGGCTCAAGCAGTCCTCCCACTTCAACCTCCCAAGTAGCTGGGACTACAGGTGTGTGCCACCATAGTCGGATACTTTTTTTATTTTTTGTAGAGATAGGGTCTCACTATGTTGCCTAGGCCAGTCTTGAACTCCTGGGCTCAAGTGATCCTCGTGCCTCAGCCTCCCAAACAACTGAGATTATAGGTGCGAGCCACTGTACCTGGCCTGTATTTTTATGATTGAATTGTAGGTGTTCTTTTTATGCTCTAGATACATTAAGAGGATACTTTGTATACATTAAGAGCATACTTTGTATACTCCTCTTAATTTTTGAGGGACTACATCAAAGAAAACAAATATTAGATAAATCAGAATGTCTGATGTCGGCACTCAAAATTGAGATGTACACATAGTCACACAAATAAATAAAGGTAAAATTCTTTCATATTTTGACAGGGATGGTTTTTCATTAATTGCAATAATAAAACATTCCAAGAGTGTACAGATATACAAAAGAGAGAAAACAGTTAAGCCCATTATGGCGTATTTGGGTAATGAAGCATGATTATGTCTTCAAAATGGCAACTATGTTCTTCATGACTTCTGAGAATTTCTGATACATGAAGAGAAAAAACCTCACTTATGCCGTATGATCTCAGCTAAGTTTTTAAAAGTATGTAGAAAAATATCAAGAAACAAAAATGCCAGTATCCACAGCCATAAAAAAAGAATGAGTTTAGTCCTTTGCAGGGACATGGATGAAGCTGGAAACCATCATTCTCAGAAAACTAACACAGGAACAGAAAATCAAACACCGCATGTTCTCACTCATAAGTGGGAGTTGAAAAATGGGACACATGGATACAGGGAGGGGAACATCACACACTGGGGCCTGTCGGGGGGTAGGGAGCAAGGGGAGGGAGAGCATTAGGACAAATACCTAATGCATTTGGGGCTTAAAACCTAGATGATAGGTTGATAGGTGTAGCAAACCACCATGGCACATGTATACCTGTGAAACAAACCTGCATGTTCTGCATGTGTATCCCAGAACTTAAAGTAAAATAAAAATAAAAAATAGGAAAATAAGCCAGTATGTTAATCATGTCAGCACCTGGGCAGTGGAATGATAGGTGACTTTTTTTTTTATTCTTTCCAGTTGTCTCTGATGAACATGCATTTCTTTTATAATCAGGCATTTGATGGGAGAGGGTGGCAAATCTGTCTTAGCAATAGCAAAAAAATTGCAAAATAAAAATAATAGATTGTCTTTAAGGAAATACGATGGTTTTAGAAGTACGTGGTATTTCAGGGCTTTCTGTTATATCTTTTTTGAGTAATCCCCAAAAATTAGAGTGATTTTTACTTGCAACATCCCACGACCATTTATCTTGGATATTATTTGTCCAGATGTTTAAGTGACTTCTTGGAGGGTAGTTTGGCACACTGAGACACATTTCCTTGCTTGGAAACAACACCTTATAGTATGAATGCACCTATCGACTTTGCAATATCTATAGAATCCTAATTAAGGACAAATTTTCTTTGTTTACTTTGATTATCTGTCTGCTTGCTTCATATATTATTAAAAAGAGGCCCGTACAGCTTTGAAAAACATATTTCATGCCACAATAAGTCTATGCAGCTTGTTTTGCTCAGAGGCCAAGGATATTCCCATGATGTAGCCAAGCAATGGCTCTCTGGCCTCAGTTCTTGCAACTGCTATCATTTCAAGAGAAACCACTAATTGCTGAGGAATTCACCGGGAGCTAAAAAAGAACTTTTCTTCATAACATACTCATTGAGACCTCTTGCAGATTTCTGTTGTTCTCAGACCCCGAGTTCTCATTATTCACTACAGCTCTCATTCCTTACTCTCCATGTGAATGTATTTTCAGGCGAAACTGCTTTTGAAAAACAAAATGTTCTGGTGGATCTGGAGCCACAGTGACACAGTGATACTGGCACAGAGCTGAGGACATGCGTCCAGAACTGCTGCTTGTAAATGTGATAGTAATTTTACTAAAAATAAGGACGTTCTTTGCAATTTCTAGAGGTATGGATAGAGGGAAAACTGCAGTTGTCCTTTGCTTCTCAAGTGCCCTTTCATTTCCTGCTGTGTGCTGATGTTTCAAAGCCTCCACATGAATTAAAGTTCCAGTGAGATTTGCCATAGCGGTTTCTTGGGAATGTCCATAAATATTTTTTTTTTTTGCTTTGGTTTTTGTTCTCAGTAGAAAGTGTTGTTTGTGGTTATCCCTTTTCTAAATTATCTCTTTTTAAGATCTGAAAAATGAGCTTTTGTGTGTTTCAGGAAGTAAACAACTTTTTTTCCCCTGCCTTGTACCGGGCTGAGAGGTTTTACTTTTGGACATGGAGCTAGAGTTTTCAATTATTGATTCTACTGGAAGGTGACAGAGAACTCACTAATGTTTTCCTCTTTTAAGTAAACTTTTTCTGCATTTTTCCTGTGAGTGCTCATTGTTTTAGCAGGTTAATTATTTCACCACATTAAATGGTCATTGTTCCCTATCCCCAGTGCACTGAATAATTTAGGACATTTCCTTGTATTGAGACGACTCTTTGCTGGACTTCAAGAATGTTTACCAATTTGTTCAGATTTTCACCCATCCAGGGACTTAAAAGATTTTACAATAATAAATAAATAAATAAATAAATAAATAAATAACTTTAAAGGAGGAAAAAGAATTATGCAAATCAAAGTGAATACCCTGAAGCGTAACCCCTGCTGGCCTCTGGGTCACAAAGCAGTGAATATATTACTCTCCAAGGCTTTGCAATATTAACTATGGTGTACAGCTCCTGTTTTCTTCTACTCCACTTTTTTTAAAAAAAATTCCTTAAGGCAAACACACACACACACACACACACACACACACACACAGAGGAAAATAAAGTAGGAACGCAAGGGCATTTGCAAATTCAAATTCAATTTCTTGCACTTTTTATTCCCTGGGGAACATTGAGGAATGTGGGAGGTTGTTGACTAATCTTGCTATTTGACATCAGCCACATAGGAATGAGCAGGTTTCAAATGCATGAGTCACGTGATGAACTTATTGATGCTAACAATAGCTAAAGCTTATTGAGTACTTACTTGCCAGGTACAAGGTAAATTCTACCCTTGTTACTCCAGTTCTCATTTAAATCTAAAACAACGGGCAGAGGTAAATATCATTATCTCTGTTTTACTGGAGTTAAATGAGTCAGCCAAGGTAACATAGCTGTCTTAGTTCAGATTGTTCTTACAAAATACCGTTAACTGAGTGGCTTAAACAATATAAATTTATTTCTCACAGTTGTGTAGGCTGAATGTTCAAGATTCAAGTGCTGGCCGATTCAGCTCCTGACTGTCAAACAGACACCTCCTTGTATCCTCATATGGTGAAGAGAGAGCTCATCTCTTTCCTGTCTCTTCTTACAAGGGCACTGATCCCATTCATGAGGGTTCTACCTTCATGATATAATTACCAAGACCCCACCTCCAAATATCATCACCCTGGGGGCTTCAACACATGAATATATGTGAAGAGACAAAATTCAGTCTATACAACAGTCAGCGAAGGACAGAGGCAGGAATTTAATGCAGGCCACCCTGGATAGCAAAGAGGGTTTGCTTTCTACCTCTGTTATTTTATATTCAACCACAAAAGTACCTACATCTGTCAATAGTTCATATTATTTCCTTATGCTTCCCATGGACAGGAGTGCAAGTTTGCAAATCTCAGCTGTCCATTAAAACAGTGCATAACCACTTCATATATTATACAAAATGTTTAACAAGGGGCACTAGAATCCTATGTGTTTACAGTGTTTTCAACAAATATTACATTCTATATTATTTGGAGTTTAATTGACAAAACTAGCAGAATATATATTTTAACAAAGTTATTCTAACAGGGATTGCAAGGTGAATGCCAACATCTGTTTGCTTTAATAGCATTTAGAAGTTTATAGGAGTTTAAAAAGCATTATATTTCATAAATATTTTTCTTAAAAGTATTACATTATATCTTATAAGTATTTTTATTAAAGTGGTAAATGCATTTACCACATAAAATACAGAAAAACAAAAAATGAAAAAAAATTTAAAAAATCAACTTAGAGCCAGGCGCGGTGGCTCACGCCTGTAATCCCAGCACTTTGGGAGGCCGAGGTGGGCGGATCACGAGGTCAGGAGATCGAGGCCATCCTGGCTAACACGGTGAAACCCTATCTCTACTAAAAATACAAAAAATTAGTCAGGCGTGGTGGTGGGCGCCTGTAGTCCCAGCTACTTGGGAAGCTGAGGCAGGAGAATGGTGTGAACCCGGGAGGCAGAGCTTGCAGTGAACAGAGATCACGCCACTGCACTCCAGCCTGGGCAACAGAGCAAGACTCCGTCTCAAAAAAAAAAAAAAATCAACTTAGATTCATATATTTAGTGATAATCACTGCTAACATGTTGGTTCATCTCTTTCTTTTACTTAACATATCATAAATATGGCCAGGCGCAGTGGCTCACGACTATAATTCCAGCACTTTGGGAGGCCAAGGCGGGTGGATCACTGGAGGTCAGGAGTTCGAGAACAGCCCGGCCAACATGGTGAAACCCTGTCTCTACTAAAAATACAAAAATTAGCCTGGCATGGTGGCACAGGCCAGTAGTCCCAGTTACTCAGGAGGCTGAGGCAGGAGAATGGCTTGAACCCTGGGAGCGGAGGTTGCAGTGTGCCAAGTTTGTGCCACTTCTCTCCAGCCTGGGTGACAAAGTGAAATTCTGTCTCATAAATAAATAAATAAATAAATAAATAAATAAATAAATGAGAAAAAGAAAAAAACAAATATATTCTTGTCACAGAATATTCTAACATAACATTATTTTTAATGATTATATACATTACATTCTATGGGTATAGTATCCTTTATTTAACCAATTCCCTATGTTGGATGTTTCATTTTTTAAAGTAATTGTTGAAAACAGTGCAGCAATTATCCTTGAAGGCAAACATTTGTGTACATTTATGATTATTTTCTTAAGATAATTCCTTAAAAGTAGAATTTCAAGGTCAAAGGATACATATTAGGATTTTTTCCTTCTGGAAAAAAAAACATACTATTTTTTTTTTCAGCTTTCTGATCTATCTATAGTGGAAAAATCATGCCATACTAAGGCCCATTGGCTAAGTAAGAGTGCCTGTTTGTCCACCCTTGTTAACATTGGATATTATCAATTTTCAAGTCATTACCAATTTAATAGGATAAAATAGTATTTTGTCTTGTTTTATTTTTCATTTCTTTTATCACTGTGAGACCAGGCATCTTTTTATGGTTTATTAGTCATTTGTATTTCTTCTTGAATTACATTTTGAGAAGCAAGATTATATAATATTTTTGGCTCAGTTTAAGCAATACCAAATATCCTGATGATAGATTAAAAAAAAAAAGTTTAGACTTTTTTCTGGAGTCTTTTTCCTTTATTTAGATGCCAAAACCATAGCCTTTGGGGTTTGTAGGGTAGCTTAATGTTGACACCATCTAGGTATGGCCTTGGTTAGCTTGGTGGCCTTTTCTGCTGAATGGATATGCACATGGTGGGTACTAAATGAACATTTGAAGAAATGTGCAAACTAATGACTAACATGACCCAAAGTAGAACTTTTTCTGACCTGACCAAAAACTAAAATGCTGAGTTGAGAGGCTATTTGTGGCTACAGAAATATTATTGGCAGGTAGTCTGGGGCTATCAAATTCAGTTTCATTTGTAATTGAATTAGAGACCTACATTCTTTTCTCCAACGAGACTAGTATACTAAATCCTGCCTTTGACATTTGATAGTATTAAACAGGATTTTAGCCAATGAACAAAGTTTCTATTTATGGAAAATGTCAAGGGATAAGCATGAAAGTGTAGTAATATCATTATTTTCTATCTAACTGAATAATTGAACATGAACAGTGAGAAAATTTCTGCCAAACAATAACAAATGTTCTGTCCTGAGAGGCTGGGTTAAAGATCTGTTGAATCGTAAAAGATCCAACACAAATGCAAAACAAATATTTCATGTGTGGGCAATTATAGGTGAAAAGAAAACCCCACGGAAACATGTATATGTTTCATTCAAAATGAAAGGAGCCTGTTCCTGAATGGCCAAGATAAATCCAGCTATTAGTCCCCTCTTTGTGGTTCATGTATTTTCCAGAATTTGAAAATTGTTATTTGCAATTGGAATATCCGTATCCCATACCCTGCCTCATCACCCCTGCACATGCATTCATGTGTGCATGCGTGCACACACACACACACACACACACACACACACACACACCAGTCTAGGACTGCATGTTCCTCCAGCATGAATTACTCAAAGTAACAGAGACTTTGCATGTCAGGCCTCCAGCACGAGTCTGGCACAAAGCAAGTACTCACTAAATGTAAATGTGGATCATGGAATGAAAGAAGAAACTTGCCGAAGCACTCCAGAATAAAGCATTCAGGAGGCAATCCTGGCATTGTCACCTCTATCTGTCAAGTGAGAAGACTGAGGCTGAGTGGAGACTTTCTCAAGATTATATAGTTAATGATGGAGCTAAGACTTGAATGCAAATATGCTATTCATAGAAAGAAAATTATGGTGTTTTAAATACAAAAAATACCTGTTTCTGCATTTTTGAGTCTACTCCATATCATGAAAGTGAATTTATAATATTATAAAGGTTGTCTTCCATTCTATATTTACACCTTGTTTCATTTCCCAAATAATTCAGAGCAAACTATGACTGTACAATGAGGTGGGGAACTGAGGTGAGGATGGTGAGAGAGGTGGTGAGAGAGAAAGAGAATAAAGATTAAGAACTGTGAAAATGTATGCTAAAATTATAACAGTTAACATTTAGTACGTGCTGTATGCCAAGCATTGTTCTAAGTGCTTGCCATAGATTAACTCATTGAATACACACAATTACTCTGTGAGGTAGGTACTACTGTTATCCCAACTTCACAGTTACAGGAACTGAAACACGGAGAACTCCAGTATCTTTCCTAGGTCACAGAGCTAAAAGATGGTGAGGCCAGTATATAAACCTAAGCAGTTATAGCCCTTGATCCCATGCTCAAAGCACTATATTATTCTGCCAATATATCCTTGGGATACATTATATCCTAGTGATATGGTTCAGCTGTGTCCCCAGCCAAATCTCATCTAGAGTTCCCATAATCCCCACGTGTCATGGGAGGGACCCAGCAGGAAGTAATTGAATCATGGGGCTGGTTTCCCCCATGCTGTTCTCGTGACAGTGACTGAGTTCTCACGAGATCTGATGGTTTTATAAGCATCTGGCATTTCCACTGCTGGCACTCATTCTCTCTCCTGCAACCCTGTAAAGAGGTGCCTTCCGCCATGATTGTAAATTTCCTGAGGCCTCCCCAGCCATGCGGAACTGTGAGTCAATTAAACCTTTTTTCCTTATAAATTACCCAGTCTTGGGCAGTTCTTTATAGCAGCGTGAGAACGGACTAATAGGATCTGTACTTCTCCAATTTTTGTCTCCTGACCCATACCCTGAAAGCCTATGCCCTAAATCTACCTCACACAGGGTTCTAAGAGCTGAATCCTAGGATCCTCTCTTAGGCTTGTTACACTTCCACTTTGGTAAATGAGTATTTGTTGAGATGAATATTGGACAAAGTTTTTTTTTATTTCCTCAGCAGGAGGGTTGATCCATATTAAGCTCTGATATTGAGCTCCCTTATTTACTGGTGGTGTGATCTTTGGGCAAGGCACCTATCTTTGTGCCTCAGTTTTCTCATCTGTGAAATATGGATAATATTAATAACTATCATATGTTTAGTGTGAGCATTAAATCTGACCATGGATGAAAAGTGTTAGCACAGTACCTGTCACATAGTAAAATTAATGAATTATTAAAGTAATGTTAGCTGTTATGATTATTATAAGAAAATATAATACTTTGAGTTTGTTACCTTAAGGCCCAGTTTGGTCAGATACTCAGAGAAGACTAAATCATCAGGACTAAAAAAATAAAATCAGGCCTAGATAATATAACCACCAACTGTTTGCAGTTTAGTCTTAATTAACCTCTAGCTTTCTGTTCAATTGCCTCGCCTTAATTGGGTAAGTTTAGCTCATCCAGACGCAGGTATAACATATCTATTGAATTTATTTTTAATCTGCAAGCTTTCTAGACCAGTTTGTTGTTTTTACATTTTAAAAGTATAATGCTAACTATAGAAATTTAGAAATTGGCTGGGCCCGGTGGCTCACGCCTGATAATCCCAGCATTTTGGAAGGCCGAGGCGGGTGGATTGCCTGAGCTCAGGAGTTCGCGACCAGCCTGGGCAACACGGTGAAACCCCGTCTCTACTAAAAATACAAAAAATTAGCCGGGGGTGGCAGCGTGCCACCTGTAGTCCCAGCTACTCGGGAGGCTGAGGCAAAAGAATTGCCTGAACCCGGGAGGCGGAGGTTGCAGTGAGCTGAGATGGCGCCACTGCACTCCAGCCTGGAGGAAAGACCGAGACTCTGTCAAAAAAAAAAAAAAAAAGAAATTTCGAAATTGTAGAAATTTATGTATAAAGCGAAAAAAGTCACTCATAATCTCCTATTTTAATAATGGTGAAAATGGAATGAATCAGAATTCTTGTTTTATGGCACATAATAATCACTGGTCCATGTATGGCCACTCTTCATTCTGTTTATTCATCATGAAATGACATAATGATTAATAAAGACCCTCTGCCCTGCCCAAAAGTTAAATGTTTATGTCTCCTGTACTTGTTTTCCCTGGTGCCTCCTGACCTGTGCCTTCTTGCCAGAGGTGACTGTTATCCCAAATTTTGTGCTTTTCATTCCTTTCTTTTAGTTTCATCATGCACACATGGACACTTGCAAACACACATGTACGTGTATATGTGCCTAAATAATATATTTAGCTTAGCTTTTTTCCGAGCTATCAACAGGCAGTTTTGATATGTTATTGAGATACTAAAATTCAACCCTGTTGTTTTATGTGGCTGAAGTAAGATCAAATGCCAAATGCAATTTTGCATTCTGCCATCTACATGTCCCTGCACTTGTCATATTTAAGAATTTTCTCATTTTATTGTAACTGTTGCAGACAATAACATCTCATTCAGTGGTTATATCATAATTTGCTTAACCATCTTGCCATTACTGGCCGTTTAGATTATTTCTTATCTTGGCTAGTATAATTACCATATGGACAAACATTATTTAACATAAATATATTTTCTGAATTTTGTCTTATTTCCTGAAAGTGACTTCCATAATCAGAACTATTGGGTCAGATACCCAAACATTGTAGGACTCTTGTGTATTCTGCCGAATTGGTTTCCAAAGGCCTGAGACTAATTAAAACTCGACCCGCAATGATTCAGCATGCCATAGAAATGTCAATTTAAAATCTAGAGATTCAGAGGAAATCATGTGTTCAGAACTGCTTGGCAAGAATAAATCAGCCGGGGAAACTAAATGCAAAGAGGAAGTACATTCGTAATTATCAGTGAACTATTTTAACCAACTCCTTAAAGTTATAACAAGAACAGTTTTAGAGTCAAGTTCTGAAAAGAAGAAAATCTGGATCATTGCTCTTTTCCTGGTACCATATCAAATATTTATCTGGAGTCATCCAGATAAATTACCAATATTTTCTTTCTAGACATTTCATATGTTTAAATGTAGCTGTAATTGAAACAATGTACTGCTATGATGAAAATTGTTTTGCTTTAGGAACTTTTGTGTTTTATGCTTTGTATTTTACCATAAATTAGCCTTTTATTTCCCTTTGTGTGTTTCAGGATTTTGTGTTCCTGAAGGCATTCCTTGGTTTACTTTGTATCACATAGTCTAGTTCTAACAGGACTCAGATGAGGGGAATTTTTTAAAACAAATCTTTATTTACTCAGTATAGAAATTCCTACTGTTCAGTAGATTATTTAAAACCATCTCAATTTCCCTTACAGTGCCAACCAACATAATGATACCAGCATTTTCAGGCATAATTATCTCTCCTAGAGGGAATCAGTAAATTTAACATGAAGTTTATTACTATCCCTATCTTTATGAAATGATTGATGAAAACATTTGGCTCTATTATACCTAAAACCAATAGCAGTAAAATGGATAAACAGTGATTGGGAAAGCCCACTAGCCAAAACAGAGTCTAGGCTTCTAAGTCTGGAATGGTTATAGCACAATATTCCATACATACTTTTGAAAGAAGAGGTTAGTGTAGAGAATAGTCAACATAGTTATACAAACATATAAAAACCATTAAAAATGTTGGTCTCCAACTAGGGAAAGCCAAAGGATTTTGATTCTAAGTCAACTACTTGAAATCTCACATTTTCCCTCTAGTTGATGAGTTTTATGCCACAATTTATAAAGTTTATATTTTTCTGTTGGTTTCTTTCCCACATACACATTACTTTTCATTTTGTTTTTGTCAGCCCTTCATTTAGGTTTGAATGCTGCTTATTTTGTTTAATTTTACACCTAAAAGAATTTTTTGGATAAAATCTCCCTGCAGTTTATATCATGTATCAGACATGTATTTCCTAAATTTTTATTACTTTCTTAAAAATATAATTAGAGAGCCACCCCTTTGGGAAAGGTTAAGCAGTGGCAAGGGGTGGCTCTCTAATTGCTCTTTTCCTGGTACCATATCAAATATGTATTTGGAGTCGTCCAGATAAATTACCAATATTTTCTTTCTAGACATTTCATCCATTTAAATATAGCCATAATTAAAACAACATACTGCTGTGAAGAAAATTGTTTTGCTTTAGGAATTTGTGGATTAGCAATGGTTTTCCTCTCTGTGCCTAGATTTCTTTATCTATAAAATGGGAATTAAAAACAGTACCACTTCCTATAGCTAAGGTTAAAAGAATTATGTAAAGTATGACAGGCACAAAGAAAATGTTATGTGAAAGTTAGTACTTTTACTTTTATGTATCTATGCCTCCTGAAATCTCCAATAGACTGTAAATATCAGCCCACATGGTTGAGAATCAAACAATAATACAATAATATCACTGGAGGCACAAATATTGACCCTGAATTTGGTAAACATTTATTTAGGGCTTACCCTATGCAAATAAAAATATAAACTAAATGAATGTGTTTCATTAGTCAGAAGATCCTAAGCAAAAAGAGTGAGAATTATAGACACTTGAACTCCTTGCCTAAAAGACAGCCCTCGTCTACCTTGGAAGATTGTTCTGTCTGGTAAGGTTGACCGCTCACAAGGAACCTTGAAGAGGGTGTATAACAGACATTGCTATTTGCTAACTGTGCCATCCTTCTCCCCTCTTCTTACTCACTAACACAAGCCATGAACTAGGCCACCACAACCTTCAAAAGAGGCCAGCCCTTCAGTTGTCCCAGGAGGTGGATCTTGATTCTATGCCTCTCTCAGCGACTGGTTTAGAAATGGCTGAATGACTCCATTCTTGCTAATGCTGTGAGAAGCAAAGCCTACCGGGAGACTTCTTGGGAAATATTCCTGGTACTTTGAAAATGACACAGGAAAGACGAGGTTTTCTCTTCCAACTTTTAGACGTTAACGTGTAAAGATATAGTGCTTAGAACTGCAGTAACCACTTTTGACCATGAGTGTAACTGCAGCAACCACATTTGACCATGAGTGGGTCAACCCAAAAAGATAAACCTTTGTGCTGAAAAAAAACAAAGCAAGGATTTGGGGAAAAAAAACCCTGGATCTTTGATGATGTCATTGAGCTGTTGAATGAACCAACTTGTAACATCCTGACTCTGTTACTCTGTTTTTAATATGTGAGACAATAGATCCCTTAACTGCAGAAACTATTTTGAGTTCAGGCTTCTGTTACTTGCAGCAGAAACATACAAACTAACAAAGGGAATTAGGGATCATGTCTCAGCTGGTTAGTCAGGTATATTAATTTCCTGTTGCAGGTGTAACAAATTACCACAAACTTAGTGGCCTAAAACAATGCAGATGTATTCCTTGACAGTTCAGGGGTCAGAAGTTTATAGTCAATCTGTAGGCAGGGCTGTGTTCCTTCTGGATGCTTAGGGGGGAATCTGTTTCCTTGCCTTTTTCAGATTCTAGAGACTGCCTATATTCCTTAGCTTGTGGCCCCTTCCTCACATCACTCCAGTCTGTGGCTTCCATCATCACATCTCCTAGTATTGACTTTCCTCCTTTTTATAAGGATCTTGGGCTCTCCTGGATAATTCAGGATAATCTCTCGATCTCACGATCCCTAATGTAATAACATGTGCTAAGTCCCTTTTATCATTGAACTAAATTAACATTTTCATAGGTTCCAAGGATTAGGACATTGACATCTTTGGGGACAGTGGTCATTCATTATTCAGTCTATCACACCAGGTGAACTAAACCAACCCTAGAGACAAATTCTGGATGAGAGCTGCAGTCACAGCCAGCTCACCCATGTAGTTAGCGGGAGTACATGGGGCTTCGGAAAAAGGCTTTTCTTCCTAATAAAAGAAAGCTTGATATGACTGAGCTGCTAAATCAATCCACCCTGCAACCCTAATTTTGGACTTCTTGTATAGAGAGATGATAAATTCCTTATTGTTTAAACTCCATTTGATATAGTGAAAATTGCACCAAAAATCATCCTAACTGGTCTTCAGGGGTAGGAACCTGAATTTACTTTCGATTTCTGGAAGAGTATTATAAGCCACAAACTATCAACTCCTATATACGTTGAAAAAATAAGCATTAATGGTAAACTGTAGGTATTGAGGAAATTGTGTTCATGCAAAGGGAATGAACATGATGAAGAGGGCTTGGTAAACTGTAATTATGATCTCCTCTATATTACTTTACTACTAGCCAGCCATGCCAGAGTGTCTGCCATCATCTTTCTCTTTGCAAGTGAGTATCTTTGTTCCTAGTTGGTATCCCTAATTTAGCCCCAAGTGATCAATCCTTCTTGCCTCCTCATCTCTATAACAACACTTGATAATTAAATTGTGTCTTTTCTATGTGCCAGGCACTGCTTTAAGAGCTTTGCCTGGGTTAAATTAATCATCAGGATGAGACTTTGAAATTGTTACTACTGATATTCCCATTTTACAGGTGAGCAAATTCAACTGCAATTTCCTCAATAACCCCAGTTTACCATGAATGCTTATTTTCTCAGCTTGTATAGGAGTTGACAGTCTGTGGCTCATAACAGTCTTCCAGAAGTTGAAATAAATTCAGGTTCCTACCCGTGAGGACCAGTTAGGATGCTTTTTGGTGAAATTTTCACTATATCCAATGGGGTTTAAACAATAAAGAATTTATTATCTCTCCAAACAAGAAGTCCAAAATTAGGGTTGCAGGGTGGATTGATTTAGCAGCTCAGTCATACCAAGATTTCTTTTACTAGGAAGAAAATACTTTTTCCAAACCCCTAAGCAGTGTTTCTTTTTTTGGCATGATCCCTACGCCATTCACAGGCAAAGGGGAATGGATGATCCATGACTCCTCTCTGAGACTGAGCCTAACTACCATGAGCATATTGTTGCCTGATCCCTGAACAAAGCCTGGGGTCTATTAGCAAAAGGAAAAGTGAGGGAACCAAAGGAGCCTTACTCTCCAGGACATCTGCACGCCACCAGAGTGCAGAATGTAAGCTGTCTTGCATGCGTATGAAAAACATAACTCTAACACTGACCCCAAGGTCTCTCCTGCTGTGCATAACTAATAGGCCCTGTGACTGCTTACTGCTGTGATGCAGAACAGACTTCACAGGTGCTCCTCGGCTGGGACTGGTGTGGCAGCGTGGGAGGCAGGGGCATACTGTCACTATGACTGAGCAGAGTATTATTGGAAATGGTGTTTGACTCCCTTCTTATTGGTGCAACTCAAAAGGGCAATGTAGTAAACAGTTCCAGACAAATTTGAAGACAAGATGTTTTTCATAAGGAAGGAAAAAATTCTCACAACAAGCCAAATGTGCATCTTTTCAGATAGGAGCCCTTCATATTCACTGGAATTTCTTAAAAAGTAACTTTCCACATATTTCCCCCAAAATAACCTATTTCACTAAGAGTAAAGCACGTGGCACCTAATTTATCTTCCCTGAACAGAGTAGAGCTGAGTCACTGACACAGAACTGAAACCTTCGCACCCAAGCAGGCTCAAGGGACTGAGCCAGAACTGATTCTCAGATAGCTCAACCCTCCCTCCCTCTCCCACAATAAAGGTTCATATCAAAATCACACTCTGAACATCTGACTCATATCTTGTGATTATTGAACATACTCCTCCTGTACCAATGTTCCTGTGGACATTTGACCATTTCCATGTTCATTTCTTAGGGAAAACAGGATTGTTTAGCTGGAGGTTGAATCAAATAGATATACATATTGAAACCAAGTGTCCTCTCTTGCTGTCTGAACATCCAAACAAAGCTAGGAGCAGCCCCCTTACCATTAATCAAGGACCAGATAAACAGCTATCTGCTGAAGAGGACTTCTGCAGCAATGGCTTAGCCCTCACCTCTGGCACAAGGAAGGATGGATGGGTGGGCTGCAATTAGTTGGCATGTTCAAAATAAGAGACAAGTGGCAGGGAACACCTCTTGGTTTGACTTCAGCTTGCATCACTGTGGCTCTTGACTGCCATTTCTACTTTTCCTGTGTAGATCGAAAGCTCTAATCCTTACCCCTAGTAAGTGCAATAGTGCCCTTTGTACAGTTGGAGACCTCCACCTCCTAGTTTGAGCCAGAATGTGTTCTGTGCGTAAATACATTACATGGAGTCCAAGAGATTTCTTTCTTTCTTAATTTACACATAATAATTGTACATATTCATGGGGTATGTAAGGATGTTTTGATACATATAATGTATGATGATTAGATCAGGGTAATTAGCATATCCATTATCTCAAACATTTATCATTTCTTTGTGTTGGGAACATTCAATATCCTTCCTTCTAGCTATTTGAAACTACATATTGTTAACTGTAGTAGTCCTACAGTGGTATAGAACACTAGAAACGTATTCCTCCTCCCTTGCTCTGATTCTGTAACCCTTAACAAATCTCTCCCTAAAGGTTTCTGTTAACTCCTAATAAATGATCGCGTGGGTTGGCAGAGTCAAGAATGAGGTTAAATGGAGAATTCTTGGCCTGAGGACTATGAATTCCTTTTTTTTTTTTTTTTTTTTTTTTGGCCCATTTGGTTCCACGTGTGCCTCCAGATCTCTGGTGCTGTGGAGCAGTGACTGTGCTGTGTGCTGCACACCTCACTCTCTTGCCGCTTTCCCTGGTCTCCATCAGGACTTTACCAAAACACTCAAGTGCTGTGGCATCTGAGAATGTCCCTCTATGCACTGTCTGTCCATATAGTGAGATAAGGGAGGTGCTGGAAACAATTGTTCTCTTCCTCTATGATTCCTGCAAGTATTGTTTTGCAATTGTGCTGCCCGCCTTGAAAATCACATGGTGCCCCACTGGCAGCTTTATGATCATTTCTCTAAATGAAAGTGAGAGGTTATCGAATTTGTCTAGTTTAGTGTGAGTCACTTATATGCCTGGGAAATGAAGTCCTATCCTGTGTTATTGATACTGGAAGCTGCACAAAAGGAATGAGTCTCTGGAGTTTGGAACTCACCTCATGAATCTCACACCAACCAGTGCTGTCCTGGCTTTTCATTGGGATGGAATGAGAATCAAGTCCCCATGGTGGAGGTTATCGTGAAAACCCCAGATTTTAATAGAGAGGTAATTTGAGTACATAACATATTGAACTTGAATATTATGCACTTGAAGGAAAAATATTTCCTTTGTAGTGGGCAGCCTCTATTATGTTTTGGAGGAATTTTCCAGTAAATCATCTAACAGCTGCTTTACTGTATAGGCCTTGAAATTTTATCTGTTCATTGGTTACAGACACTTTTGCTTTTGGAAACTTCACATGCTTCTCTTTACCAGTAATATTTTGTTCCCAAAATATCGGCTCCTGGGGAGGATTTAATAAAGGCTGACCCAACAAGACATGTTTTTGAGCAAACCTTTTGGATGTCTTTGGCTAGGAACCATGTCCTATGTAAGTGTATTCTATGTAAGATTATTACTAAAAATCCAAAAAGCAACCTACAGATTTTGTGACAAAAAGAAAATGTTAACCATCTCTGAACATAAAGGCATTTTGCATCTGTGAATGTAGAAACAGTGATTATAGTGGGTGCTAGTAGAGGTATAGAATGTATGTGTGTGTTTTGGAGGAGTGGCAAGGAAGAAACAATGGGACAAGCATTGGCAAAAATATGGCTGGTGGAGATTCTTTCCTTCAGACTGCAGATTGAAGACACCCTTCACAGACAGGAGCCACTGAATAAACACCTCTGAAGAAGATAGAAAGAGAATAGCTTGCTAATGCCGTGCTAACTGAAGTGAGCCTGCAATTCTCAAAATATGATCCATTTGAGGGTTACCTGGAAGATGCTTATTCCAGAATAGAGGCATGATGTGTTGATTTTTGGAAGGGGCTCCTGGCCAACAGCAATTGAAAAACTGAAAAAAATGGAGGCTGAAAACTCACCAACCATGACTTCAGTTCATGGGGCACAGTCATTATCTATGCCCTTTAAGAAAGAAAGATTCCACATGGACAGTGTGTGAAGACAGTGGAGAGGGTGAAGGAAGAGCAGAAAGGTTTGCTCTAAGAGGCCCATCTGACACTGGTCACAGGTCAGTATAAGGCAGAAGAGAGGAGGGCAGGAGGCTTAGCTTGGAGTTGGTAAATGAAAGAGTTTTCAAGGAGATTTTCCAGTCATAAATTAGAGAGAACAAGAGCAGAAGAGGGGGCTATTTATGGAAATATTTGCAATAGGTGAATAGTTTGCAAATTATTGGGGAACCTGCATTTCTTTTTGTCTCATCTATTTATTTTAAGTCAGAATAATCCCTTATTTTAAAAATTATATGTATTGGCATATTAAAAGATTAATAAGTAAAATAGTTCTTTCCCTCTTAGGTTCTGTAGCACTCAAACCAATGGAGACAAAAATATCAGTTTGATTACTGAGAACAATTATATTGCAGGGTATGACTATGTAAGTGGTCAAATAGACATGCTAATACTCCACTTCCTCAATCTTTGCCTTGATTCAGCCCAATCAAGGTAAGTTTGGGGTACTTTTACCCATGATTCTTGTGTCACATTAATTTGGGACATGGAGAGAAGAAAAGAGAAATTCCTAGTAATTACAGGTTTAAAAAGTTTTAAATAGATAAGCTCTAGTCAAATGAAACCAATAGATCTTACATAGCAATTATTAGAGGGTAGAACAACAGGACAAAAGAGTTACCTCTCTGAGCGAAGCTCATCTACTTTTAAAAACCTGTAACTTTCATATGACAGCATGTGTAGAAAATTATAATAATCATACACGATAGTAGAAATAAAAAGCTCATCTACTTTTATAAACCTGTAACTGTCACATGACAGCACATGTAGAAAAGTATAATAATCATACACGATAGTAGAAAAAAATGGATGAGTCAGCTTGAAGTTAGAGAAGTTAGCTTAGGGGCTCTGGCTTTCAGAAGCCCTTCACGGACTTGGTTCACTTGTAACCAAAGGTTGTGGTACACTATGTACATAGATACGGGATCTGGGCAAGCTGATTGGCAAGGTCAGCCCTAAAGGATCTGCCACCTGTTTTCTTATTGTACTTTTTGTGATGATCACGTAATTTTTCTTTTTTAATTTGTTAACCAGTGAAGTGTCTTTCCAATAATTCCTTGATTCTCTGACAGCAACTGGGTGTCCTATAATGTAGTTCAGTTCTGACACAACCCAGAATGAGTGCAGATTCCACAGGTTAAGGGCTCAGTCCCCCAAGACCACCCTCATTTCAGACACTGGTGGTAAGACCTGGAGGTTATGCATACTTCTGACTGACCAGCTATCCATTTGGGGTTCCCTATGACCTCCGCTCAGGTTTAATAAGTCACTAGAATGACTCACAGAGCTTAGGAAAGCTTTATAATTATGATTATGGTTTTATTATAAAGAATACAATTCAGAAACAGCCAAATGGAAGACAGGAGTAGGGCCAGGTATTGAGTGTGTGTAGGTGGGGCCAGGGAAGACACAGAGCTTACATGTGCTCTGTGTGCACCATCATCCCAGCACATTGATGTGTTCCCCCACCTGGAGGCTTCCAGAGCCTCTTGTTCAAAGTGTTTAATCAAGGTTTCATTACATACACATGATTGACTAAATCATTGGCCAGTGGCGATTCAACAATCTCCAGCCTCCCTCTCCTCCCCAAAAGTGGGGCGGCTGAGTGGGTGAGTGTGTAAGGCTGAAAGTTGTAACGCTCAGATCCCAAGCTTTGTCTTTCTGATGATAAGCTCCCATCCTGAAGCTATCTAGGGGCCCTGCCTTGAGTCACCTCAGCATGAACTCAGGTATGATGGAAACAAGCTCGTTATGAATAACAAAAGACACTCTGTCCCTCAGGAAAATCCAAGGGTTTTAGGAGCTCTGTGCTAGTAATCTGAGACAAAGGCAAATAAGTTTTTTATTATGCAGTAATAAAAGGGTAAATTATATTCATATATTTTTAAAAATCTTAAACGGTTCTTTCATTCTTTAACTGCTTATATTTTATATACTATTTGATTTGGTATACTAATACCTTGTTTTGGATTTTCACATAGTAAAAATGGCCTATAGTTTTCCTTGTTGATATTGTCATTGTCTAATTTTGTTAGCAAGGTTCAATTGGGCTTATTAAATTAGTTTGGGATATTTTCTCTTTTTCTAGTCTTAAAAAGAGTTTAAGAATATGTATGTTCCTTGAATGTTTCATTGAATTCATATATAGAACTTTCTGAGCTGGAGTTTACTTTTGAGAAGTCTCTTAATTACCATGTTAAAAGAAAAACTTTAAACAAATTAAATTTAATGGGATTTAATGCAGCAAAGAATAATTCACAAATCAGAAAGCCCTGAACCAGAACAGGTTCAGAGAGACTCCGGTGCTGCTGTTTGGTTGAAAAATATTTACGGACAGTAAAAGGAAAGTTATATACAGAAAATGGAAGAGAGGTACAGAAACACCCAGATTGATTACAGCTTGGCAGTTGAACACAAGAGCAGGTTACAATTTGTTTACCCATCCAGTTAGGTTACAGTTTACTATGTACAGAGAAACCTTTACGCTGAACTTAAAATACATAAGGAGGCAGATTCAGTTAAACTTTTAAAAACAACCGATTCAATAGCAAAAATGATTATAAGAGCATTCAGATGTTCTATTTATTCTTGAGTCTGTTTTGGTAAGTTATGTTTTCTAAGAATTTGTTCATATCATTAGGTTTTTAAACATGTGGACACAAAGTTATTTATATTTTCTTATGTCTCAATGCCAACTGCAATTATATTTATGCCCCTCTTTTGAATCTTCACACATTTCATTTTTGCCCAAGTACCAAGGCAGAAGCCATAGCTTATAATTCAATGGAATTCTTAATGCGAGCCCTGACAAAAGTATTTTCCCTTTAGATACTTTGTGTGTGTGTGTGTGTGTGTGTGTGAGTGTGTGTGTGTGTGTGTGTGTGTGTGTGTGTGAGATAGAGAGAGAGAGAGACAGAGACAGAGTCAGGCTGGAGTGCAGTGGTGCCGTCCTGGCTCACTGCCGCCTCCTGGGTTCAAGTGATTCTTGTGCCTCAGCCTCCCGAGTAGCTGGGACTAAAGGCACGCACCATCACACCCAGCTAACTTTTGTATTTTTTAGTAGAGACAGGTTTTCACATGTTGGCGAGGCTGGTCTCGAACACCTGACCTCAAGTGATTTGCCCACCTCAACCTTCCAAAGTGCTGGGATTACAGGCGTGAGCCACCGTGCCCGGCCTCCCCTTAGATACTTATGAATGATATTAATTTCTGCCATCTGCCCCCATACTGTCTCCCTAACCCAGGATGTAATACTGGTTTTGATAATCCTTCTTGGCTGGGGATGTGGAAAGTTCTAGACGCTTCCACCTGGCCATCTACACTATGATAGCCCAATGTGAGGTTATGCTAACTGCCAAGTGTGCCAATCCCAAATATTCAGTAGGAGAAAATAAACCTGCCTATAGAAATAGAACAAGAAATAACCCTGATGGTGAAATTAGTAGATAGGATTTTAGAACCACTATGATAAAGATATTCAAATATTTATTTATTTGCATGCTAATAATTTTTTATTGGATGCCAGAATTTGTGGATTGTACCTTTGGGGTGCTGAATATTCTTTTTCTTTTATATTATGCTTTAAGTTCTAGGGTACATGTGTACAACATGCAGGTTTGTTACATATGTATATATGTGCCATGTTGGTGTGCTGCACCCATTAACTCGTTATTTACATTAGGTATATCTCCGAATGCTATCCCTACTCCCTTCCCCCACCCCACAACAGGCCCCGGTGTGTGATGTTCCCCTTCCTTTGTCCACGTGTTCTCATTTTTCAATCCCCACCTATGAGTGAGAGCATGCAGTGTTTGGTTTTCTGTCCTTGCAATAGTTTGCTGAGAATGATGGTTTCCAGCTTCATCCATGTCCCTACAAAGGACATGAACTCATCCTTTTTTATGGCTGCATAGTATTCCATGGTGTATATGTGCCACATTTTCTTAATCCAGTCTATCATTGTTGGACATTTGGGTTGGTTCCACATCTTTGCTATTGTGAATAGTGTCTTAATAAACATAAATGTGCATGTGTCCTTATGGTAGCATGATTTATAATCCTTTGGGTATATGCCCAGCAATGGGATGGCTGGGTCAATTGGTAGTTCTAGTTCTAGATCCTTGAGGAATCGCCACACTGTCTTCCACAATGGTTGAACTAGTTTACAGTCCCACCAACAGTTAAAAGCGTTCCTATTTCTCCACATCCTCTCCAGCACCTGTTGTTTCCTGACTTTTTAATGATTACCATTCTAACTGGTGTGAGATGGTATCTCATTGTGGTTTTGATTTGCATTTCTCTGATGGCCAGTGATGATGAGCATTTTTTAATGTGTCTGTTGGCTGCATAAATGTCTTCTTTTGAAAAGTGTCTGTTCATACCCTTTGCCCACTTTTTGATGGGGTTGATTTTTTCTTGTAAATTTGTTTAAGTTCTTTGTAGATTCTGGATATTAGCCCTTTGTCGGATAGGTAGATTGTAAAAATTTTCTCCCATTCTGTAGGTTGCCTGTTCACTCTGATGGTAGTTTCTTTTGCTGTGCAGAAGCTCTTTAGTTTAATTAGATCCCATTTGTTTGGGTTTTGTTGCCATTGCTTTTGGTGTTTTAGTTATGAAGTCCTTGCCCATGCCTTTGTCCTGAATGGTATTGCCTAGGTTTTCTTCTAGGGTTTTTATGGTTTTACGTCTAACATTTAAGTCTTTAATCCATCTTGAATTAATTTTTGTATAAGATGTAAGGAAGGGATCCAGTTTCAGCTTTCTACATATGGCTAGCCAGTTTTCCCAGCACCATTTATGAAATAGGGAATCCTTTCCCTATTTCTTGTTTTCTGTCAGGTTTGTCAAATATCAGATGGTTGTAGAGATGTGGTATTATTTCTAGGGCCTCTACTCTGTTCCATTGGTCTATATCTCTGTTTTGGTACCAGTACCATGCTGTTTTGGTTACTGTAGCCTTGTAGTATAGTTTGAAGTCAGGTAGTGTGATGCCTCCAGCTTTGTTCTTTTGGCTTAGGATTGTCTTGGCAATGTGGGCTCTTTTTTGGCTCCATATGAACTTTAATAGTTTTTTCCAATTCTGTGAAGAAAGTCATTAGTAGCTTGATGGGGATGGTATTGAATCTATAAATTACCTTGGGCAGTATGGCCATTTTCACAATATTGTTTCTTCCTATCCATGAGCATGGAATGTTCTTGCATTTGTTTGTGTCCTCTTTTATTTTGTTGAGCAGTGATTTGTAGTTCTCCTTAAAGAGGTCCTTCACATCCCTTGTAAGTTGGATTCCTAGGTATTTTATTCTCTTTGAAGCAATTGTGAATGGAAGTTCACCCATGATTTGGCTCTCTGTTTGTCTGTTATTGGTGTAGAGGAATGCTTGTGATTTTTGCACATTGATTTTGTATCCTGAGATTTTGCTGAAGTTGCTTATCAGCTTAAGGAGATTTTGGGCCGAGACGATGGGATTTTCTAGATATACAATCATGTCATCTGCAAACAGGGACAATTTGACTTTCTCTTTTCCTAATTGAATACCCTTTATTTCTTTCTCTTGCCTGATTGCCCTGGCCAGAACTTCCAACACTATGTTGAATAGGAGTGGTGAGAGAGGGCATCCCTGTCCTGTGCCAGTTTTCAAAGGGAATGCTTCCAGTTTTTGCCCATTCAGTATGATATTGGCTGTGGGTTTGTCATAAATAGGTCTTATTATTTTGAGATACGTCCCATCAATACCTAGTTTATTGAGAGTTTTTAGCATGAAGTGCTGTTGAATTTTGTTGTAGGCCTTTTCTGCATCTATCGAGATAATCATGTGGTTTTCGTCTTTGATTCTGTTTATATGATGGATTACATTTTTTGATTTGCATATGTTAAACCAGACTTGCATCCCAGGGATGAAGCCCACTTGATCATGGTGGATAAGCTTTTTGATGTGCTGCTGGATTCGGTTTGCCAGTATTTTATTGAGGATTTTTGCATCGATGTTCATCAGGGATATTGGTCTAAAATTCTCTTTTTTTGTTGTGTCTCTGCCAGGCTTTGGTATCAGGATGATGCTGGCCTCATAAAATGAGTTAGGGAGGATTCCCTCTTTTTCTATTGATTGAAATAGTTTCAGAAGGAATGGTACCAGCTCGTCTTTGTACCACTGGTAGAATTCAGCTGTGAATCTGTCTGGTCCTGGACTTTTATTGGTTGGTAAGCTATTATTGTCTCAATTTCAGAGCCTGTTATTGGCCTATTCAGAGATTCAACTTCTTCCTGGTTTAGTCTTGGGAGGGTGTATGTGTCGAGGAATTTATCCATTTCTTCTAGATTTTCTAGTTTATTTGCATAGAGGTGTTTATAGTATTCTCTGATGGTAGTTTGTATTTCTGTGGGATCGGTGGTGATATCCCCTTTATCATTTTTTATTGCATCTATTTGATTCTTCTCTCTTTTCTTTATTAGTCTTGCTAGTGGTCTATCAATTTTGTTGATATTTTCAAAAAACTAGCTCCTGGATTCATTGATTTTCGAAGGGTTTTTGTGTCTCTATTTCCTTCAGTTCTGCTCTGATCTTAGTTATTTCTTGCCTTCTGCTAGCTTTTGAATGTGTTTGCTCTTGCTTCTCTAGTTCTTTTAATTGTGATGTTAGGATGTCAATTTTCGATCTTTCCTGCTTTCTCTTGTGGGCATTTAGTGCTATAAATTTCCCTCTACACACTGCTTTGAATGTGTCCCAGAGATTCTGGTATGTTGTGTCTTTGTTCTTGTTTGTTTCAAAGAACATCTTTATTTCTGCCTTCATTTCGTTATGTACCCAGTAGTCATTCAGGAGCAGGTTGTTGAGTTTCCATGTAGTTGAGTGGTTTTGAGTGAGTTTCTTAATCCTGAGTTCTAGTTTGATTGCACTGTGGTCTGAGAGATAGTTTGTTATAATTTCTGTTCTTTTACATTTGCTGAGGAGTGCTTTACTTCCAACTATGTGGTCAATTTTGGAATAGGTGTGGTGTGATGCTGAAAAGAATGTATATTCTGTTGATCTGGGGTGGAGAGTTCTGTAGATGTCTATTAGGTCCGCTTGGTGCAGAGCTGAGTTCAATTCCTGGATATCCTTGTTAACTTTCTGTCTCGTTGATCTGTCTAATGTTGACAGTGGGGTGTTAAAGTCTCCCATTAGTATTGTGTGGGAGTCTAAGTCTCGTTGTAGGTCTCTAAGGACTTGCTTTATGAATCTTGGTGCTCCTGTATTGGGTGCATATATATTTAGGATAGTTAGCTCTTCTTGTTGAATTGATCCCTTTACCATTATGTAATGGCCTTCTTTGTCTCTTCTGATCTTTGTTGGTTTAAAGTCTGTTTTATCAGAGACTAGGATTGCAATCCCTGCTTTTTTGTTTTGTTTTGTTTTCCATTTGCTTGGTAAATCTTCCTCCATCCCTTTATTTTGAGCCTATGTGTGTCTCTGCACATGAGATGGGTTTCCTGAATACAGCACACTGATGGGTCTTGACTCTTTATCCAATTTGCCAGTCTATGTCTTTTAATTGGAGCATTTAGCCCATTTACATTTAAGGTTAATATTGTTATGTGTGAATTTGATCCTGTCATTATGATGTTAGCTGGTTATTTTCCTTGTTAGTTGATGCAGTTTCTTCCTAGCATCAATGGTCTTTACAATTTGGCATGTTTTTGCAGTGGCTGGTACCGGTTGTTCCTTTCCATGTTTAGTGCTTCCTTCAGGAGCTCTTTTAGGGCAGGCCTGGTGATGATAAAATCTCTCAGCATTTGTTTTTCTGTAAAGGATTTTATTTTTCCTTCACTTATGAAGCTTAGTTTGGCTGGATATGAAATTCTGGGTTTAAAATTCTTTCTTTAAGAATGTTGAATATTGGCCCCTACGCTCTTCTGGCTTGTAGAGTTTCTGCCGAGGGATCCACTGTTAGTCTGATGGGCTTCCCTTTGTGGGTAACCCAACCTTTCTCTCTGGCTGCCCTTAACATTGTTTCCTTCATTTCAACTTTGGTGTATCTGACAATTATGTGTCTTGGAGTTGCTCTTTTTGAGGAGTATCTTTGTGGTGTTCTCTGTATTTCCTGAATTTGAATGTTGCCTGCCTCACTAGGTTGGGGAAGTTCTCCTGGATAATATCCTGAAGAGTGTTTTCCAACTTGGTTCCATTCTCCCTGTCACTTTCAGGTACACCAATCTGACGTAGATTTGGTTTTTTCACATAGTCCCATAATTCTTGGAGGCTTTGTTCATTTCTTTTTACTCTTTTTTGTCTAAACTTCTCTTCTTGCTTCATTTCATTCATTTGATCTTGAATCACTGATACCCTTTCTTCCACTTGATCAAATCAGCTACTGAGGCTTGTGCATGCATCACGTAGTTCTCGTGCCATGGTTTTCAGCTCCATCAGGTCATTTAAGGAGTTCTCTACACTGGTTATTCTAGTTAGCTATTCATCTAATCTTTTTTCCAAGGTTTTTAGCTTCTTTGCGATGGGTTCGAACATCCTCCTTTAGCTCAGAGAAGTTTGTTATTATCGATTGTCTGAAGCTGTCTTCTCTCAACTCATCAAAGTCATTCTCCATCCAGCTTTGTTCCATTGCTGGTGAGGAGCTGTGTTCCTTTGGAGGAGAAGAGGTGCTCTGATTTTTAGAATTTTCAGCTTTTCTGCTCTAGTTTCTCCCCATCTTTGTGGTTTTATCTACCTTTGGTCTTTGATGATGGTGATGTACAGATGGGGTTTTGGTGTGGATGTCCTTTCTGTTTGTTAGTTTTCCTTCTAACAGTCAGGACCCTCAGCTGCAGGTCTGTTGGAGTTTGCTGGAGGTCCACTCCAGACCCTATTTGCCTGGGTATCACCAGCGGAGGCTGCACAACAGCAAATACTGCAGAACGGCAGATGTTGCTGCCTGATCCTTCCTCTGGAAGCTTCATCACAGAGGGGCACCCGGCTGTATGAGGTATCAGTCGGCCCCTACTGGGAGGTGTCTCCCAGTTAGGCTACTTGGGGGTCAGGGACCCACTTGAGGAGGCAGTCTGTCCGTTCTCAGATCTCAGACTCCATGCTGGGAGAACCACTACTCTCTTCAAAGGTATCAGACAGGGACGTTTAAGTCTGCAGAAGTTTCTGCTGCCTTTTGTTCAGCTATGCCCTGCCCCCAGAGGTGGAGTCCACAGAGGCAGGCAGGTCTCCTTGAGCTGTGGTGGGCTCCACCCAGTTCGAGCTTCCTGGCAGCTTTTGTTTACCTACTCAAGCCTCAGCAATGGTGGACACCCCTCCCCCAGCCTTGCTGCTGCCTTGCAGTTTTATCTCAGACTGCTGTGCTAGCAATGAGTGAGGCTCTGTGGGTGTGGGACCCTCCAAGCCATGCACGGGATATAATCTCCTGGTGTGCTAAGGCCATTGGAAAAGTGCAGTATTCGGGTGAGAGTGTCCCAATTTTCCAGGTACCATCTGTCACGGCTTCCCTTTGCTAGGAAAGGGAATTCCCTAACCCCTTGTGCTTCTCAGGTGAGGCGATGTCCCGCCCTGCTCCGTGGGCTGCACCCACTGTCTGACAAGCCCCAGTGAGATGAACCCAGTACCTCAGTTGGAAATGCAGAAATCACTTGTCTTCTGTGTCGCTCATGCTGGGAGCTGCAGACTGGAGCTGTTCCTATTCGGCCATCTTGGAACCTCAAGATATTCAAATATTTAAAGAAAAACATGAACATATTGAGAAAACAGAGTATTTCAACAGAGAAATGAAATCTTTAAAAAAAGAAGCAAATAGAAATTATAATACTGAAAAATATGGCATATAAAATGAAAATATCACAAGATAGGTTTACCATTACTGAAGCAAAAACTTGAAGACAGGCCACAAGAACTATGGAAAACTGAAGCAGAGAAGGGAAAGATTGAAAAAAAAGTGAATGAAGCCTCAGCGACCCATGAAACATATGAAGTCTCTCTCTCTCTCTCTCTCTCTCTCTCTCTCTCTCTCTATATATATATATATATATATATATATATATATATGATAGATAGATAATCAGGAGGAAGGAGAAGGAACAGATTGGAGCAGAGAAACATTTAAAGAAATATTGGTCCAATATTTTCCAAATTGAATGAAAAATATAATGTAATAAAATTGATGAATATGAAGCAAGATGAACACAAAACTGCATCATCTTATAATCAAACTGCTAAAAGTCGATGATAAAGAGAAAATATTAAAAGCAACCAGAAAAAAGGCACATTACGTAGAGGTAAACAATATCAAGAATAATTGCTGACTTCTGAGAAAAGAAATACAGCTCAGAGCAGTCTGAGCTCTGTGAGGTGTGCACAATTCGTCAGGCCCAGAGAGACAGGAGTATGGGACTTCAGCCACACACCTCAATCCCTTCCTGCATCCATGTGCAGGCATGACTGTTTAAAGGTATTTTTTTCCCGACTGGGCATGGTGGCATGTTTGTGCCTGTTGTCCTAACTACTCAGGAGGCTGAGGCACAGGGATCACTTGAGCCCATGAGGTCAAGGCTGCAGTGAGCTATGATTGCACCACTGTACTTCAGTCTGGGCACAGAGCCAGACCTTGTCTCTAAAAAATATATATATATATATAACCACTTGTAATTGCTGTAACTGCTGCTAACCAGAGCATATATTTGAGCAACTTGAATCCCTAGGCTCCTGGGTTGCAGTGCTCAAACTTGGCTTAAATAAACTCTTTATTAATTTGTCCTCAGTTTTTTCCTTTTAGATTGACACTTCTCAGTAACAATACAAGCCAGAACTAATGGATACTTTTGGCCCATCACTTGGACCACTTCAATCCATGTGTATCTCTTCAGGTATGCTGTATGATGTTCTTACAGACAGAATCTGTATAGTGCTATTTCTAGCCAGCCTCCAACCCCAGGAATCTGGCTTAAATAAATCCAAGTAGTAAAGCCAGGAACATATCATATGTTATGGAAATTATGCATCAGGTGGAAAAATATCTTAGAGTTGTGGGAATACTTTGATATATGTTCTTATTAATCATCAATGTGCTATATAACAGAATGCATGCTGCTTTAAATTTTAAAACCGTTTGTGGAGAAAAAAAAAAGAACTTACCACCTGGCTGGGTGCAGTGGCTCACACCTGCAATCCCAACACTTTGGGAGGCCGAGGCAGGGGGATCACCTGAGGTCAGGAGTTCGAGACCACCTGACCAATATGGTGAAACCTTGTCTCTACTAAAAATACAAAAATTAGCCAGGTGTGGTGGCATGCGACTGTAGTCCCAGCTACTCGGGAGGCTGAGGCAGGAGAATTGCTTGAACCCAGGAAGTGGAGGTTGCAGTGAGCCGAGATCGTGCCATTGCACTCCAGCCTGGGCAACAAAGTGAGACTCCGTCTCAAAAACAAACAAACAAACAAAACAACAACAACAAAAAAACTATTCGTGGCTAATAATCTAATGTGTTCAGAAGAGAAACCCTAGTACAAGAAAAAGAATTCTGTGTGAAGAACTATGTGAAGAACTGTGTGAAGAAACTATGATATAGAAAGTCAGAAGATATTGTACATTACTTGTTCTAAAGCATCCTGAGAAAGCAATATTAAGATCTCAGAAGTAAGTACCAAGAAAAAAATGATGTTGGTTTCAAAAGTAGTAAAAGAAATGAGTTTAGGCCTGCCATGGTGGCTCACACCTGTAATCTCAGCATTTTGGGAGACTAAGGCAGGAGAATTGCTTAAGGTCAGGAGTTAGAGACCAGCCCGGGCAATACAGGGAGACCTCATCTCTACAAAAAATAAAAATATTAGCTGGGCATGGTGGCACATGCCTGTGATCCCAGCTACTCAGGAGGTGGAGGTCGGAGAATCACTTGAGCCCAGGAAGTCGAGGTTGCAATGAGCTATGATCACACCACTGCACTGCAGCCTGAGCGGCAGAGTGAGAAGCCTGTCTTGGGGGAAAAGGAAAACGAAAACAAAATGAGTTTATTCAGGCTGCAGAAGTTCAAGTCAAAGGAAAGCTTAGAAATTTTATTTACATCAAGATAAAGAAGTTTAAAGCATATGATTATTAAATATTTCGTTGGAAGATAGCATTTAATGACAGAGAAAATAGTTACGATATTATTATATAGAAATAACAAGTCACACATTAGTAATGGATGTGGTATCATCCAGTAATAGAGAAAGTAGGCTTAAAGGTAATTTTTACTTTCTTCTTTTTGCTTTTTTGTATACCATTATGCATTTTCTACAATAAACATTTTTTTAGGTTTGTACATTGCTTAAAAATGTTTGTTAGACTTTATTATTTTAAGAGGAGTTTTAGCTTTACAGCAAAATTGAGCAGATGGGTACACAGACTTCCATATGCACCACCACCTCCTCCCACCCGCAGGCATGGCTCCCAATTATCAACACTGCCCACAGAGTTGCATGTTTGTTACAACTGATCAACCTATACTGGCATATCATGATCACCCAAATTTTATAAACATGTTATTATTTTTAATATATTTTATCTTTTGAACAGTTTTAGGTTTACAGAAAAATTAAGTGGAAAGTACAGAGAGTTCCCATATTCCCCTTCACTTCCCCCACCCCAGATTCCATTATCAATAATACTAGTATTAGTGTCATATAGTTGTTACAGTAATGAGCAAATATTGATACATTATTAACTAAAGTCTGTAGCTTACATTAAGGTTTACACTTTGTGTTGTACATTCTATGGTTTTGACAAATGTATATTGAACTATATCCATTGTTACAGTATCAATTCATTATTTTTGTAATTAGAAAAATGGTTATAAACACAAAATTAATGATTATTACATAGATGATAGTGATAGTATCTCAGGCTATAGAGATAAGCTATTGCTTAATTCCACTGAAAACAGAATAGCTCTGGGAGTTCATTTCTATTTATTGCTTCTAATAATAATACCAATGGCTTAACCTAGAAAAATATTATCTTTCCCTATTAATTTATGTATGTACCCTTTGGGTCTGAGAAGGCAATTAGTTTCATTGAGGTCATTCTTAAAAAAAAAAATAGAACAATTGGAAGATTTTTACATCTTTTCAATTACATGTCTAAAACTATGCCAGGCACATTTGGGGGTCTCTAGTGCCTGGGATGATGAGAGAAGACCTTGTACAGAAGATGATCTTTGAACTAGAACTTAAAGAATAAGTAAAAATGGAAAAAGAAAACAATAAAAGGAAAAGGAGAGTAGCATCCATGCAAACTGTAATGGTTAATACATTACATTAGAGGGTTATACTGTGTGAATTCTTGTTAAAAAAGAATAGATCTTTGTTGGATGTTTGAGTAAAAGCTTAATAGACGGAGTGCCTTTAAGTTGGGTTGTGATAAAATTAGACAAAGAAAAATACAGAGGAAAAGTAAAAGTAAACTCAGCCGCCTGGGTGTGGTGGTTCATGCCTATAATCCCAGCACTTTGGGAGGCCGAGGTGGGCAGATCCCTTAAGGTCAGGAGTTCAAGACCAGCCTGGCCAACATGGTGAAACCCATCTCTACTAAAAATACAAAAATTAGCTTGGTGTCATGGCAGGTGCCTCTAGTCCCAGCTACTAGGGATGCTGAGGCAGGAGAATCACTTGAACCCGGGAAGTGGAGGTTGCAGTGAGCCAAGATCATGCTACTGCATTCCAGCCTGTGTAACAGAGTGAGACTCTGTCTCGAAAAAAAAATAAAATAAATAAAATAAATTCAGTCAAAATGTGGAGGATCAAAATCTGAGGAGTGATTCTATGATAAGTAATACAGAGAGTGCATATAGAAGAGGTTTGTGGGAGATAAAGCTTGGTTGGTGACAAGGAAGGACTTGATGGATAGTCTTCCGAGACGGGGTTTGATCACAGCAAACCCGAGATGGAGTCATTCTGTATTATATTAACGTTTTCTGCATTTAAATCTGTATATTGGATAGACTGGGGACAAAAAAAAAAGAGACAAAGACCCATACAATTATCTAGGCGTCCAGAGCCTACATTTAAAAAGTGACATAGGACTAGAAAGAAAGGATGATCTGTAAGACATTTCTATGAAAAAGTAGTATCAGGAACTAATGACTTGTATTAGTCTGTTTTTTCATGTTGCTGATAAAGACATATTCAGGACTGTGAAGTAAAAGAGTTTAATAGGACTTGCAGTTCCGCATGGTTCGGGAGGCTTCAGAATCATGGCAGGAGGTGAAAAGGACTTCTTAAATGGCAGCAGAAAGAGAAAAATGAGGAAGATGCAAAAGCAGAAACCCCTGATAAAACCATCAGATCTCGTGAGACTTATTTACTACCACAGGAACATTATGGGAGAAACCACCGCCATGATTCAAATTATCTCCCACCAGGTCCCTCCCACAATACATGGGAATTATGGGAGTGGAATTCAAGATGAGATTTGGGTGGGGACACAGAGCCAAACCATATCATTCTGTCACTGCCCCCTCAAATCTCATGTTCTCACATTTCAAAACCAATCATGCCTTCCCAACAGTCCCCCAAAGTCTTAACTCATTTTGGCATTAACCCAAAAGTCCACAGTCCAAAGTCTCATCTGAGACAAGGCACGTCCCTTCTGCCTATGAGCCTGTAAAATCAAAAGCAAGATACTTCCTAGATAAATGGGGGTACAGGTATTGGGTAAATACAGGCATTCTAAATGGGAGAAATTGAACAAAACAAAGGGGTTACAGGGCCCATGCAGGTCCAAAATCCAGCAGGGCAGTAAAATTTTAAAGCTCCAAAATGATCTCCTTTAACTCCAGGTCTCACATCCAGGTCACACTGATGCAAGAGGTGGGTTCTCATAGTCTTGAGCAGTCCACCTCTGTGGCTTTGCAGGGTAAAGCCCCACTCCTGGCTGCTTTCACGGGCTGATGTTGAGTGTCTGCAGCTTTTCCAGGCATACAGTGCACGTTGTTGGTGGACCTACCATTCTGGGGTCTGGAGGATGGTGGCCCTCTTCTCATAGCTCCACTAGGTGGTGCCCCAGTAGGAACTCTGTGTGTGGGGGGGCTCTGATCCCACATTTCCCTTCCATGCTGCCCTAGCAGAGGTTCCCCTGAGGGCTCCACCCCTGCAGCAAACTTCTATCTGGGCATCCAGACGTTTCCAGTCATCTGAAATCTGGGTGGAGGTTCCCAAGCCTCAATTTTTGACTTCTGTACACCCGCAGGCTCAACACCATGTGGAAGCTGCCAAGGTTTGGGGCTTGCACTGTCTGAAACCATAGGCCGAGCTGTACCTTGGCCCCTTTTAGCAACAGCTGGAGCAGCTGGAACACAGGGAACCAAGTTTCTAGGCTGCAGACAGCATGGGGACCCTGGGCCCAGCCCAAAACCATTTTTTCCTCTTAGACTTCTGGGTCTGTGGTGGGAGGGGCTGCCATGGAGACTTATGACATGTCCTGGAGACAATTTCTCCCTTGTCTTGGGGATTAACATTTGACTCCTTGTTACTTACACAAATTTCTGCAGTCTGCTTGAATTTCTTTTCAAAAAATGCATTTTTCTTTTCTACTGTATCATCAGGCTGCAAATTTTCTGAACTTTTATGCTCCGTTTCCATTTTAAAATGGAATGTTTTTAACAGCACCCAAGTCACCTTTTGAATGCTTTGCTGTTTAGAAATTTCTTTGCCCAATACCCTAAATCATCTCTTTCAAGTTCAAAATTCCACAAATCTGTAGGGCAGGGCAAAATGCCACGAGTCTCTTTGCTAAAACATAACAAGGATCACCTTTGCTCCAGTTCCCAAAACTTCTTCAACTCCATCTGAGACCAACTCAGCCTGGACCTTATTGTTCATATCACTATCAGCATTTTTGTAATAGTCATTCAACAAATCTCTAGGAGGTTCCAAACTTTACCAATTTTCCTGTCTTTCTGAGCCCTCCAAACTGTTCCAGCCTCTGCCTGTTACCCAGCTCCAAAGTTGCTTCCACATTTCGGGTATCTTTTTGGCAACAACTCACTCTAGGTACCAGTTTACTGTATTAGTCTGTTTTCACACTGTGGATTAAAGACATACCCGGGACTGGGAAGAAAAAGGGGTTTAATTAGACTTACTGTTCCACATGGCTGGGGAGGCCTCAGAATCATGGTGGGAGGCTAAAGACACTTCTTACATGGTGGCGGCAGGAGGAAAATGAGGAAGATGCAAAAGTAGAAATCCCTGATAAACCCATCAGATCTTGTGAGACTTATTCACTACCATGAGAACAGTATGGGGAAACTGCTCCCATGACTCAAATCATCTCCCACCAGCTCCCTCCCAGAATACGTGAAAATTATGGGAGTACAATTCAAGATGAGATTTGGGTGGGGACACAGAGCCAAACCATATCATGACTGGAGTAGAATTTGAAGAACAGAGAGAAAAACCAAGATGAACCCAAGATATTGAACTTAGAATACTGGTGAGGCTGAAGGTGAAATTAAAAAAGTGGGGAGGAAAGAGCAGTCTTAGACCTGTAGTTTTGGACAGTAATTAGAGGGAAAAGTCATGGAGGTAATTGGACACAAAAGAAAGGCATCCAAGTGAGAGAGAACACAGCAGGGAACACAAACTCAGGAGCCATAAGCATCAAGGTGAGAAATGAAACTTTGAGAGTAGATGAGCACTTGGCTGAGAACTGAAGGGAGAGAGTTCCCCCAGGCCTTTAAGGGATATCTGGAAAAGGAGGAACAGCAATGGAAGAAGAGCCAGAAAAGGAAGTGTGAGAGAACTAGGGGAATGAGGCTAGACAGTAATGACCAGAAAGGAGTAATTTTAAGAAGGAGGTGACAACATCAGCTTCTGAATAGTAGTTAAGAAAAATTAGAAGGGGGTCAAGGACATTAATAATATTAAGTGTATTTCAACGGACTGTGGAAATAGAAGCTGGATTATAGAGGGTTTCCAAAGAGATCAAATGGTGGGGAAATAGATTCTAAGTGGGTAATGACCACTCATTTGAGGATTTGGGATTTGAAAGGAAGGAGAAAATGATGTAGAATTAGAAAAAAAAAAGTCTATTCAACATATATTTTAGCAGCTAAGAAACTCATGAATGATTAAAAGCAGAAGGGAAGGAGTCTATTTCCATATTCTTTTCTGCATGTATTTTTTATTTTAAACTTGTAGCCATAGCCTGGTGTGGTGGTGCACATCTGTAATCCCAACTACTCAGGAGGCTGATGTGCGAGGATGGCTTGAACTTAGGAGTTTGAGACTACAGTGATCTAAGATCTCATTACCTGAGTATTCTTTTGAAAATATATTACCAGGCAATTATTTTGAAAATAATGTTGTTTCATTATAATTTTTACTATTTGAAAGTATAGTCCTGTATTGTCTTCTTGAAGAACATGCAACCTTGCCTAGGTGCTCCTTAGGGAAAAACTGGGCCCACTGTAAAGTGGAGTCACACTGCAAGTGGGTCACAGAGCTGCTAACAAGCGGTAAGAATTTAGGATTATTACTTTTCTTTTTTTTCTTGAGACAGTCTCATTCAGTTGCTCAGTCTGGAGTGCAGTGGCGTGATCTTGGCTCACTGAAACCTCTGCCTCCTGGGTTCAAGCCATTCTCCTGCCTCAGCCTCCTGAGTAGCTGGGACTACAGACACACACCACCATGCCTGGCTAATTGTTGTATTTTTAGTAGAGATGGAGTTTTACCATGTTGGCCAAGCTGGTCTTGAACTCCTGACCTCAAGTGACCCACTTGCCTTGGCCTCCCAAAGTGCTGGGATTACAGGCATGGGCTACCATGGCCAGCCAGGGTTACTACTTTTTTGTGTTATAGTTTGACACTCAGAAAACAGATCATCCATTTCATGTTTGATTTTTTATCCTTCATGACATTGAGGAACATTCAAATTCCAGCTTCAGCACCCTTTTATTCTGCAGTTTGAATGATAAATAATAAAACTTCAGTTTCTGCTTCAGTTCTTTGTATCATAAAAATGGAGTTATATTTACAGATGTCAAATTATCATGCATACATTTCATGACCAATAATAAGATTTGACTAAGGGATTTTCAAAGAAAAATGATCTACTGGTGATGAATATTTATCATATACTCTTTGCTACATTATATCGTAGGTGATGGCCATTACTTCATGGCAACTGTAATCTGTTCCAATTGAAAGTGAAACTCGGCAAAAACCATGGCCTTGATCTGGATGGTGAAACAAACAAAACTATGGCATGAGTACCAGAGTAAACCACACAAATAGAAGCCTAATATGTTATATATTTTAGTTATTTCTTTTTAATAATCTACAATTTTAAGGAAAAAGGTAATTTTCAGATGCTATCAGCAAAATGATTCAATCTGTATCTATACACTTATACCCTTGATGAGTTCTGTTATCAAACTGCATGCAACAAAATAAATTGAAGGAAAACTGACCTGGAGATACATTCAAGTATGTGTTGAACGTCTGCTTCAAGTGGAGCATTGTGAAATGTGCTAAAATGAAAAGCTATGAAATAGGGCATGACTTCTGCTTTAAAAACCTACCTAGTTAGAGAGATACAGGTAAATGAAATGATTAAGTAGAAATGAAAAGAATGTGTTGTCAGATGATTGAATTGGATAAATGTTATAGGTGTTTGTAAAGGTGATTTCAGTTAGGCTGGGAATGTCTTTTGGGGAAAGGAGGATTTGAACTGCACCTTTATGGGGGTGGGGAGGTAGAATTTACATTTACGGAGGGAAAAGGGAAGTTATTCTCTTCTGGGACTACAGCCCTTGCCTGACTTGCAGTGGCCTCCCTCTCCTCTCCCTTCTTCCAAGCCCATATTCAGGAGTAGCTGATCATGGACCGTGTAGGACCTTGGTGAGATTCTATACCTGGCCTAGTGGTGTAGAGTTGTGTAGAGCACAGGGCCATACAGCTCTGACCACGTGTACTTTTGCAAGTCTGCCTTATAAATGTGACCCAGGTCACATTCTGCACTTATCACCAGCACTTGACAAATACTTCAGAACACATAATCTATGAACATATGATTTATAAAACCATTTTAAAATATAAAGCATTTCAGATAGAAGGAAAGAGGAAGGCACAGGGAAGTTGGAATATCTGCTTTGTGCTAGGAACTAAGCTAGCTGCTTTTCATAATTCTCTGAATTAATGCTCACAACAATTCTAAAAGGTTGCAATTCCAATTTAGAGAAAAGAAAATGGTCGTTTACAGATGCAAAGTAACTTCTTCACTTTCACCAACCAGTAGAGACAAAGTCAGGATTTATACCAACTCTAATTCCAGAAAACAGTCTCTTTTCCTACACCATAATCCTCCCCTAGAGATAGAAAATATATTTTTTTCTCTTTAATTATCAGAAGCACTTTAGTGTTGAGGTTATGGAAAAGAGAACTTATTAAGCTAGTTACAAGGTCAAATAAAGTATTCGGTAGGGTAGGAACAGTTGGATAGGGCTCACACTCAATCTTTGATTGGAAAAAAGGACTTTTTTTTTTTTTTTTAGCATGTTTTAAGAAAGATTACCAAAGTAAATAAAGAGAAAGTTTTCTAGTTGCCCCAAGCAATCATGAAAACACTACATATCTATGTGATTACTTAGCAAAGTCAAAAAGCATTTTATTGGGCAAATAAAAAGTCCAGAATGAACTCTGTGCCCATGACCTTTAAGCCACCTGAAAAACATGGAACGTGATGAAGTACAGCACATTCTCAAAGTCCACAGACATAAGGTTGAGAGGCAATTCTTTGGACACTTGACTTACAGTAAGCCTATTACTGGAATTCCAAGGGAGGAAGAGTTGTTTCTTCAAATAAAAATTAGCTGGTTTATATGTTGTTGCTTTGCATTGCCCAAGGGAAAAATGACTAAGGTATCACCTGAAAATATAGTACATTATTAGCATATATAAAAGCCTTTTAGCAAAACCTGATTTAAAAAATATGTCAGGCTACTTTCTAAACATATGTAATTTGTTCCAGTGTTTTTTGTTTTGGAGACAGGGTCTCCTTCGGTTGCCCAGGCTGGAGTGCAGTGGCATGATCACAGCTCACTACAGCCTACAGCCTCAATCTCCTGAGCCTAAGCAATCTTCCCACCCCAGCCTCCCAGTAGCTGAGACTACAGGTGCTTGCCACCATGCCTGGCTAAGTTTTGTATTTTTTGTAGAGACAGGATCTCACCATGTTGCCCAGGCTGGTCTCCAACTCCTGAGCTCAGGTGATCTGCCCGCCTTGGCCTCCCAAAGTGCTGGGATTACAGGAGTGACCCACCGTGCCTGGCTTGTTCCAGTTTTATAATACATGACTGTATTTCTTGATGATTGTAAAAATAATCAAACTTTAAAATATTCTATGATTCTGTGGTAAGAGTAGTTCTGTAGGAAAAAAGGATTTTTCTATTTTCCTGATTTACAGGTGACTTTATCTCCCTCTAGTGTTCAAAGAAACTAATGCAATCATTTGTGTTTTTCAGGTCTGGTTGTGATTAGCTGAAGGTCAATGTGTGGTAATAAAGCAACATCATTATTTGTTTTCATGGGAATTGGTCCATACATAGCTCAGGGTTTTCACAAACAAATACCACACGCATGAACTGTCAACCACATTTTGTAGGGTTCTTTTATATCTCAGTTATCTATTATAACTCTAACTTTGTGCTTGCATAATTCTTTGATAAAATATGATAAAATATGTTGACAAAATATGTTATTTTTAAATTTCAAGTTTCCAGAAAGAGAAAACAACAGCCCCCAGGGCTTGGTCCTTAAACCATCTTTCTTTCTTTTTTTTATTTATTCTATCTCGTTTGATGATCTCATCTAATCTCATGACTTCAATGACCGTCTATATTTAGATGAACTTTGAATCTATACCCTGACAGGAGCTGCACCCAGACCAGGATGGTTTCCTGCCTCTTCAGCATCTCAACTGGATGCCTACTAGGCAACTGAAACTTAACATGCTTAAAACTGAGTTTTTAAGAAATAATCCCACCAAAAAGTGGGCAAAGAATATGAATAGACAGTTCTCAAAAGAAGAGATACAGCCAATAAACATGTGAAAAAATGCTCCACATCCCTAACCATCAGGGAAATGCAAATTAAAACCACAATGAGATACCACCTTACTCCTACAAGAATGGCCATAATTAAAAAGTCAAAAAACAATAGATGTTGGTGTGGATGTGGTGAAAAGGGAACAGTTTTACACTGCTTGTGGGAATGTAAATTAGTACAACCATTATGGAAAACAGTATGGAGATTCCTTAAAGAGCTAAAAGTAGAGCTGTTAGGTAGTTAGGTAGACATTAGCAGCTCGGAGGGGGTGAGAGAAGAAAGCAGAAGGGCTGTCACTAAGACAGGCCCTGGCCCACCTAAATTCAGCCCCCAAATCACCATAGCTCCACCCTAATGGACAGAATTTGTGATAAAGTCTGTGGCCAGCACATCCTGGGGAAAGAAAAACTGGGGCACAGATAAAAATTTCCTAATGTGACACATGCCCCGTCCATCTAGGCCAGGGGTTTTCCAAGCTTTTGGCTTCCCTGGGCCACATTGAAAGAATCATCTTGGGCCATGCATAAAATACACTAACACTAACAATAGCTGATGAGCAAAAAAAAAGAAAAAAGAGAAAAATTGCAAAAAATCTCATAATGTTTTAATAAAGCTTACAAATTTGTGTTGGGCCACATTCAAAGCTGTCCTGGGCCACATTTGGACAAGCTTGATCTAGGCCATAACCCTGGGGAACCCCATCCTTATTATACAGTCATTATAGTAAAATTTACTTGTGGTTTTGCCCCTCTGAGTGGGCTTTTCTTAACGAAAGATCGGTAAAAACATGCTCAGTTTAACTTCAGCTATGTAACTATAAACTGCCAATCAAATGACATCATCCTGTCACTCAAACACAGCCCAGGCCTCAACTCCTCCCATAAAAGCATCCTGAGCTCTGCAAAGAGTGGCTGATTTCACTTCGTAGAAGTTGGCCCACTCTCCCTTTGAGAGTGTATTACTGTGCCTTAATGAACTTTGCTTTGAGCTTGCACTTTGCTGTTAGTTTGCATTTCTTTGCTCACTATCACAAGAACTGAGATTGCTGGTCCAGAGCTCCAGCTCTGTTGATCTCGGTTAAAGGATCCATCCCAAGGCAGCATCCCTGGTAACAGAACTACCATTCCATCTAGCAATCCCACTACTGGGTATCTACCCAAAGGAAAAAAAGTCATTATATAAAAAAGACACATGCACACCCATGTTTATAGCAGTACAATTCACAGTTGCAATAATATGGAACCAACATAAGTACCTATCAACCAATGAGTGGATAAAGAAGATGTGGTATATATACACCATGAGTGCTACTCAGCCATAAAAAAGGAATAAAATAATGTCTTTTGCAGCAACTTGGATGGGTCTGGAGGCCATTATTCTAAGTGAAGTAACTCAGGAATGGAAAACCAAATACTGTATGTTGTCACTTATAAGTGGGACCTGAGCTATGAGGACACAAAGGCATAAGAATGATATAATGGACTTTGGGGACTCAAGGTGGGAGGGGGTGAAGGATAAAAGACTACATATTGGGTACAGTGTACATTTCTTAGGTGACAGGTGTACTAAAATCTCAGAAATCACCACTAAAAAAAACTGAATTTTAAATTTAATTTCCTTCCTTCCTTCCCTTCTTTCCACTTCCTTTCCCCCTCCCCCTTTCCCTCCCTTCTCCCCTCGCCTCCCTTCCTCTCTCCTTTCCTTTCCTTTTTTTGACAGTCTTGCTCTGTTGCACAGGCTGGAGTACACTGAGGCGACCTCGGCTCACTGCAAACTCTGCCTCCTGGATTCAAGCGATTCTCATGCCTCAGCCTCCCAAGTAGCTGGGATTTACAGGCTTACACCATGACACTCAGCTAATTTTTGCAGCATGTTGGCCAGGCTGGTCTGGAACTCCTGACCTCAGGTGATCCACTGGTCAAGGCCTCCCAAAGTGCTGGGATTACAGGCATGAGCCAACACACCCAGATGAGTTTTAAATTTTCTTTCACCTTCCAACATGTCTTTCTGCTTCCTGGCCTTCCTCATTTTAAGGCACAACCATCCACCAAGAGGTTCAGGCAAAAAAAAATAACCCTAGGAGTAATTTTACCTTATCATCATCCCTTACATCTATTCTAGCAAGTCCTAGCAGATTTTCTTCCAAAATATATCCCTGATTTGTCCTCTTCTCTCCATCTTTCTAATTTTGCCTCCTTCTAGTTTAAGCCACCATTGGTATTTCCCGGGCCTATTCCAGTAGGCTCCTAATTGGCTTTCCTCCTACCCCTCTTGCCCTGTTTGCGTTTATGATTTCTCCATGTAATTAAAATAACATCCTTCCTCACTATGGTCCTGGCCTTCTTCAGGCCTTTGGACATTTCAAACTCATTCCCCTACTTGGACCTGTGATCTAGCTGCTCTTTACTTCCTGGGAAACTCATTTCCAAAGTATTTGAATGGCTGGCTCATTTTGGTCATTCAGATCCCAGCTCAAATGTCTCCTGGAAGATGTGTTCATTGATGACAGTCTCTCCCATTACCTTGTTTCATTTTCTTTTTGGACTTTTTACCAACTCAAATTATTCATTTATTAATTTACTTATTTTTTTCTCACTAATTTTCCATTTCTCTTTCCTAGAACAGAAACTGGGATCTTGGCTGCTCTCTGTATCTCTCATGCCTAGAATGGTGTCTGGCCTACTGCAGGTAGGAAATATTTGTTGACTGAGCAAGATGAGGATAATGAGTACAAGTATCAGTTCACAAAGAGAGAAGCATGGCAAAACAACAACAACAAACCAGATTCTGGACTCTGTTTTAAGTTGTACATTTGATTTTCCCAATCTTATACTCCATCCTAAGGTAACAAAAAAGCTGCCACACTGCCTCAAAGGAGGATGTAAAATAAGCTCTAGCACTCCTTGCTTCCTTCCACACATGCTACAGTTTCAAAAGCAGGAGGTAAAAAAAAAAAAAAAAAAGTAGTAACAAATAACAACATAAAAAGTCAGAACTCAGCAGCTGCATAAGCTTACACAATATATTTTAAGGGAAAAAAAAAACATAGTCTTGTAAAAAATTCCCTTAGAATCAGCACAAGTTTGGGCATAAAATTCCTAAGCAAACATTTGGTTCATGTCTAATAAAATCATTTTAGCAAAAAACATCCAAACCATAAGAGAAAACACAAGATCATAAATGTAACTGAAGTTCAAGCTCAGGGAACCAAAATATCAGTAATTCAATTTCTTTTCTTTATTTGGTCTTTCATATTTGGTTAAATGGAGGAACCAGTTTTAGTCCCCAGATACCTTCTTTTAAAATGGACTTCCATATTTATAGATTAGTAAACCAAAAGCATACAGACAGCTTTACCCAAATCAAGCACTAAGTGCAAAAGAGGATCTTTCAAGAGACAAATGACAAGATTGATAAAGTTCCTTTTTATAATTTGTGAGATACAGTGGTCCAACATGTCTAAACAAAAACTTCATTCAGAATATTTTGAGAACTGTATTGATTCTTATCAGGATTTTGCGCTGGTCTTAACCTGAACAGTGGGGACAGAGATTAGCTAGCTTATTTCTCCCATCTCAGCATTCAGTATAATTGGTGACATTACTGATTATTGTGAGAATTACTCTAAGAAGTCAGTGCTGAAAGCCACATTCCTCTTGCTTGACAGGGATCACGATAACTGACAAATACAAAGGAATTGTCCTTGCCAATTTTTAAAAAATTACTTTCCTTCCATAATTCTGGCAAGATACCCACCCAAAGACAAATTTAGAAACAGGATTCTGCAAATCAGAGGTTGACTCCAGGGTTGACCTGAAAATAGAGGTTGACTCCAGCTATATATGGTGGCCTAGTGGAGGCAATGTAGCAAGTCAGAATAGCCTGATGTTTGTAGATTTCAACGATGGCTTTTGAGATTGAAGGTGAATGGACAGTGAGATAGCAGAGGATTGAAGAAGGAAAGCTGGCAGATGGTAAAGAGTGGAAGGTGGATGGCTAATGTTTTTAGGCTCATCTGTGTCTCATGCTGTTGCTGTGAATCCCTCAGTGTCTCCTGGCCTGCTCATGTGGACTATGACCCTCCATGAAGCAATCCAGTTAACCTTGAACTTTTGCCAAGAATCTGAAACTCCTTCTAAACACCTCGGAACTGCTGGGACTAGTTCTTTTGGCATCAGGTTGGCAGCTGCTAAACGTAGTACACCTTTATATCTGTTGGTTATTGCCTGTGGAGTAAACCCTTGAGGCAATCTTTTTTTTCTTAAGTGCTTTTTGCTTCTAATTGGCTGACTGAACCCCCTAGTACTTTACTGACTTTCAACGCTTATCACTGTACCCTTAGGCTATGAAACAAAACTACATCTTCAACCCATTCTGAGAACTCTATTCTTATCTCCAGGTCTTTAATGAAATTTGTCTCTCCCTCAAGCCTATTTCTGTTTAGGCTTTTCCATTCTTCCAAGTTTGGGATATGGGGTCTGCAACATTTATCTTCTGTTTTCCACTATGAATTCTTACTAATCTTAGGCTCATAGCATCTCCTCTCCTTGACTCAGCTTCATTCGTTGAAGACATCGGCTCACAGTTCTCCCCTACGCTATGCTACTTCAGCATCCATGCGAACAGCCATAGCTTGAGGAACTTAGTTCCTTGACCTTCCATGGCAAAGTCCTTTACTTCAGTCCCCACTTCTGTGGCCACACTGGGGACATTCTCAACACCTGGAATAGCTCTACTTCTGAAATCACAGAGACAATACCCTCACTGCTTCACTTTGTGTTTTGAGAGTTAGTTTCTCTCACTATGTCACCCTTTCTGAGACCCTCTCCATCCCATTCCCTTTCTCCACAGTTAACAGTCCTTTCTTCCTCTACTCATTATTTTAGTTTCTGTGATTTTTTATTTCAACTTCACTCTTATCAGATTCTCTATTCTCATGCTCTGTTCTCCTGTTATACCAGCCTGGGAAAGACACTGTGTGTTTGTCTTCTCTGAACCTAAGTCTGGTCTGTTGAAGACCTTTGGAGAGTGGTGCAGAGCCAAGTGGATAGTGGCTGGCGCTGATTCAGAGGCTTCAACTTCAGCTGAGCTTTTCCTCTATTTCTTTAATCACTTTTGTTCTCTCTCCATTTCTGCCACATAGTCATTGAAACTTCTTCCTCCTCAAATTTTTGACCATCCCCTGCCTCCTACCTTTCTTCTCGTTCTTGAAAGGTGATTTTGCTTTCTATACCACAGAAAAAATAAAATTCATTTTTTTTGGGGGGGGATGTCCCCAACTACACACAAGCAAGCTTTAAACACCCACATTTCCACTCATCCTTCCTTCTTCTTCCTTTTACAAGGCGTGCTTATAAGATCTCTCCATCTGAAATTAATCCTATCTCCTTTTACTTTTTCCTCTATCTTCATCTTCTCCTTTCCTATTTGCATTTAAACACAAACAAAACTTTCCTATTTGAAAAAATATAGTGCCTCTCTCCCTGAATCCATTCAGTCCCCAGTCTATCTCTCTTATTCATAACCTAAACTTTCTGAAGATTGTCTATTCTGGCAGTCTCCCTCCTTTCACTCTTCAGCCTCTGGAATCTGGCCCCAAATCCTCCCACTGCATTGTACTGAAACTCCTTTGCCATGTTCACCAATGACTTCCTTGGCACTCTATCCAATGGATACTTTTAAATCCTTAGATTACATATTGTCAGAAGCTTTTGATACTGTTCTCTATATTCTTTTTCCTGAAATATTGTTTTTCTTTGTTTCTATGATTCTATATTCTGAGTTCCCTGTTATATCTAGCTACTTTTTCTCGATTTTCTTTGCAGGATCCCCCTCTATCCAATTCATAAAGATTGGTAGTGTTTAGGTTTTAGTTTTTTCTTTACTAGGTTCCTTTCCGTTCTGTCCCTACATACTCCTTGAACCATTTCATGTATGCTCATGGATTCAGATGTCATTTATATGTAAGCCTCAGATCCATGTCCTTAGCCCAGGAATTATCTTCTGAGCTCTGACCAATATGTGCAGTGTCTACCAGCCACATACACACTTCCATGTCCTATAGATATCTCACACTCAATCTGCCCAATGCTGGACTTATCACTTTCTCTGTAAAGCCTGTTTATTCTCCTCCTTTTTCTTACTCAGTGAACGATACCACCATCCATTCAGGTATCCAAAGCAGTAAAATGATCCTCAACCTTTTACCTTTAAACATCCACATCTTAAGTCATCTCCCACATATCTCTTGAATGTGTCCACTCCATTCCTACTGTCATTGGCTCAGTTCCAGCCATCCTCATCCCTCACTGTACTCTTGTAATAGTCTTCTAACAGGTTTCTCTGTTACTGCCAGTCCCACCTACCTACTATCCCTCTACCATGCTGAAATTAGGGTGATTTCTGTAAAATGGGAATATGATCTTGTCATTTTTCCTTCTTTATTTTTTGGTTTCAGTTTTCCTCCTCTTACTTTAAGGATATTTAAAACAAATTTCTAAAATTATGGTAAAACATATATAACATAAAATTTATCATTCTAACCATTGTCAAGTGTACGATTCAGTGGCATGAAGTCCATTCACATTGTGGTGCAACCATCACCATCGTTCGTCTTCAAATTTTTTTTCATCTTGCATAATTGAAACTCTGTACCCATTAAACATTAATTCCTCATTCCCTTTCTTGGCCCTCCCTCTCCCAGTCCCTGGCAACCACCATTCTAATTTCTTTCTATATACATTTGGTTACTCTATGTATTTCAGATGAGTGGAATCATACAGTATTTCTTTCTTTTGTGACTGGCTAATTTCAGTTATAATGTCTTCAAGGTTTATCCATGTTGCAGCAGATGTAGCAATGTATCAGAATTTCCTTCCTTTTTAAAAGGCTGAATGTATATGCTACATTTTGTTTATGCATTTGTCTATCAAGGGACATTTGGGTTGCTTCACCTTTTGACTATTGTGAATAATGCTGCTATAAATATGAGCATATATATACATATATGTATATATATATGTATGTATGTTTGTGTCCCAGCTTTCACTTCTTTAGGTTTGTACCAGAAGTGGAATTGTTGGATCATAATATATTTCTATTTTAATTTTTGGAGGAACTGCCATACTGTTTTCCATACCAGCTGCACCATTTTACATTCCCACCAGTGGTGCACAAGAGTTCCAATTTCTCTACATCCTCATTAACACTTGTTAATATTCTGTACATTAATCCCTCATCAGATTTGCAAATATCTCCTTCCATTCTGTGGACTTTTTTTTTTTTTTTTTTGAGACGGAGTATCACTGTGTCGCCCAGGCTGGAGTGCAGTGGTGTGATGTCGGCTCACTGCAACCTCCGCCTCCTGGGTTCATGCCATTCTCCTGCCTCAGCCTCCCGAGTAGTTGGGACTACAGGTGCCCACCACCACACCCGGCTAATTTTCTGTGTGTGTTTTTAGTAGAGACAGGGTTTCACCATGTTAGGCGGGATGGTCTCGATCTCCTGACCTCGTGATCTGCCTGCCTCGGCCTCCCAAAGTGCTGGGATTACAAGCGTAAGCCAACACACCCGGCCTGTGTGGATTGTCTTTTTACTGATGAGAGTATTCTTTGATGCACAAAGGTTTTTTATTCTGATGCAGCCGAATTGTCTATTTTTTCCTTGTCGTTTTGGTGTCATGTCCAAGAAATCACTGCCAAATCCAATGTCGTGAAGCGATTCTTCTAAGTTTTCTTCTAAGAGTTTTATAGTTTAAGACCTTACAGTTACATCTTTGATCAATTTTGAGATAATTTTGTATATGATGTTTTTAGGTAAAGGTCCAACTGCATTTTTTTCCGCATATGGACATTTAGTTTCCCCAGCATCATTTGTTGAAAATAAATTGTTAAGGTCACTATAGTCTTGTAGTAAGTTCTGAAATCAAGAAGTGTGAGTACTCCAACTTTGTTCTTTAATTTCAAGATTGTTTTGGCTATTTATGACCCCTTGGGGTTCCTTGTTAATTTCAGGATGGAATTCTGCCATTTCTTAGCATAAAACTTTTCAGTGGAGGTCAGTTGCTTTTGACATCCAAACTCCTGCCCTTTTATAGGGTCCTTTAAGATATATCACCTGCTTATCACCTCAGCTTCTTCTCTAGACTGGCTCCAATCCCCTTTATCCAAACCTACTCATCGACCTCTCAGAACCATTTTCACTGCTTCCAATAGCTATGCTCTCTTGTCTCAGGCCTTTGTATGTGACCTGCTTTTTGCCCGGCATTCTTTGCCTGGCATTTCTTCTTCCTTCACATTTCAGCTTCCACATCCCTTCCATGCCCTCCATGAGAAAATTAGTTGGTGCTTTATGTTCTCACTGAGGACTGCCATTCTTAGCACCGTCTCCACTACACGGTAAGTGCTTGGCTTGGACACCCCCCAGCCTGTGGCGAATGGATGTCTTGGTCACATTTGTGCTTAGCACACCACTTTTCATGTAGTAAACCATCTGTGAATGTTGGTTTCAAGAATTGTTGGAAGGTTCCTTTACTGGTATTCTTCCAAAGGATAGTTTTCTGGAGTGTGGGAAGAGTCAACAGCACAGGGGTTGGAAGCACATGAATAATGAAAGGTGTTTACTGGATCCTGCCTCGCATTACTCCACTCGCCCACATTAGCAATGAAATCTGTAATCATTTCATTCCAGTGTTTCTCCGAGACCTCTGAGGGGTTAAGGCAGCAGTCCTGGGCATCCGGCTTATTTAGAAGGAGGGTGCGGAAGTGTGAGGATCTACTTCAGTAATCAGAGGATATTGGAGGAGACCCACCCAGTGTCTTTGGTTATTCAACGCACACCTTAGACCTCACAACACTGGCAGCAGCGCCCCAGAAAGCTCCTCTTGCGGGACCGCGCGCCAGCTTCCGGGTCCAGCCCCAGAAGGAACAGATGACCGGAAATGGAACCTGCGCGGGCCCGTTGCTTAGCAACAAACGCTGCCCGGACGCTAGACGGCTCTGGTGCGGAGGGAGCTGAGACCGCTGCAAGTCCCGGGGCCCTGCCTCTATCGTCCTAGGGGTTCCGCGGGCAGGAGCAACCCAGAAGCACCGGTGAGGCCAGCGCGTCCTCGCAGCCATGAGCAGTGAGCAGGTGAGAGGGCTGCTCTTTGCCAGGCTCGCCGCCGCCGCGACGCTTCCCAGGCGTTTCGGAAGTGGTGGAAGCCCCTCCTGCCTAGCGAACTCCCCAGCTGTGACTCCGCGGTGTACAGCTTCCTTCACCCCACTTGTGGCCTGGGTTACTGAGCGCTTTCCGTGAATGCCCTTATAAGTTCCCTTCCCAGCTGTTTGCCCTTGGTCGTCATAACAACCAAACCTAGCCGCCTAGCGGCGCGCCAGCAGGGGGAGCCACAGCCCAGAGCACCCCCAGAGTGCTAATGGCGGTGTGCTTGGGTGAGAGGCGGCTCTGCGAGGAGTTGCAGCGGGTTTGGGTTCTAAGGTGGGAATCGAAGCCAACTCCTAGCCATGTGACTTTGGACAAATCTCTTAGTCTTTGTAAGCCTTAGTTCTCCCACCTCTTATGCAGAGCGGGGGAAACATCAGAACAACTTTTCTTCTTTTTGAGGTTGTTGTCAATTTCAAATTAGATACCATGCCATACCATAACTATACAATATTATACTATACATGAAAGGCCTTGGTAAGTGACATATGGCACTTCTTAAGATGATATTCCATGGTATGTGATAAAAGATGCACTTTGCAATAGCTGCTTTTCTTTCTCTTTTTTTCTCGTTTTTTTCCTTTCTGTCTTTCTCTCCTTTTTCTTCTAAGAATTCTTTCTTTATTGAACTTAAGAGCAACTAACAGAAAGGCAGAACAATGGTCAGTCGTCTTAATATCAGCACAGAATGGGAAGATATTAAACGTGGTCATTATTCTGGCTAGCTAGAAAATAACTCTAGCTTTCTACGTAGTGATGAATAAGGAAAAGGACTCTATAAACCTCCTGGAAGAAAAACAGTTGTTTTTAAGCCTGCAAATTTCATTTAGCTTTTAAACAATATTAAACGGTAATTATTTCTTTTTTATTGCTTTATAATGCTTTTTTCGGTAGTGTTAGAATTTATTGTGGAAACAGTATTAAAACGGATTTAGTCTCCTATCCATTGAGTTGTACATTACTAACAGAACTATGTGAAGATCCTGATTGGTTAGTTCATCAAATAAGTAATTAATACCTGAAATGCTCAAGAAAATTTGGTTTGAACCTTTTTAAAAAAATAAGTATAATTTAAGAACTAAGAAATGGACACTGATTCATATGCTAAAGTATAATTAGTATTGGTATTAATAATAAAAGAGTAAATGACAAGCAAAAAACAAAAAGTTCAGATACAAGTAACCAAAAACACTGAGCAATTGTTTAATAGATCTTACTAGTTTTTTTCTACATGATATTAATGTAATCAGATTTAAAAAATAACATTTGTTACTGTCACCATTATTATATATTGAGCAGCTTCTTTGCTTGTTGCCCAAGTTAGTCTTCGGCCAGATCTTGAACCATATCCTACGTTGTTAGAGTTTAAAATACACTTTTACCACATTTCCAATGGTATTTCTCAATAGCTGTTTTTCACAATTCCCCTAACTTACCCATCTACAACTAAAAAGTATCCACAAAAAACCCACCAGCCGTTAAGTTCTAAATTTTGCTTCATCTTTATAAAAGTGATGTTGGGAAATGACACCCTAGTCTCTCACTCCCCCTCCAGAAAGGTTGTGATTTATTGAAGAGGCAGCGGGATCTTAAAAGAATGGACATGATTTCCATTTTCCACTTACTATTTTTGAACAGCAGAGGGCCCTCTATCACTGTTTTGGTTGATTTGTAATTTAAAAACTAATCTTGAGAATTTCATTTATGCTAATTTAGAGTGTAGCTTTCCTTTGGAAGGATGAAAGTTTTTATGTTTTAACCTAAAACAAACAGAATGGATTAAACTTCTGGAAATGCCATTTTTTATGTGACATTTACTTGTATATTCATTCAGTTTGAGAAAGTGAGCAGGTGGTAAAATCGTATTTGCTGAAGGAGATTTTAACATATTCATCTCATTAGTGGAAGGTTGAGAGTGACATGGAATTTTTCAGGAATAGCAGTCTGGGCTTTTCTCTTAAATTAGGCATTTAGAAGAAATGTAAATCTTTTGCAATTGCTCATTTCATTTTTAAAATGAGTTAAAACTTTAAAAGGCATTTTTAGTATCAGTTGAAAAACTTTGAGAGGTTTAAAGGCACAAATATCCGAAGACCAGGAAGCTCCCCACAGATATACTACAGATTGTGGGCAGAGAAGAGGAAAAAGCTGTCAGTCTTTTTCTACCCCAGCACTTTTTCTAGTTATGGAATCAAGTAATTTGTGTTTATATGATGTGATGCTCATTCCATTTTCCTTCATCATGTTTTTGAAATGTCATTGCTTAAAAAGGGGAAAGAATGAAAAAAGTTGGATATGAGACCAACAGCATGGTGATAACTTTAACAACCAGAACTCAAACGTGTGACAACTGACAACTATATTTAAATCAGTACTATGAAATTTTGAGAGGTTATTGTTGATTTAACCAGACACATTTATAGATTCTAGTCATTTGATCAGGAGGGTTAATACTTGGGCTATCCCAGGTTTATGACATCTCTTCCAGCAGTCAAGTAGGTGAAAATCAGTGAAGTAAAAACAAAATGCAAAGCCAGGCTATTTAAGGAAGACCCAGACTCCTTAGCAATTTTAATTTTAGAATGTAAAATTATATTAGTCAGGATCCCAACAGAAAACAGATGGCATACTCAAAAGGACTTAACTGAAGAACATTTATAAAAAGACCATTTGTAGAGGTGTTGGTAAGGTTAAAAACTAATCTTGAGAATTTCATTTATGCTAATTTAGAGTGTAGTTTTCCTTTGGAAGCATGAAAGGTAAGGTTAAGAGAACCACGAGGGATGAAGAGACACTCAAGGATTAACAGCAGTAGGACAGTAGGATGCCATTACCATGGCTAGGCCTGATGGGTCATTGAAACTGAACATTATTCTCAGACCCTGATGAGTGCTAGACGCTTGGAATGGTAGCTTCCTGACAGGAGCTGAGGTCTGGAAGAATTCAGCCACTATCAGAACAACAGGGAACAGGGAAGACTAGGAAACAAATATCCTAAACTTTCTGCCCTCCTGCTCTTCAGTCTCCTCCTGGTGCCTTTTTTGGATAATTCCTATTAGAAGTCAGAGAACTGAAGGCACAGATGATGTCCATCTGTAGAATTCAGCCTCCCAGGCACAGAGCAGGAAGAAGAGGGTAAAGAATTGATCTGAGGCAGAGCACAACCATCACAGACATTATTATAAATGGATGCAATCTTCATAGTTCCCTGTCCATAAATCAGTTGGATTAACAGTTGTTGAGTTCCTATGATGAATTTTTCATTTAAAATATTTATACCTAAGAATAAGTCTAAAAAAGACATATGACACCCTTATGAAGACTACTACAAAATGTTTCTGAAGGATATGCTCCCAGAATCTGAATAAGTAAAGAAATACATTGTGTTCAAAAGAGAGAAGAGTCAGTATTCAATGTGTTTCTATCATTGTCCTAAAAAATTTCATGCAGTGTAGATCCTAAATTTCACATGGTAGAAAAAAGGTCAAGATTGTTTACGATAATTTTTAAGAAAGGTAAAGTGGAGGGAATTGCCCTACAGATATCAAGACCTATCAGGAATCATAGTAAATTAGGCAATATAATACAAATTTTTTTATGGATAATAAACCAATGGAATTAAAGGGACAAAACAGAGATGCACATATATATTTATGTTACATATACACACATATGTATGTATATATGAGATACATGCCTAAGAACTGTGTGTGTTTATACTAAAATACATGCCCAAGGAGTTCGCTGAGACATCTTTTGTAATAGAGAAACATTGGAAATAAGTTAAATGTTCATTCGCTAGAGAATGGAATGGATACATTGTACTATGCTCACAGAGTACTATACAGCTGTGAAAATCATTGAGAAACGTATTAATGGGGATACATTTCAAAAATGTAATATTAAAAAGCATGTTGCAGAAGGATACAAATTGTGTGATGGCATTTATATAAAATTTAAAATCATGTAGTAACAATATCTTAGATTGTTTGACAATCATATGTAGTAATAAGTGTAGTAAAAATTTGCATAGGAATGATAAACACAAAATTCCAGGATGGCAAAGAGTTGGGTTGAAGATACATAAGTGTTCATGATGCTATTTTCTGTATGTTTGAAATATTTCCTAATTTTAAAGAGAATAAGACGTGAGTAAATATAGATAGTCTGCACAGACAATGTTGGTACAGGAAACAGATAAATTAATTGGGTGATAATTGGAGTGAAAAGCACAATTGAAGGTTTTGTTTTTCTTTTTATTATTTATTTATTATTTATTATTTATTTATTTATTTATTTATTTATTTATTTTGAGACGGAGTCTCACTCTGTCACCTAGGCTGGAGTGCAGTGGCACGATCTTGGCTCACTGCATCCTCCACCTCCCAAGGTTCACGCCATTCTCCTGCCTCAGCCTCCTGAGTAGCTAGGACTACAGGCACCCGCCACTACGCCCAGCTAATTTTTGTATTTTTGGTACAGATGGGATTTCACCATATTGGCCAGGCTGGTCTCAAATTCCTGATGTTATGATCCGCCTGCCTCAGCCTCCCAAAGTGCTGCGATTACAGGCATGAGCCACCGCGCCTGGCCTCCTTTCTTTTTAAAAATAAACATTCTTGGAGCTTCCAGATAGCTGAACAGAAAATCTTGAGCCAGGAGGCATGGCAGCCAAACCCAAGCTCTACTACTTTCATGTCAGGGGCAGGGTGGAGTCAGTCCTCTGGCTGCTGGCTGCAGCTGGAATAGAGTTTGAAGAAGAATTTATTGAAACAAGATAATAATATGAAAAGTTGCAGAAGGATAGACGCCTGCATTTTGGCCAAGTGCCTTTGGTTGAAATTGATGGAATGATGCTGACACTGACTACAGCCATCCTCAGCTATCTTGCTGCTAAGTACAATGTCTGTGGAAAGGACCTGAAGGAGAGAGTCGGGATCAACATGTGTGCTGAGGGCACCCTGGACCTGATGATGATGATGGCGCTGGCCCACTGAGGAAAAAGAGGAGAACCTTGCTCAGTTGTGAAGAAAGCTAAAACCCAGTACTTGGCCATCTTTGAAAAGATTTTGAAAGACCATGGAGAGGATCTTCTTGTTGGCAACAAATTCAGTTGGGCAGACATACAACTGTTAGAAGCTGTTCTAATAGTAGAAGAACTCAATGCTTCTGTTCTTTCTGACTTCCCTCTGTTGAAGGCGTTTTAAACAGGAATCAGCAACATCCCCAGAATTAAGAAATTCCTGCAACCTGGGAATCAGAGGAAGCCACTCCCTGATACCCAATATGTTGAACTAGTTAGAAACATTCTGCAGTTCTAGTGGCAGCAGGTCACATGATGGCAAGAATTAACGATCCAACCACAGTATCAGCACATGCCTTCCGTAGTGGATAATAGAAGCAAACTGTAGATCCTAGGAGGAAAGTGTCTGAAAAGAACCAACCTGGCCAGGCGTGGTGGCTTATGCCTGTAATCCCAGCACTTTGGGAGGCTGAGGTGGGTGGATCACCTGAGGTCAGGAGTTCGAGACCAGCCTGGCTAACGTAGCGAAACCCCATCTGTACTCAAAATACAAAAATTAGCCAGTGTGGTGGCACACGCCTGTAATCCTAGCTACTCGGGAGGCTTAGGCAGGAGAATGGCTTGAACCCAGGAGGTGGAGGTTGCAGTGAGCCGAGATTGCGCCACTGCACTACACCCTGGGTGATGGAATGAGACTCTGTGTCAAACAAACAAAAAACAAAAACAAAACCATGCTGCCATTAACAGCAAATGTTGATTAAATATAACATTAAAACAAAAATAAAAGTAAACATTCTTTATTTGAATGTTGATGGGAGTTCTGTAGCATAAAGGGAGGCATTGCTAATTCAAGGAAGAAGGAGGATTATCAGAAAAGCACTGTCTTCAATAAAGTGAAAGGAGATGGAGGGATTGGCCTGTGATCGTAGGGGCGATAGTGTCCCCAACTGCTTGTAGATGAAGGATAGAAGAACAATGAAGGTGTGATCGTAAGTAGGTCTGTAGATTTAGTTACAGGAAGATGGAGGCATTCTCAAGTACTAAAATGATGATGTGTGAGAAACTCTGGAGATAGGTCATTACAAAACTTAGGATACCAAATTTATTAGAAAATCTCAAAAGTTTTCAATGTCTGAGATTACTAATCATGCACTTAAAGTGAATCCAATAGGACTGGAGATGTGATTTTCCTCAGTAATACATACCTACTTGGGTACAAGCATAGAGAAGGTAAGTAGTTGAATTCCAATGGGATTATGGTTTAGTTAAGTATGTGCCAGAGGGAGTTGAGGGTATTTGATAGGGTGTAGTTGTGACTATGGACTGTAGAATCTAAATTGGGCAAGGAGGAAGAGAAGATATGAGGGAGCAGATGGATACTGAGAAGGAGCTTAGATATTAGAGGTCTCAGTCAAAACAAAGAAATATAGGAGGGCATCATATCATACTTGCTGGGAGCAAAGGATGTGGTGGTCAGAGAAAAGAATGTTTTAAAAGCAAGATTTCACAAGAGCTGCCATATTTAGTGATAAGATCTTAGAGGGGTTGCCATGAAAGTCATTGACAGAGATGAAGTGGAAGAGAAGGTTACAGATGAGGAGGTTAAGTAACTAAGAGACTAGGCTGTTAGGTAGATTTAGTCACATGTATATTTTTAAGTCACTGAGACTGATGACCAAGAGTAGAAGCTCTTTTTATTGTAAGTAAGTACGATGGAACTCAAACTTCAAAAAATAAAACAGATTTTTTATGGTTTACTGAACTGGGAAATCCAAGAGAATGGACATCAGAATAGATTCAGGTATGTAATGGACACATGATATAATAAGGATTCTGTCTCCTTTCCTCTTCCCGTTCTTTCTTGATCCCCCATTCTTTCTTTTTCTCCACCCCGATCTCTCTTTCCACTCTCCACTTTCTTTCCAGTTCCTTAGACCATGGTTACAGTAATAATGGATATTGTGAGATGTTGGATCCAGGATATATGTTCTAGGTAAAGCTCAAAGGGTTTACTACTGAATTAAATGTGTGATATGAGAAAAAGGGAGGAATCAAGGATGGTACCAGGGATTTTAGCTTAAATAATGGTGTTAATGGTGATGCCATTTACTGAGTTTAAGAAAATATGGGGAAGTTCTGGTAGGGTTTGTGGGAGTTTATTGATCAAACAATATTTTGGACACATTAAGTTAGAGATGTCTATTTGACCTCTGAGTAGAGAGAGCAAAAATCAAATATAGGAGTGGGGAACTTAGGATAAAGGTTAATACGGGGGAGATAAATTTGGGAGATTCCAGTATATGGGGTAATATTTAAAATATTTGGGCTGGATGGGGTCAATTAGAAAGGAAACATACCTGAGGATTGAGGGATGTCTGTCACACGAAGATCAGAAAATGAGAAGGAACAGGAGAAATAAGATCAAGAGATCTATTATACATCATGATGACTAGACTTCATAAAAATATATCCTTGAAAACTGCTATTAGAGTAGATTTTAAGTGCTCGTACCACAAAAAATAAGTATGTGGGGTAATGCATATGTTAATTAGCTTGATTTAGCCATTCTACGATTTATACATGTATCAAAACACCACATTGTATACCATAAATGTATACAATTTTTATTTGTAAATTTAAAAATGAACTTTAAAAAATGAGAATGAATTGGCAATGAAAAGTTTAAGTGTTCACAGAGTTAGGAAGAGTATAAAATATATAATCATTCTGGAAATTGAGTGAAGACAGTATTCAGGAAGGAGACAGTGATCAACTGTGTCAAAATACTGTTAAAAGATTGAGTAAAATGAGGCCTGAGAATTTACCACAGGACTTGGCATTGTGGAGGTAATCAGAGCTCTTGATGAGAGTGGTATGCAAGGAATAAATACCTCACTGGAGAACATTCTGGAGAAATTGGGAGCAGAAAAATCGGGCAATTGCTAGAGGGAATATAGGATTAAGGCTGATACTTTTTCTGATGGGATTTTAACATGTTTGCATACTAGTGAAAATAATAGGGAGAGAACAAAAGGCACATTAGAGAGAGTTTCAAATTGCTGCAGCAAAAACAATGTCCTTTAGTAGTTGACTGAAAAATGTATTAAAGGCCAAGTGATAGAAATAAAAGTAAATACCACCTTGGCCTCTATAAGGGAAACAACACCAGAGATAAGCAGAAAATCTTTAGACTGAGACAGAAAAGAGATTATCTGTGAATGGAGGACATATACATTGAAAATAAACCTCATTATTTTGGAAAAGAGAGTTTGGGGGATAATGGACAGACTGCAAGTAGATATTTTGAATACTCTGCTCCAAGCCATCTCTCTTTATTGAATGGAAACGTAGTTTTTTTGTTTGTTTGTTTTTGTTTTTCTTTTTTTTGAGACAGTGTCTCTCTCTGTTGCCCAGGCTGGAGTGCAGTGGCTCAATCTTGGCTCACTGCAAGCTCTGCCTCCTGGGTTCACACCATTCTCCTGCCTCAGCCTCCTGAGTAGCTAGGACTACAGGCGCCTGCCACCACACCCGGCTAATTGTTTTTTGTATTTTTAGTACGGACGGGGTTTCACCGTGTTAGCCAGGATGGTTTCGATCTCCTGACCTCGTGATCCGCCCACCTCGGCCTCCCAAAGTGCTGGGATTACAGGCATGAGCCACTGCGCCCAGCCAGAAACATAGGTTTAATATTAACCAGAATGTTAAGAGAGCAGAGACTCTCTGCTCGAAGAGAAGAGCCATCCCTTCCCCAAAGCCTTTAGATTTAAGACCTCATGGGAGAAGGTGTGGCTGTGGCCCAGTGGGTGGACAAACATTTGCTGAGGAGATGCAGGTCTGGGCTAGGAGGAGAAAACTACCTGCTGGGATCCTGAAAGTTTGCAAGGAAGTCTCCCTCTGTGATGTAAGTGAAACTTGTGGAAAGCTGCCCACAGGGATGCTGGCGAAACTTGCTGGAGGGTGTCTGCCTCTGAGTTAGCCTCACACCACAGATTGACAAGGTTGCTGACTGCTGGCAGCCACACCATGGGAGCTATGAGAAAAAGCACTGGAATCAGGAAGAAAGCCTCTTCCTCTTACAGTGCTTCTTGGCACCCATGATAATATGCTGGTTGTCAAAGGAGAAATGTTATAATGTCCTGTGACATATCCCAAAGGAGGGCAAAAAAGGCAGATTTGGAGCTGAGGCAATAAATTGACAACTGGCCAGAAGCACAACTCATATTATCTGCTTTATAGATCAAATTGTCATTTTCAACAAATGCTTCCTCTCACTTAGACAAAACTTCTACCATGGAATTATTCTCTACTGCAAAGGAGATTAGCCCCTTTCTCTTAAGGTTACTGCTAAGAGGTTCAAATGTTACTTATGGCAGCTTGCGGGGGGAAAAACCAGAATACATATTCACCTTAGGAAGTAGACCATTCTAGGAAAAAAAAAATTGAAGTTTTAGTTATAGAGAAGGGAGGTGGGGCCAAGTAAGTTTTGAATAAATTAGATTCAGACAGACTTCCAGAAGATATGCCCAATTCTCCATTAAATTGTCTTGGAACCCTCATGAAAAATCAATTGCCCATAAATGTCTGGGTTTATTTCTGAACTCCTAATTCTATTCCCTTGATCTCTGTTTATCCTTATGCTAGAGCAATGCAGTCTTTATTACTGTAGTTTTGTAGTAAGTCGTAAAATCTCGAAGTGTGAGTCTGCCAATTTGTTCCTCTTTTTCAAGATTGTTTGATTCTTCTTGATACATTTCCATGTTAATTTTATGATCAATTTGTTAATTTCTACAAGAAGGGAAGCTGGGATTTTGATAGGGATTATGTTCCATCTGTAGAATATTTTCAGGGTGTATTGCATCTTAACAATATTAGTCTCCCAATCCATGAACATGGGTTGTCCTTTTATTTATCAAGAACTTTAATTTTTTTCAATAATGTTTTATGGTTTCATTGTATAGGTCTTACACTTTTGTTAAATTTATTCCTAAGTCTTTTATTCTATTTCATGCAATTGTAAATGGAATTGTCTCAATTTCAATTTTGTATTAAATACAATTATATTAAATACAATTGATTTTTAGAATATGTATTATTACTGTTTTATTATAAGGGATACAAATCAGGAAAAAACACGTGGAGAGACACATGGGGATAGGCCTGGGAGAGTCCTGGGTGCGGAGCTTCCATGTCCTCTCCCTGTGGAATTGGGATGCATCGCCCTCCTGGCGTATCCTATATATATTTGATGTTTGTGTGTTGATCTTGTATCCTGCAACCTACCTGGATACAAGAACTCATTGACTAGCTTTAATATTTTTTGATGAATTATTTAAGATTTTCAGTATATAAGATCATGCCATTTGTACAGTATGTTTTAGAATATTTTGGATGATGTATGCTTACAATAAACACTGTAAAATTTGGTTGAGTGAATCAATTTTAGCATTAACGGAGTAAACAGTTTTGTTTTTTCATGTTTTTCATACAGGATAAATCGGCCAGCAAAGAAAAATCCAAGAAACCAGTAAGATTTCTACCACAGCTGTCTATGGTAATTTACCAATATACCATCATACTTCATTCCTTTATGATAATGTTTGTTTACTACTTTTCAAGCTTGAAAGTAAGTTACTGAATTTCTGATTTTAAATTTTATACAATTTTAAATTCCATTTGATTCTTTTCTGATGGAGGAATTCTGTGAGGTACATAGGAAGAATAATAACAATAAAATAACTATAGGCTGTAATTTTCAGGTATGTACAGGATGGTTGGGTCCAGGTTAGATTTTACAGAATAAAATTTGCTGTCTAGGTATGTTGAGTTTAATGCGGTTGAGTTAAACTATTATAACTTCTACAGAAGTTGAGTTTAAGTGGAGTTTCAATTCAAATATTAATTGTTTTGAAACATTTTAAGAGCTCAGCATGAACTGTGTAATGGAATTTGGACTGCTTTATGCAGAGTTGATTCCTAATGTTTTGAAATAAAAAAACTTGGATGAAAATTTTAAGTGTATGATCTTGGACATTTCAAGTACATGTTTTAATTGTGTACTTATTCATATTAATAATACCAAGATTACCAAAAGTTCTACAAAATAGAATCAAAGCATTTTTTTTAGTTCTGCAAATATTTATCTTGTTTCTAGTTTATAAGTAAACCTGAAATGAAATAGACATTTTCTCTTTTAAAAAATTTGACAAATTCTAAAATTGAAAAAAGGTATTAGCTTTTTTGGCGTGTTAAATTTAAATTTACTTGCTGAATAAATATTCAGTGGCTGAGTTGAATAATCTCTTCTAGTCAGCAAGGCATGTAATTGTCTAAAATGCTTTCGTTGGCTGATTTAAAACCTTATATTGTGCTCATGTTTGACTGGCTCTTGTAATTTTCCTTCCGTATCCTTTGAGTTTTATGTCTTTTAAAAGAAATTAGATTTTTAAGAGGTATTTAAAAACATTCATTTATTTAAAAATTTTTATTTGAATATTAAAGTTTGTTCCTGGCTATAAGTTCTTCCGCAGTAATTAAGACATAGAATGATTTTAATTACGGACCTTCGGGCTTCTAGAGGTGAACCCTGTAGTTGAAACTGGCACTGGTGGCTCTCAGCCCCTGTGAGCTGGTGACCTGATTCTCACCCTTTCTGCACACCTCATTCATATCCCTCCCACAAGTCTTAAATCTTTTATGGAACAAGATTAGAGTTGAACAATGAAAGAGCAAATGGAAAGATGAAAGAGCACTGACTTACATGTTTTCCTAGCCTATTTTCCTGTGCACAAGTTATCTGAAACAAGGACTTGTGTGCAGGTAGTGTATTTGAGACGCAATAATAAGAGACTGAGGAGAGTAAAAGTAGGAAGAAGGAAAGGCCACACAACCATGGGCTATCAAGTTGATTAGCACAGTAGGCAACTGGTATGTCCTGCCATGACCTCTGAGCTTATAGAATGCTTCCTGGAATTGATCACCTGAGGAGGGTCAAGGAATAGCATTTATCTGTCATCTTTCATCCTGTATTGGTGAAAGATTGTTCCTGGGGATGTTGACTCCCATCCTCTTCTGGCTGCTCATGTGTGTGAGCAGAGTGGGCTCTTCCTAGAGTCCCATACTGTAGCATTAGAGGATTCCCCCTGCAGAAAAGAAAAAACATTTCTTTTTTCTTTTTTTTTTTTTTTTCAGACAGAGTGCAGTGGCATGATCTTGGCTCACTGCAACCTCCGCCTCCCGGGCTCAAGCAATTCTCCTGTCTCAGCCTCCTGAGTAGCTGGGATTACAGGTGTATGCCACCACGCCTGCCTAATTTTTGTATTTTTAGTAGAGATGTGGTTTCACCATGTTGGCCAGGCTGGTCTCGAACCCCTGACCTCAGGTAATCCGCCCGCCTCGGCCTCCCAAAGTGCTGGGATTACAGGCGTGAACCACTGCGCCCGGCCACAAAAGATATTTTCTTGATGTGAGAAGCTAGCACAGAACTGTTTACTGCAGCCATGTCTGGAATCCAAGGTGAGGCCAGCAGGATGTGAGGCATCATTTGCCAGATGATTTTTCTGACATATGTGTGGCTGCTTGTCTTGGTTAGCTAGAGAAGCACTATTTGTAAAATATTCTATAAGATACATATTCCGCACTGCAATGTAAGAAGAAAACATTAAGGTCCTCACCACCCTTCTTCACCTAGAGTGATGGTGAGACTTGGAGAAATAGCTCAGCAACAGCATGGATGATGCAGAGATCTTAAAAAGTCAGGGTGGTGGCAGTGATGGGGTTGTTGTATAGGAGGCTTGGGTTACATAGGGTGTTTTGGATATTTGTAGTGACTCCAGGACAATAGATGTCATTCGAATTACCTCTGTCCCTGATGTGAAAATTCCAGGGCACTTGGACTAGACATCCCAGAGCCATTCCTCTCTGTCATCTATAACTGCATTCTTCTCAGGCCTTTGCCACACCCTCATTCTCCCCAAAGGGAAGGCTTCAACTCTGAGAACACCTATTGCACCTGTTAGCTTGAAAATGTTGTGCTCATATTTCCCTTCCCATTGTGTAGCCCAGTGGGAATTGTAGAAACCAGAACCATTTGGGTTACAGCATTGTATATGTGTGAAACGTTCCCCTAATCTGGTGCTTGTATTTCAGAAAGTACTGTCTGAAGCTCATTGCACTCTTTCCTTTTCTTTTCCTTTCTTTTCTTTTCTTATCTTTAGTTATCCATTTTTTAGGGCATGGTTAACCATTTTGTAATTTTTTTTTGAGACAAGGAGGTCTTGCTGTGTTGTCCAGGCTGGAGTGCAGTGGTGTGATCATGGCTCACTATAGCCTCTACCTCCTGGGCTTATGTGAGCCTCACCAGTAGCTGGGACCACAGGCATGGGTCACCACGCCTAGCTAATTTTTGTATTTTTGGTAGAGACAGGGTTTCACCATGTTGCCCAGGCTGGTCTTGAACTCCTGGGCTCTAGTGATCCTCCTGCCTTGGCTTTCCAAAAGTGCTGGGATTACAGCTGTGAGCCATTGTGCCCAGCCTCACCATTTTATGATTTTCTAAGATAAAGCTAAAATGACTTTAAAGTCAGTTTTCCCATTGTATTAGTTCCTTCTCATGCTGCTATGAAGAAATACCCGAAACTGGGTAATTTGTGAAGAGAAGAGCTTTAGTTGACTCACAGTTCCACATGGCTGGGGAGGCCTCAGGAAACTTACAAACATCGTGGAAAGGGAAGCAACTTTCTTCTTCACATGGTGGCAGGAGACAAGAGGGAGAAGAATGAGAGCCAAGTGAAGGGGAAGCCCCTTATAAAACCATCAGATTTTGTGAGAACTCACTATCACAAGACTAGCATGGGGGAAACTGCTCCCATGATTCAATTACCTCCCACCCAGGTCCCTCCCATGACACATAGGGATTATGGGAACTATAATTCAAGATGAGATTTGGGTTGGGACACAGCCAAACCATGTCACTCATCTCTATAAGACTGATTTAGTAGGTGGAGGTGGGGTGGGGTGAGGGGTTAGGAGAACAGTATAGGTAGGTGTACACATAATTCATATATCAGAATATATTTTATTTATTTAAAGACAGGTGTCTCTCTGTTGCCCAGGCTGGAGTGCAGTAGTGCAGTCTTGGCTCATGGCAACCTCCACCTCCTGTGCTCAAGCAATCCTCCCTCCTCAGCCTCCTGAGTAACCGGGACCACAGGCACCACCATACCCAGGTTATTTTTGTGTATCTGTTTTGGTAGAGATGGAGTTTCACCATGTTGCCCAGGCTGGTCTTGAACTCCTGAGCTCAAGCACTCCGCTCCCCTTTGCCTCCCAAAGTGCTAGGATTACAGGCATGAGCCATCACACCCAGCCAAAAATAATTTAAACAATAAAGAATGCTATGCATCTTCAAAGGAGATTACTTACAGTTGGAGTTAAGAAATGAAATGTAAACTTTTTCGATTTTGGTCTTAAAGGGCTAGATTTTAACAGGGAGATATTTTGGAACCTATTGGTGGCTCTGACAGGGTAATTAATACTATCTGACAAAACAAATGGAAGTCGAAATCTCAGAGACTTAACCCAACAAAGATTAGGCCTTGCTCACATGAAGTCTGACGAGGGTCAGGTAGCGCTGCATCTTATAGCTATGCCAGTGGGAACACATGGGCTTCATGGGTGTGAGATAGTGATGGAGGAAGCACACCAGCTCTTAACTCCCTGTCCCTCTAGCTCTTAACTGCCTGTCCCTCTAGCACTTAACTGTGTTTCCTGTTGTGCTCACATTTCACTAGCCACACAAATCATATGGCTACAAAGTAACTAAGAGAAGCTGGAAAATAGTTTGGAGTATGTTGAGGAAGGCTTTGGACACCAAGAAGAGTTGTGCCTACTTCAACAGGGGGCTTTAAAATGTTTCTGAACAGGGGAGCAGTATGATCAGAGCAGTGCCTTTGAGAGGTAGAGGTGACCTTTTGTTACCAGCATTTTCTGTAAATCCAGGCCCATGTCTCCTGTTGCCTATATTATTCTTAAAAACCTGCTAAACTAGCCTCACTGCTGACTCTAGTCCCCTGCTTCTCATGTATCCTGTTTGTATCATCAGAACCATTTATGAAATAGCTTTTGTATGTCTCTACATCATAAACAGGATAGCATTATAATTTATCATCTAAACTAAGATGCCATTGAGAGCGAAAGTTCTACTAGTTATGCTTGGGCAAACTGAGACTAAAGGTGTAAACTGAGACTGTCTTCCGCAAACTGAGACTAAAGTTCACCCTAAAAGGAGACTGCAGTGGCTCTCTATTGCCAGCCTGGCCAGTCAAGCCCTGAAACCCATGTCCTCCTTAATATAACAGCACCCACTTGTCTAGCTCTAGTTTGTTCTTCCCCTACCTTTTATTCAGGTTCCTATTCAAACATAACCTCTGCAGAGAGGGTCTTACTACTCCATCTACCTAGCACTTTTCCACTCCTTCCCTCTCTGTTCCTTCACACTGTTTTATTATTCTTCATTGTACATACTAGTTTCTGAGATTATGTTATAGATCTGTTCTGAAATAACTGTACCTCCTCTAGAATGTGTACTCCATAAGCAGAGGGACTTAGTCCTTTCCACGACTATGGACTAGGTATCTTAGTCTGTAGTCCTATGACTTAGTCTATGAGCCCAGCACATGGTAGGAGCTGGTGAACCATTGTTGAGTTAGGGAATGGATTACCTTCCCCATCCACTCCAACATAGCCTCAAAGCCTGCCATTGACATTTAGACTCCAATTCTTGATGCGCCCTCTGACTTCAGTAAGCTCTTTGCTGTCCTTCTCTGTGGAGATCCAGGTATGCTTTAAGGCTTAGCTCCACCCTTTTTCTTTTTGAAACGTTCTTAGAATACTCTGCTCCACATCCTGTCCTAGATGGAAGCACATGGTCTTTAATATTAACTGGACTGTGTGCTTTGTGAAGGCAGAGACTACATGATTTCTTATCTACGTAATAGGCATAAAAGTGGTACAACAGTATTTACCCCACAGCGTATAGAATATTAAAGGTGTTAATTCATGTAAGCTTCTTAGAACAATGTGGAACACATATGGTAATCAACATAAAATATGCTCTAATCAATATATAAACATTGATAATTTACATTCTTTGTGTTTTGTACTAAGTCTTCAACATCTAGTACATATTTTAAACTTAAACACATCTCACTTCAGAGGAGCCGCATTTCAAGTGTTTGGTAGTTACAGGGGGCTAGTGCATACTGTTTTGGACAGCACAGCCCTGAAGAATAGAGGAATAGCAGATATAAGGAGCAGCCACTCCCTCTAGGTCTGAGAGAGAGTGCTCAAGGAACAAACTTGGAAGAGCCGTCCCTTCCCCAAAGCCTTAGATTCAGACCTCATGGGAGATGTGGCTGTGGCCCACTGGATGACAAAGACATTTGCTGAAGAGCTGCAGGTCTGGGCTGGGAGGTGAAAACCACCTACTGGGATCCTGAAAGTTTGAAAGGAAGTCTCTGTCTGTGGTATAAGTGAGACTTGTGGAAAGTTGCTGTCAACTTGCAATATAAGCATACAAGTAAAAAGGTTTTATTTGAGAATAATATACAGGAAGTGAGATTGCAATCCAGGACTTACGTACAGACTAGGGTGGCCTCCAGTATGTCTGGAGAACAAGTTAAATGATTAGGGTTTAATTGGGGAAAGAGGAGGTTATACAAGTTGTTCTGAAAGAAAGTTTATTGGCACTGGCAGTGTCTTACAAGAGCTGGCGAGTTTTGATTGGTGAGTGTCAGTAGTTCCTAGGTAGAACTTGTTATTTTTTATTTATTTTTTTTTCTTGAGACAGAGTGTTGCTCTGTCGCCCAGGCTGGAGTGCAGTGGTGCGATCTCTGCTCACTGCAACCTCCGCCTCCTGGGTTCACGCCATTCTCCTGCCTCAGTCTCCCAAGTAGCTGGGACTACAGGCACCCACCACCACGCCCGGCTAATTTTTTGTATTTTTAGTAGAGACGGGGTTTCACCATGTTAGCCAGGATGGTCTCGATCTCCTGACCTTGTGATCCGCCCACCTCAGCCTCCCAGAGTGCTGGGATTACAGCCACCGCGCCTGGCCGGTTTTGCATACTTTTTAAAGCTTTCTGATAAGTATTGCTGGATATAATTTTCCTTTATTTTCTTGCTCTAAAGAAAACAATTCTGAGACAAACCTGAGAATTTAAAAAGCAGTAAAGTTTATCTTTGAATATGTTGGATAATATGTACTTTTTAAATAGTCTTTCTGTAAAATTTGGTTCAGTGAATCAATTTTAGCACTAACAGAGTAAACACTTTTTTCCCCTTCATATTTTTCACACAGGAGAAATTAGCCAGCAAAGAAAAGTTCAAGGCACCAGCAAGAGCTTTACCACAGCTGTCTATGGTAACTTATCCAAATATATTCTCATTGAATTTTTGTGCTTCAAAAAATGTTTATTAGTTTTCTAACTTGAAAATAAGTAAGCAAATTCCTGCTCCATTTGATTCTTTTCTGATGGAGAAATTCTATGAGGTGTGCATATTAGGACAAATAACTATCTTAGTAAAGTAACCATAAGCTATAATTACCTGTATATGTAGAATATTTCAGTATTCTGAATGAACGACTTGCCAAGATTGGTTAGCAAAAGGAGTATTAGCGTTGGAGTAAATAAAAAAGGGCTTGGGGTAAAGCTTTGCCTCTAATGGCTCTGTGCCCTTTGGGGAGTCACTTACCTCTTGAGCCTCAGTTTCTGAGTTTGAAAATGAGCTGAGTTGATTTGATGATCTTCAAGGAGATGGGTCTTCCAGCAGAAAAATGCTGTACTACAAAATATTTCTTAGATTTTGGAATCTTTTTTCATTATTTTGACTATAAAGTGTCATTGTCTTGTGGAAGAGGCAGTTAATAGACATTTTCAGTTGATAAAGCCCTGTACAAGTTAGATTTTAATGTAATAAAATTTATTGTCTAGTAATTATGTGGAGTTTAATGCCACCAAGTTACAGTCTTGTGACTCCTGAAAGTTAAATTTAAGGGGAGGGTCAATGCAAATATTATTATTTTTTAAAAAAATTGATAAAATATACATAACATAAAATTTACCATTTTAACCATTTTTAAGTATTCAGTGACATTCAGTACATTCACATTGTTGTATAATTATTACTACCACTCATCTCCAGAACTCTTTTCATCTGACTAAACAGCAACCCTGTCCGTTAAACAATGACTCCCCATTTTCCCCTCCCCCACCTCCTGGCAAACCACCATTCTACTTCTTGTCTCTATGTATTTGACTACTCTAGGTATTTCATATTGGTGGAATCATACAATATTTGTCCTTTTATGCCTGGCTTATTTCACTTAACATAATGTCTTCAGGGTTCATCCAAAGCATTATTTGCTTTGAAAGATATTTTAAAAGCTGAGAACAAACTATAGAATTGAATTTGTGTTGCTTTGTACAGAGAATATTACTGATAATTTGAAATGAAGGACAGTTTCGCTTAGGAAACTTGAACTAACATTGTTAGATTAATTATATTGAACATTTAAAAATACAAATCTTAATTGAAAATATGCTTTTATTGATAATGGCAAATTATTGTAAAATGCCTGCAGAATCGAGCCATAGCATGTTTTCTCTAGTTCTGCAAAATCCCTCTTAATTTTCTAGTGTAAAAGATAAAAAACTGAAATGGAATAGACATTTTTTAGTTTGTTGCAGATTGTTAGTTTACAGATGTAGAAATATAAACTTAATTTAAATTTTCTTATCGAATATCTATGGCTGAGACGCATAATAATTCTTGCTTGTGGGCGAAGCATATAATCATCTAAAATGCTTTTATTGACTGATGTAAACCTGGTTTTGTATTCATATTTGGCTGTGTCTTGCAATTTTTCCTCAGCATTCTTTGAGTCTTATGGGTTTTAAGGGAAATCATATTTTCAACAGATATTTAGAAAATGAGCTATGGATTATTTTTTTAAAACTACTTTTATTTGAATACAGTATTAAGGTTTGTACCTGGATAGAAGTTCTCCAGCAGTAATTACGACCTGGAGTGATTTTCTTTACAGACTTCAGGCTTCTAGAGGTGACCCCTGTAGTTGAAATCAAGAATGATCTGGCACTGGTGGCTCCCAGCCTCTGTGACCTGATTCTCACCCTTTCTGTACAACTCCTCGTAGCGCTTCTATGAGTTTTAAAACTTTTATGGAGCAAGACGAGAGTTGAGAAATGGGAAGGGCGGGTGGAAAATGGAAGAGCACTGTCTTACATGTTTTCTTATCCTATTTTCCTGTGTAAGAGGTAACTAAAATAAGGACTTGTGTACAGGTAGTTTATTAGGGAAGTGGAAGTAAGAGATTAGGGAGAGTAAAACTAGGCAGAAAGAGAAGCCAGTACAGACATGGACTTTTAAGTTGGTTTGGATTTGAAAGGGAGAGACAGACTAAATTGTGCTAAAAATATATAGATTTTACTTTAAAATCCGACTGTCTGGGTTTGTTGAAGAACCATAGGCTTCAGCAACAGTAGGTTTGTGTTCTGGTATTGCAATAATTGGCTTGAGCTAATTAGTCATTGCGTTTTTAGAAGATGAAGGTGCTCTCTCCTCTGCCACAGTCCTCACCACACACTGTTGTTTCCCAACATGGAGCCTGAGTGCCAGGAACCTATCATCATTAGCCTTCTCCCTTTTTATGACACCTGCCAAAATTGTGTATGTATAATAATTTGTCACCCCTGCCTGAAACAATGGAATACATTTGTGAGTTGTCAGAGCAATCTAGGGTGGTTTACAGCCATGAGAACAGGAAGACCTTTTGGAGCTGGAATGCAGAGGAGACCAGCAGAGAGCACTTCTCATTAAAATAGAAGGTTTAAAGACACTTGACAATATCTGGGGATGAGGAGTAGCCTCTCTAGAATGAAGACCCTGGTTTTAGGTAACAGGCATTCACATCCAACCAACAGCAGGACTTTTGTTAATGTCCCCCAAATGGTGCACACCATGACCATTCACAGGCTTGAATAAGATCTACTGTTGAGTATTTTCTATCCAGATGTTCTGATCTGTTTGAGAAAATGTCTGTGTTTATAAACACTCGTGCATTTCATGGAAAAAGGTTTTTTTCTGATATTGTTTGTTAATGCTATTTAAATTTTGTATTTTAGGTGAGTACAAAGCCCCACTGGCAGCAGGCAGCTCCATCATTCCATTTGAGTGTAAAGCAGGATGATGAGAGTCCAGAACCATTTAGTGTTAAAAATGAACAGTCCCATGGTAAGAACTTCAATATTCTAAATTAGATTTAAGGATAATTTGTAGAGAGAGACCAGACAATATTTAGTTAATAGTGTAATAGAAGTACAAAACCTGAATGACATTAATGTCAAGTAGAAAAAAATTTTCCCAATACATCTTCCCTCAGAAAATAATTGATTGTAGTTCTCAGTTATTTTAGGCTGTTGTAAATGCTATAAGAGCTGATATTTTAGGAATTGGGTTGTTGATACTAAAACGTTTATTTATTGTGGTCAGAATTTGCCTCTACATCAAAGACTGAGATTTTTATAAGAGAGATTTTAATAAATTATATTTCTTTTTAAAATTTTTTGTGGGTTTTAATAAATTGTGAACATGACTTCCAAATTAGTCATTTTAATGTTTTTATTATTTTGACTCATTAAATGTAGTGTTTATCAGATTGATTACAGTTAATATTAACTTTTTGTCATGGTTCTTTAAAATTTCTCAAATAGTTTTGTATCCTGTTTTTATCATAATTTTAATGTTCACTTTTAGAGAATCATATGTAAATATAATAGAAAATTTTATTAGTATATTAATCAAAATATAAATCAGTGGAATATTCTTGAAATAGATGTTTCTAGTTATGATGATACAAAAGAGGAGTAGTTTAACCTCCTGATAGTAAAAAAAAAAAATTATACTTAGGATTACTTGATAATGTAATTTTTTATTAAAAGGTGATTTAGCATCTTATTTTAAGCATGTGAAATGCTTTAGCTTACCTTTTAGATGAATAATTGTGCTTTTTTTTTTGTTTTAATTTAAGCTGAATACATGGAACGTTTTGGAAAAAAGGGCAAATTACCCCACCAAGTTGATGATAGTTATGTTGGACCATCTACTTCCAAATCAAAGGGCAAATCTCCACATAAAGAACGAGAAAACTTTAGAAGTACTCTTGTTAATGTCATTATGTAAGTTGTATAGGCTAACCATTACGTGTTACCCATGTTAGAGCCCCTGGCAACGTTTAACCTAAGAATATTAGAATTCTGTGCATCTCTAAGGGTGCCTCAAAGGCTTGTTGGAATGAGGTCAGAGTATAAATAAAGAATGAAAGAGATTGAGTTTAACCCTGTTAAGTGTGTTCCACTTCTAAATATCATGAGTTGTAAAGGTAGCAATGTTAATACTTAATGTTGGCTGAATTTCTGGGAGTTCTTATTATAGCCATGGTAGCCAGTGGAGGATTCTAGCAGGTTTTTTTTCCCCAATCTCATCTGCTCAGGTGATGGGGGTGACTTTTCCGGCATTGTGATTCTCCTTGTATAGAAAAGGAATTGGGGTGAAATGGTCAGCAGTGTGTGCAGGGCCTGGTCTTACCTGGGTCTCACTGTTTCAGGACAGTTCATAAAGAGCAAGGCAGATGCAAGTCACCAGCTCTTCTTTGCCTTGTTTCCACACCGCTTTGTGCTAGTTGCTTAGTATTCTCTTTAGTTTCGTTATGATTCTCAGGGTGTACACCATTTGTGGGACGAGTGGGGTTTCATGACCCATTGTGGTAAGTAACTCACTCACAGGACCCTGTTCTACTGTCCCATGTGGGACTTTACTGGCTAGATGGTCATCTTGAAGGGAGGACAGTGGGTACTGAGTGCTTACAAGGCTAAAAAGGAGTGTATCGGAGTCCCATGCAGCTGGGTTGAGCGTATGTGCTTCTTCTAGAGTGGTTTCGAGTTTGCTTTTGCCAGGTGCCACTAGGATGCTACCAGCTTTCCCCACTTATATTGTTTTCTTGACTTAAGCACTCTCAGATCAAACAAGCAGTATGATCAACACCCAAATCAATGGAGGGTAGACCTCTGGTTACAAATTTTTAGAAGAATTTTTTTTTTTCTACCTGGAGCCCTGCCCAAGAAAGATAAGCTTTCTTGACACAACTTCCTGTGCCTGTTATTTTTAGTCTTCCCTTATTTGAGGGTAGGGCAGATCTTGTTTCAGCTTTATACAGGATTTCAGTTGGAATTCCCCATTTCACTCAGGCCTATGGCATCATCTTCTTCCCCATATGGGCATGAAAATCCAAGGCCCTGCCCCCATAAGGGCAGCCGTAGCCTTAGGATGGCCATGCCTGTCTACTTAATTTATTTTCCTCCTGATTTTTCTGTTTCTTTCTTGTAAGCTCAGCTATACATTTAAAAGGAGCTTTGTGATATACTATCCAGTATTTATACAATTGTACTGGGAGGTTTTTTTTTTGTTTCTGTGTTGTAAGAAACAGAAGTCTATTTTAACCATCTTTTGTCATTTTTTCTGTTTTGCCTTTTATAAACAGGATATAGATGGACTTACTGAAATTCAATCTTAGAGTTCTGTGCTTTAATAGCTTGTTTAATCCCGTTTGTATTTATTGGTATTTCTCATATATGTGGACTTCTACCAATGTATTTTATGTTTCCTATTTATCATATGTTGCTTTTGCTTATTTTTTTCTCTTTTTCTGCTTTCTGTTGAATTTTCTCTATTCTTCCTTTATTTTTATTGGTTTAGAAGCTATGAAATATATTTCTGTTCTTTTAATGGTTACCCTAACATTTAAAACTACATATTTAATTTATATTTCTTAAGGTTGAAAATTCATTTTTTTCTATCTTCCTTCTGAATAACACACAAAGACCTTAACATGATTTAATTTAGCTCTGAGCTTTCCTTTGTATTTTCTATGTGATTATTGTTTAATATTTCAGTTCCACCAAGTCCTTAAGTACCCATATTCTCTCTCTCTCTCTGTATTTTTTTTAAGTTAACACTTAGATTTACTAACATGTTTTCAAAATTTTTAGAAAGTTGCTTTTGCATTCCACTCCTCATTTCTGGGTTCATTTTCTTTTTTGCTGAAGTTTGTCTCTTAGTAGTTTGCTCTTTCTTTCTGCCTTTCTTTCTTTGTCTCTCTCTGTCTCCTTTCTTCCTTCCTTCCCTCCCTCCCTTCCTCCCTCTTTTATTCTTTCCTCTTTTTTTTCTTTTTTCTTTTCTTTCTCCTCCCTCCTTCCCTTTCATTCCCTTCCCTTCTTCTTTTTCTTCCCTCCCTCTCTTTCTTCTTCTCCTTCTCCTCCTCCTCCTCCTTTTCCTCCTCCTTCTCCTCTTCTCTTCCTCCTCCTCCTCCTTCTTCTCCTCCTCCTTCTCCTCCTCCTCCATCTCCTCTTCCTCCTCCTCCTCCTCCTTCACCTTCTCCTTCTTTTCTTCTCTCCCTCTCTTTTTTGAGACAGAATCTCATCCTCTTGCCCAGGCTGGAGTGCAGTGGCATGATCATGCCTCACTCCAGACTTAGACACCCTGGGCTCAGATGTTTCTCCCACCTCAGCCTCCTGACTAAGGCACGTGCCACAACACCTGACTAATTTTTTGTATTATTATTATTTTTTGTAGAGATGGGGTTGCACCATGTTGCCCAGGCTGGTGTCAAACTCCTGGGCTCAAGTGGTCCCCTACCTCAACCTCTCAGAGTGCTGGGATTATAGGTGTGAGCCACTGTGTCTGACCAGTAGTTCTTTCAATGAGAATAAAGAGTAGTAAATTCCAGATATTCATGTCTATAAAGGTCTCAATTTCATCCTTTTTCTTGAATTAATGGTTAAGTTGGCTGTAGAATTAAAGAATAATAGCAGTTTTCCCCTGTACATCTGGGAAATTATAGATTGAAAAATATTAATGATTACCTTTTTAAAATTATTATTTCAGTAGTTTTTGGGGAAACAGGTGGTGTTTGGTTACATGGGTAAATTCGTTAGTGGTGATTTCTGAGATTTTGGTGCACTCATCATCTAAACAGTGTACACTGTACCCAATGTGTAGTCTTTTATCCCTCACCCCCCTGCACCCTTTCCCCCTTGAGTCTCCAGAGTCCATGATATCATTCTTATGCCTTTGTGTCCTCATAGCTTAGGTCCCACATATGAGTGAGAACATTCGATGTTTGGATTTCCATTCCTGAGTTACTTCACTTAGAATAATGGTCACCAACTCCATCCACGTTGCTGCAAATGCTGTTATTTTATTCCTTTTTAGTAGTATTCCATGGTGTATGTGTGTGTGTATGTATACACACACACACACACACACACATATATATATATATAAACATTTTTTTATCCACTCATTGATTGATGAGCATTTAGGCTGGTTCCATATTTTTACAATTGTGAATTTTGCTGCTATAAACGTGTGTGCAAGTGTCTTTTTTATATAATGACTTATTTTCCTCTGGGTAGATACTGAGTAATGGGATTGCTTCATCGAATGATAGTTCTATCTTTAGTTCTTTAAGGAATCTCCATACTGTTTTCTATAGTAGTCGTAGTAGTTTACATTCCCACTAGCAGTGTAAAAGTGTTCCCTTTTCAACACATCCACGCCAACATCTATTATTTTTTGATTTTTAAATTATGGCCATTCTTGCAGGAGTAAAGTGGTATTGCATTGTGGTTTCGATTTGCATTTCCCCAATAATTAGGGATGTTGAGTATTTTTTCATATGCTTTCTGGCCATTTGCATATCTTCTTTTGAAAATTGTCTATTCATGTCCTTAGCCCACTTTTGATGGGATTTTTTTTCTTCCTGATTTTTTGAGTTCCTTATAGATTCTGGGTATTAGTCCTCTGTCAGATGCATAGTTTGCGAATTTATTCTCCCACTCTGGGTTGTCTGTTTTCTCTGCTGATTACTTCTTTTGCTGTGCAGGAGCTTTTTAGTTTAATTAGGTCCCATCTATTTATCTTTGTTTCTGTTGCATGTACTTTTGGATTCTTGGTCATGAACTCTTTGCCTAAGCTAATATCCAGAAGTTTTTCTGATGTAATCTTCTAGAATTTTTATGGTTTCAGATCTTAGATTTAAGTCTTTGATCCATCTTGGGTTGATTTTTGTATAAGGCGAGAGATAACCATTATGTTTTGGCATGCATTGTTGACGAGAACCCTATGTGACTTTATTTGTCATTATTTTGTTGGTAATCTGTCTTGGTTCTCTCTAACCTTTTTTGGGGGGAACATTTTATTTTCAAAGCCTCACAGATAGGCTTTTTTTTCCCTTTTTTTAAAAAAAGCTTTGAGAGATAATTCACATGCCTCTAAATTGATCTATGTTAAATGTAAAACGTAGTGAGTTTTAGCAAATTTTTGTAGTTGCACAACCTTCACCAAAATCCAGTTTTAGAATACTTTTGTCATTCACAAAAGCTTCCACTTGCCCGTTTCAATTAATCCTCTTGCCCACTGGTTGCCCCAGGTAATCGCTAGTCTTCTTTCTATCTCTATACTTTTACCTTTTCTAAAATTTCATATAACTGCAATCATATATTTATTTCTGAGGTTTATTCATGGCATTTATTGTGTTTGGGTTTTGACTATTATGAATGATGCTGATGTGAACATTTGCATGCACGTCTTCTTGTGAACATACATTTTCATTTTTGCTGGGCAGATAGCTGAGTGTAGAATGAAGAGTTGTATAGTAGGTATATGTTCAACTTTTTAAGACATGCTAAATTGTTTTCCAAGCTGCTGTACATTTTCTATTCCTACAAACAACAAATGAAGAAGTTTCTAGTTTCTCCACCTTACCCACATTTTGTTTTTATTTTGTTTTGACACTGTAGCCATTCTAGTAGATGTGTTTTATCTTATTATGACTTTAAGTTGATTTCCCTAATGACTAATATTGGGTATCATTTTTTGTGCTTGTTTGACATTCATGTATCTTCTTTGATGAGGTGCCTATTTAAATATTTGGCCCTTTTTTTATTGCGTAGTTTGCTGCTGCTGTATGCATTGGAAGAGTTCTTTATGTATTTCCTTTACAAGTCCATTTCAGATATCTTTTGCAAATATTATCTCCCAGTTTGTGCCTTATCTTTTCACACTATTGGTACATAATAATTTTATATATTTATGGGATACATGTAATATTTCAATATATGTCTACAATCAAATCGGGGTAATTGGGATATCTGTCCCCTCAAATATTTATTATTTCTTTGTGCAGATAACTCTTTGATATACTTATTTTCTTTATTTCGAATATATACACAGCAATAGGATTTCTGGATCATATAGTATTCTGTAATTACTTTTGCAACAATCTAATAATTCTATGTTTAGTTTTTAAAGGAACTTCCATACTGTTTCCTATATTGGCTGTACTAATTTACATTCCCACCAACAATGTGTGTGTGAATTCTCTTTCTCTACATCCTTGCCCACATCTGTTATTTTTTGTCTTTTTGATAATAGCCATTTTAACTGGGGTAAAATAATATCTCATTGTGGTTTTGCTTTGCATTTCCCTGGTGATTAGAGATGTTGAGCAAGTTTTCACACATCTGTTGGCCATATGTACATCTTCTTTGGAGAAATATCTATTTGGATCATTTGCCCATTTTTAATCAAATTATTATTATTATTATTATTTGTTGTTGAGTTGTTTGAGTTCCTTATATATTCTGGTTATTAATCCCTTATCCCTTGTCTATGGATAGTTTGCAAATATTTTCTCCCATTCTGTGGGTTTTCTCTTCATTCTGTTGATTGTTTCTTTTGCTATGCAAATATTTTTAGCTTGATATAATCTTGTTTTTCTTTTGTTGCTTATGCTTTCGAGGTCTTACCCCAAAAAATCTTTGCCCAGACCAATCTCCTGAAGCATTTTTCCAATGTTTTCTTCTAGTACTTTCATAGTTTCAGGTCTTAGATTTAAGTCTTTAATCCATTTTCATTTTATTTTTGTAGATGGTGAGAGATAGGGTCTAGTTTTATTCTTCATATGGATACCCAGTTTCCCCAGCACCATTTATTGAAGAGGCTGTCCTTTCCCCAATTTATGTTTTTGGCACCTTTGTCAAAAATGAGTTGAATATAAATGCATGGATTTATTTATGCTTTCTCTATTCTTTTCCACAGGTCTAAGTGTCTGTTTTTATATCAGCATTATGCTGTTTTGGTTACTATAGCTTTGTACTGTATTTTGAAGTCTGGTAGTGTGATTCCTCCATTTTTGGTCTTTTTGTTGTTGTTGTTGTTAAGGATTAGGGCTATTTGGGGTCTTTTGTGGTTCCATATAAATTTTAGGATTGTTTTTTCTATGTCTGTGAAGAGTGTCATTTGTATTTTGATAGGGAGTGTATTGAATGTATAGATTGCTTTGGGCAGTATGGACATTTTAACAATAATAATTTTTCCAATCCATGATTGCTTTGCATTTTTTAAGGGATTTTCTTCAATTTATTTTTTTCAGTGTTTTTTATTTTTCATTGTAGAGATCTTTCACTTTTTGATTAAATTTCTTCCTAGGTAATTAGTTTCTTAGCTGTTATAAATTGGATTGCTTTCTTTTTCTGAATGTTTGCTATTGGTATATTGAAATGCTACTGAGTTTTGTATGTTGATTTTGTATCTTGCAGCTTTGCTGAAATCATTTATCAGTTCTAACAATTTTTGGGTGGAGTCCTTTTTTTTCTTTCTAAATATAAGATCATGTCATTTGCAAACAAGAACAATTTGACTTCTACCTTTCCAATTAGGATGCCCTTTCTTTATCTTGTGTAATTGCTCTGGCTAAGACTTCTGGTACAATGTTGAATAAAAGTGGTGAAAGTGGCAACCTTCTCTTGTTCCAGATCTTACAGAAAACTATTTTAATTTATCCCCATTTAGTATGATGAAAGCTGCAGATTTGTCATATATGGCCTTTATTGTTTTGTGGTATGTTCCTTCTGTACCAAGGTTGTGGAGAGTTTTTTCACAAAGGCATGTTGAATTTTATCAAATGCTTTTTCCACATCTATTAAGATGATTGTATGGTTTCTCTTTCTTTGGTTGATGTGGTGTATCACATATATTGATTTATGAATGTTGAACCATCCTTGCATTCCTAGAATATATCCCCCTTGATTGTGGATTGTGGTATATTATCTTTTTGATGTATTATTGGATTTGGTTTTGGTATTTTGGTGAGGATTTTTGTGTCTATGTTCCTCAGGAATATTGACCTGTAGTTTTCTCCTTTTGTTGTATCTGTATCTGGTTTTGGTATCAAGGTAATGCTTACCTTGTAGAATGAGTTAGGAAAAATTCCTTTCTCTTCAAGTTTTTGGAATAGTTTGAGAAAAATTGGTGTTAGTACTTTAAAATTTTCATAGAATTCAGCAGTAAAGTTATCCAGTGTTGGGCTTTTCTTTTTGGGGAGACTTTTTATTACTGTTTCAATCTCATTACTCATTATTTGTCTGTGCAAATAATTTTGTTACTGATTCAATCTCATTACTCATTATTTGTCTATTTCTTCCCTGGTTCAATATTGGTAGGTTATATGTGTCTAGGGATGTGTCTATTTTTTCTGGGTTTTTGAATTTATTGTTGTGTAGTTGTTGATCATAATAGTCTTTAATGATTTTTTCTTAGTCTAGTTAGTGGTTTGTCAATTTTATTTATCTTTTTAAAAAACTAAATTTTGAAATCTTTTTTTTGTCTTTTTTTTTTTTTTTGAGGCAGAATCTCACTCTGTTGAGTACAGTGATGTAACCTAGGCTCACTCCAACCTCCACCTCCTGGGTTCAAGTGCTTCTCATGCCTCAACCTCCTAAGTAGCTGAGATAACAGGAACACACCTCCACCCCCAGCTAATTTTTTCTATTTTTAGCAGAGACAGGGTTTTGCCACGTTGGCCAGGCTAGTCTCTAACTCCTGGCCTCAAGTGATCCAGCTGCCTTGGCTTCCCAAAGTGCTGGGATTACAGGCGTGAACCACTGCACCTGGATTTTGGTCTCTTATTTAGTTCTACTCTGGTCTTTATTATTTCTTCTACTAATTTTGGATTTGATTTGTTCTTGCTTTTCTATTTCCTTAAGGTATGTTTTTATGTTGTTTATTTGAAATCTATTTTTTATGGGTTTCTTACTATAAACTTCCCTTCTAGCACTGCTTTTGCTGTATTCCATAGGTTTTAGTATACTATGTTTTCATTTTTATTTGTTTCAAGAAATTTTTTATTTCCATCTTAATGTTTTCATTGATCCAGTGGTTGCTTGGTATTTAATGTCCCTGTATTTGTACTGTTTTCAAAGTTGCTCTTGCTATTGGTTTCTAGTTTTACTTCATTGTGTGTGATTTGATTTTTTTTACATTTGCTGAGACTTGTTTTGTGGCCTAACATGTGGTCTAACCTGGAGTATGTTCCATGCACTGATGAGAAGAATGCATATTTTGTAGCTATTGAAAGGAACATTTTGCAAATGTCTATTAGGTCCATTTGGTCTACAGTGCAGTTTAGGTTCAGTGTTTCTTTGTTGATTTACTGTCTAGATGATCTGTCCAATGCTGAAAGTGGGGAATTAAAGTCCCTTTCTATTGTATTGGGGTCTATGTCTCTCCTTAACTTTAATAATATTTTCTTTATATATCTGAATGCTCCAGTATTGAGTGGGTATATATTTATAATTAGATCTACTTGGTGAATTGATCCCTTTTCATTATATAATGACCTCCTTTATCTCTTTTTATGTTTTTTTACTTAAAGTCTATTTTGTCTGATAGAAGTATAGTTACTACTTCATCTGTAAAGGCACACATGGACTAAAAGTGAAGATATACCATGCAAATTCTAAACCTGTTTTTGGTTCCCATTTGCATGGAATATCTTCATTTTTAGTCTGTAGGTGTACCTTTACAGGTGAAGTGAGTTTCTTGTCAGCAGCATATAGTTGGGTTTTGTTTTTTTAATCAACTCAACTAGTCTGTATCTTTTAATTAGGGGAATTTCAACTGTTTATATATATTAAAGGTTGTTATTAATAGGTGAGGGCTTACTCCTGTCATTTTAATGATTGTTTTCTGGTTGTTTTATATGGCCTTTGTTCTCCTCTTACTGCTTACCTTTGTGATTTGGTGTTCTTCTATAAAGTATTGCTTGACTCCTTTTTCTCATTTGTGTATCTGCTCTTCTAGTGAATTTTATGCTTTAGTGTGTTTTCATGATGGTGGATATCATCCTTTTGCTTCCAGATGTAGGTCTCTCTTAACCATTTCCTGTAGGACCTGTTTAGTGGTGGTGAATTTGCTCAGTTTTTATTTGTTAGGGAAAGTCCTTATTTCTCCTCACTTCTGAAGGATAGCTTTGCTAAGTATAGTATTCTTGATTGACAGTTTTTTTTTTCTTTTAGCACTTTGAATATATAGTCTTATTCTGTCTTGGTCTTTAAGGTTTCTGCTGATAAGTATGCTGTTTTTCGGTTGGCTATTCCCTTATATGTCACTTGACAAGAAAATTTTACAGCAAGTTTTCTTGTGCTGTTTTTAGAATTCTTTGTCTTTGACTTTTGACAGATTAACTATATATGTTGTGCCACAGAGAGGAACTTTTTGGATTGAATCTATTTGGGGATCTTTCTGAGTTTTGTATTTCTAGATGTTTATATCTCTTCTAAGACTTGGGAAGTTTTCAGTTATTATCTCATTAAATTAATTTTCTATGCTTTTCCCCATCTTTTCTCCTTCTGGAACTTGCCAAATTTCAATATTTGTTTGCTTGATGGTATCCCATATGCCCCTCAGGCTTTCTTCTTTTTGATTCATTTTTATTGTCTCACTGGGTTATTTCAAAATACCTGTCTTCAAGTTAAAAAATTCTTCCTTCTACTTTATCTAGTCCATTGCAGAAACTCCTGATTTTTTTATTTTGTTCATTTCTTCAGTTTCAGGATTTCTGTTTGGTTCTTTTTTGTGACATCTATCCTTTCATTAAATTTCTAATTCAGCTTATGAGTTTTTCTGATTTGCTTATATTGTTTATATGTGTTCTCTTGTATCTTGCTGAGTTTTCTTGAGATCATTATTTTTAATTCCTTTTCAGGGGTTTTTTAGATTTCCTTTTCTTTGGGGCTTGTTGGTAGAGAATTATTGTGTTCCTTTGCAGGTGTTGTGTTTCCTTGATTTTTTTCATGTTTCTGTTGTCCTTATGTTGATATCTGTGCATCTGTTATAACTGTCACTTCTTCCAATTTTATGAAGCAGCTTCCATAGGAAAATACTTTTTCTTGTGAATGTATCAGTATGTTAACTGGGTAGGGTGCTTTGGCTTTGGTTCTGGGTGGACACCATAGTGTAATGTTCGTATGATTACTTTGATTGTATTTGATATCAGTAGTGTCTGCAAATTACTTAGTGGCTAGGCTGTGGGTGTTTGTGGAGGCTGTGATGAGGCTTTGCTAAGGACAGGGATACCAGGTAGGCTAGTCCTTAGGTCCCTAGGTGGTACATGGGGGCACTGGCAGGGATTTGGTATGACTCATGGAGGGCAGTATCTGGGTCCCAGGAGGGGTGTGTGGGTGCTGGGAATGGTGGCAGTGGGCTGGGTGGACTGGTCCTTGGTTTCCTGGGTGGCATGCATGGGCACCGGCAGTGTTGAGCCCTGGGAATGCCAGTCCTTAGGTCTCTAGGCAGAGCATGTGGGCACTAGTAGGCAAGGAGATCTGCTCTTTGGGGCCCAGATGGGTTGCATAGATGCCAGCAATAGTGAAGGCAGGTTGGTCCTTGAGTGCTAGAATGGATCACACCCAGATTATTGGTGTCGGCCACAGGCCAGCTGGAAAGGTCCAGGGTAGGGCAGGTGGGCACTGGCAGCATCTGCAGTGGGGTGGGCAGGCTGGTCCCTGGACCCCCAGGTGGGACACACAGTGTCCCTGCTGATGAGGGGGCAAGGTCATTGTTGGTGGCAGTGGCCCCAGGTAGACTGCTCTTAGGCTCTGGGGAGTACACACTTTGGTTCCCAATACCTTGGGGGAAGACTCCTGGATATGCTGGATCGCCTATTCCTTGGGTAGTAGGACACTGCATGAACTTGGGTGCTGGTGATGTGGCAGTCCACTGGGTTCAGCCAATGCCATGCTATTGTAGCCCTCTGGGTGGATGTAGGGGGATGTCAGTGGGGCCTTAAGAATGTGGAGGCCAGGCACAGTTGCTCATGCCTGTAATCTCAGAACTTTGAGAGGCTGAGGTGGACAGATCACCTGAGGTCAGGAGTTCGAGACCAGCCTGGCCAACATGGCGAAACCCTGTCCCTACTAAAAATACAAAAAAATTAGCTGGGCATGGTGGCGGGCACCTGTAGTTCCAGCTACTTGGGAGGCTGAGGCAGGGGAATCGCTTGAACTCAGGAGGCAGAGGTTTCAGTGAGCTGAGATCACGCCATTGCACTCCAGCCTGGGCAACAAGAGTGAAACTCTGCCTGGAAAAAAAAAAAAAAAAAAAAGAATGTGGAGATGCAGGTACTGTTGTACCAAGGACAGGATATAATCCTGTGGTGTTGGCTCTGCTCTCAAAATGGTGCAGTGCTATGGCAGCTTGGGTTCCAGAAGTGGGATTTAGCCCAAGTTCCATCTCTGGAACAATGCAGTTGTGGGTGCTCCATGCAGCACCCTATACTAGGCTCAGGGATCCTGAGAGCCAACAGGCTTTTCTGTATCTAGGACTGCAGGTTTCTTGGGTGGAAATGTGAACAGCTGGGCAATACCTCACTTACATTTTTCCTGCAATGGAGCATTCCTCCTGGCTCTGGGCTGAACTGGCCTACTGCCCTACTTTCCTCTCTACATTGCCATCTTAAGTTTTCCATGCCTCAGAGGGTCCCTGTTTTTTCTCTGCTGGATTCCAGTGTTCTCCCCTAGATGATCTACTTGATGTGTGTTTATGTACTTGCTGTTTTGGTCCTTCTTTATGGAGAAGACAGGCACTGGGCGCCTCTCTTCAGCTACTTCATACAATCATCCTTGAGAGCTGTTTGGCAGTAAACATGACAGTCTTCTGTCATCTTCTCTTCTCCTTTGTTCATTTAGTTTTCTTCCTCCAACAAATCCAAAGTGCCTTAGAGGTGGTGCAAAGACCCATCAGACTTCATACACTAGAAGGTGATGCAACAATGGTTGCAGGTTATATCAATATTTTTTGAAAATAAAAAGTTTCACATTTTGTTAAAATATAATTTATCAATTTTCCTTTTGTTGTTCATACTTTTGGAGTCATATAAGTCTTTTCCTAATACAAATTCTCAAAGATTTCCTCCTGTATTTTCTTCTGGAAGTCTTATAGGTTTTTTTTTGAGATGGAGTCTTTGTCTGTCACCCAGGCTGGAGTGCAGTGGCGTGATCTTGGCTCACTGCAACCTCCGCCTCCTGGGTTCAAGCGATTTTCCTACCTCAGCCTCTCAAGTACCTGGGATTACAGGTGTGCACCACCATAACCAGCTAATTTTTGTATTTTTAGTAGAGATGAGGTTTCACCATGTTGGTCAGGCTGGTCTCAAAACTCCTGACCTCGGGTGATCCACTTGCCTCGGCCTCCCAAAGTGCTGGGATTACAGGCATGAGCCACTGTGCCTGGCCTAGGTTTTTAAAAATAATTTTAACTCTTACGTTTACATGCATGATACATTTCAACTTCATTTTTGTCTATGGTGTAAGGTACGGTTTGATGTTCAATTTTTTGGCATATAAATGTTCAAATGTTTCAACCCCTAATCCCTTGAATTACCTTGGCATACTTGTGGAAAATAATTTCACCATATACGAGGGGCTATTTCTGTTCCATTGATCTATGTGTTTATTTTTACACCAGTACCATACTTGTCTTGATTACTTTAGCTTCATAGTAAGTTTTGAAATTAGATAGTTTAAGCCCTCAAAATTTATTCTTTTTCAAAATTATTTTGGGTGTTTTAGGTCTTTTGCATTTCTACATATATTTAGAGATCAGCTTGTCAGATTTTGCAAAGGAAAAATGCCTACTGGGACTTGGAAAGCATTGCGTTGAGACTGTGAATGAATTTTTGGAGAATTGTCATTTCAGTAATATTGAGTTGCCTAGTCCATGAACATGTTATTTCTCTCCACTTATTTAGATCTTCGGTTGCTCTCAGCACTTTATATACATTTTTGTGTAGAAATCTTGCCCTTCTTTTTAAAAATGTAATCCCATTAATTTTATTGTGAATGAAATTATTTAATTTTATTTTCTGGTTGTTCTTTGCCAGTATATAGAAAAATCAATTGATTTTTGCTTGTTGACCTTATGTTTTTGAGACCTTACTAAACTTACTTATTTTAGAGCTTTTAAAAGTTCCTTAGAATTTCCTATACATACGATCATGTGTATGCAAGTAAAAACAATTTTATTTCTTCATTTCCAACTTGGATGCTTTTTTCTTTTTATATCCTTTTTGCACTTATTAGGTCCTTTGGTATATTGTTGAAAATAATTGGTGAGAGTGGAATTCTTAGTCTAAGGGAGAAAGCATTCAGATTTTCACATTAATGTGAAATGTTAGTTGTAGGTTTTTAAGACACTTTGTGGAGAAAAGGAACCTTTGTACAGTGTTGATGAGAATGTAAATTAGTGCAGCCATTGTGGAAATTTGTATGAATATTTGTCAAAAAACTAATAATAGAATTACCATATGATCTAGCAATCTCATTTTTGGGTATTCACCCAAAAGATTTGAAATTAGTATGTTCAAGAGACATCTGCATGCCCATGTTCATTTCAGCACTGTTTATAATAGCTGAGTTATGTAATCAACCTGACTGTCCATCAGCAGATGAATGGATTAAAAAAATGTGGTATATATACACAATGGAATACACTTCAGCCTTAAAAAAGGGAAATTTTATCATTTAACTTGGATGGAATCGAAGAACACTATGCTAAGTGAAATAAGATAGGTACAGAGAGACAAATATGCATGTTCTCATATGTTTAATCTAAAATACTTGAACTAAAAGAAACAGAGAGTAGAATGGTTGTTACCAGAGGCTGGAGGGAGGCAGGGGGAATGGGGAGATGATGGTTAAAGGCTACAAAGACTTAGTTAGACAGGGGTAAGTTTTGTTTTTTTCTTTAAAACATATTGCACAGCATGGCAAATTTAGTAAATGTATTGTGCATTTCAAAATCTTTGAGAGTAAATTTCATAAATTCTCCACACAAAGTGTTAAGTATTTGAGGTGATGGATATGTTAATTAGCTTTAATTATTCCACATTGTATTAATAAATCATAACACTTTTTACCTTATAATCATATACAACTATAAATCATCAATTTACAGTTAAATTACATATTAAATAATTAAGAAAAAATAACACAACGTGGGCTCAAAAAATATGTAAAGGAAATAGATATCTTTTATCATTTCCTTTCCAAATTTGTTGAGAGATTTTATCATGAATGAATCCTGGATTTTTGTTAAATGCTTTTTCTGTGTCTGTTGAGGTGATCATTTGGTTTTTGTTCTTTATTCTATTAATGTGATATATTACATTAGTTGCTTTTTATATATTAGTGCAACCTTGCATTCCTCTCACTTAGTCATTGTGTGTAATCCTTTTAATATGTTGCTGGATCTGATTTGCTAGTATTTTGTTCGGGATTTTTTAGTTTATATTCATGAATGATATGGCCCTGTAGTTTTCTTGTGATATTGTTGTCTGGCTTTGATATCAGGCCACTAATGGCCTCATAAAAAGAGTTGGGAAGTGTTTTTACCTCTTCTATTTTCTGAAAGAATTTGTGTAGAATTGGTATTATTTCCTCCTTGTTTGATCAAATTCATTAGTGAAGCCATCTGGACTTGAACTTTTCTTGGTTGGCAAGCTAATTACTAATTCAATTAGTGTACTTGATACAGATCTATTCAGATTTTCTGTTGTTGATTGGGTCATATTTGATCCTTTTTTGCCTTTTGGGAACGTATTCTTTTTATGTAATTTGTTGGCAGAAAGCTGTTCAGATAACCTCCTGGTTTTCAGCCTTCCTACTCATTCTCTCCTTTGGTATCTGCCAACCCTGATACCAGAGCCTTTTCTAGTGGTCTCCCAGGCAGATTGTTTTCCTTCCTGTATGAGTTTTGGGCTGTGGTGTTTTAAACTGTTTCGTCTGTCCTCTCTTTTATGGTTTGGCTCTGTGTCCCCACCCAAATCTCATTTGAATTGCACTCCCATAATTCCCATATGTTGTGGGAGAGACCTGGTGGGACATAATTGAATCATGGGGATGGTTTCTCCCGTACTGTTCTCATGGTAATGAGTAAGTCTCAGGAGAGCTGATGGTTTGATAAGGGGAAACCCGTTTTACTTGGTTCTCATTTCTCTCTCGCCACCACATGTAAGAAGTGCCTTTTGCCTTCTGCCATGATTGTGAGACCCCCCCAACCACGTGGAACTGTAAGTTCTATTAAACCTATTTCTTTTGTAAATTGCCCAGTTTCGGGTATGTCTTTATCAGCAGCATGAAAATGGACTAATACGGTAAATTGGTACCAGTATAGTGGGGTGTTGCTGAAAAGATATGTGAAAATGTGGAAGCAACTTTGGAACTGGGTAAAAGGCAGAGGTTGGAACAGTTTGGAAGGCTCAGAAAAAGATAGGAAAATGTGGGAAAGTTGGGAACTTCCTAGAGACTTGTTGAATGGCTTTGACCAAAAGCCTGATAGTGATATGGACAATAAGATCCAGGCTGAGGTGGTCTCAGATGGAGATGAGGAACTTGTTGGGAACTGGAGCAAAAGTGACTCTTGTTATGTTTTAGCAAAGAGACTGGTGGCATTTTGCCCCTGCCCTAGGGATTTGTGGAACTTTGAACTTGAGAGAGATGATTTAAGGTATCTGGTGGAAGAAACTTCTAGGCAGCAAAGCATTCAAGAGGTGACTTGGGTGCTGTTAAAGGCATTCAGTTTCATAAGAGATGCAGTGCATAAAAATTTGCAGCCTGACGATACGATAGGAAAAAAAATCTTATTTTCAGAGGAGAAATTAAAGCCAGCTGCAGAAATTTGCATAAGTATCAAGGAGCCAAATGTTAATCCCCAAGACAATGGGAAAAATATTTCCAGGGCATGTCAGAGGTCTTCACGGCAGCCCCTCCCATCACAGGCCCAGAAGCCCAGGAGAAAATGGTTCTGTGGGCCAGGCCCAGGGTCCCCGTGCTGTGTGCAGGCTAGGGACTTGGTACCCTGTGTCCCAGCTGCTCCAGCTGTGGCTGAAAGGGGCCAACGTGGAGCTTGGGCCATGGCTTAAGAGGGTGCAAGCCTCAATCCTTGGCAGCTTCCATGTGGTGTTGAGCTTGCAAGTGCACAGAAGTCAAGAATTGGGCTTTGGGAACCTTCACCTAGATTTCAGAAGATGTATGGAAATGCCTGGATGCCCAGGCAAAAGTTTCCTGCAAGGGCAGGGCCCTCATGGACAACCTCTGATATAACAGTGCAGAAGGGAAATGTGGGGTCAGAGCCCCCACTCAGAGTCCCTACTGGGGCACCGCCTAGTGGAGCTGTGAGAAGAGGGCCACTGTCCTTCAGACCCCAGCATGGTAGATCCACTGACAGCTTGCACCGTTTGCCTGGAAAAGCCGCAGACACTCAACACCAGTCTGTGAAAGCAGCCAAGAGTGAGGCTGTACCCTGAAAAGCCACAGGGCAGAGATGCCCAAGACCATGGGAACCCACCTCTTGCATCAGCATGACCTGGATGTGAGACCTGGAGTCAAAGGAGATCATTTTGGAGCTTTAAAATTTTACTGCCCTGCTGGATTTCGGACTTGAATGGGCTCTGTAACCACTTTGTCTTGGCCAATTTCTCCCATCTGGAATGGCTGTATTTACCCAATACCTGTACCCCCATTATATCTAGGAAATAACTAGCTTGCTTTTGACTTTACATGCTCATAGGCGGTAGGGACTTGCCTTGTCTCAGATGAGACTCTGGACTGTGGACTTTTGGGTTAATGCTGAAATGAGTTAAGACTTTAGGAGACCGTTGGGAAGGTATGATTGGTTTTGAAATGTGAAGACATGAGATTTGGAGGGGCCAGGGGTAGAATGATATGGCTTGGCTCTGTGCCTCCACCTAAACTGCATCTTGAATTGTACTCCCATAATTACCACATGTTGTGGGAGGGACCCAGTGGGAGATAATTGAATCATGGGGTTGGTTTCTCCCATATTATTCCTATGATAGTGAGTAAGTCTCATGGGATCTGATGGTTTGATAAGGTGAAACCCCTTTCCCTTGGCTCTCATTTCTCTGTCTTTCTGCTATCATGTAAGAAGTGGCTTTCGCCTTCTGCCATGATTGTGAGGCCTCCCTAACCACATGGAACTGTAAGTCCATTAAACCTCTTTCTTTTTTAAATTGCCCAGTCTCAGGTATGTCTTTATCAACAGTGTGAAAACGGACTAATATACTCTTCTTTTCAGGTTCCAGAAATTTGTGAAATATCTCCTTAGCTGATGACTTTTCTTCTAGTTTCTTCATAATTAATGGGTTAAAATTATTTCACTACCATTTTTTTTCAGGGCAATTTAAAAAAGGGATGCTCATGCCACCATCTTGAACCAAAAGCTTCTACTGATTTTGTAAAGAGAAAAAAAAATAAATATAGTTCTTTTCATTTTTGAGAAATAAAGTACATCATATTTTCTCTGTACCCAGGCCACATGTCTCCTCTATTGATCGTTTTATTTCTGAACGGAATAAGCACAGCTGTTTGGAAGCACATATGGAAGGGCAAATTCTTCCTTTCATAGTTAATTAGCTGTATGACCAAGGGGAGGTTATTTAAACCTCTCTGACATTCACTTTCTTCATCTGTGAAATGGGAATAATTATGTCATTGTCTTCTTTAACAATAGGTGTGAGGATTATAAATAATATATGTGAAACTATTGAGGGCCTGAGTAGGTAATCAATAAAAAGCTGCCATTATTATTGCTCTCGGTGAGGAGCAATAGTAATTGCTGGCCCTAGAATGATAGAATCATGGAGTTTTAGAGCTGAAAGGATCTTCACTCTGACTGGAAGAACTTCTACAGCCATTCCTACAACCCCCAACCTTCTACCTCCTCACCCACCCTTGCCCTGATGCATCTTTCTAGGCAGGCGTTATTCACACAGAGAATGAGGTTTGTTTGATTCTTAGAATTCAGCAAGGTAGGTAGGATGAGCATTTCTGCCATAAAACAAACAAACAAACAAACAAACAAAAGTTACTGAGGTCATATGCTTTATGGTGGCAGACTCTGAACCCAGATTTCCTGATTCCTGAAATATGTTACTGCTGAGTTCTCTTCTGTGTAGTCAACAATGTAATGAGGTTATATTTGTAGTTAGAATAATCAACCCTTTTCTCTCCATGTGCTAAATACTTTGAGGATTTCTTCTACTTTCATACTTGCATTCCCTCACTTAACAAACATTTATTGATCACTAGCTATCTATTGAATTAAACTGAGACATTACCCAAAGCCTTGACTCTTTTATCTTGTCCATTTAATTGAAAAGAATATGTAAAATTCACAAAACACTGCATTCCTGGATTTGCAAAAGATAAATAAGTTAGAAGATCTATTCTGGATACCCACTTTGGTATGGTATCTCAGATATACTCAATGAACCTCGAGTCTCCCCTCACTGGGCAGTTAGTGGGAAGGTGTACTTAATTATACAACATCACTGACCTGTATCCATTTTAGATGAAGTTGAGATCCAGAGAATGATACAGTCAATTATAAAGAGGTTAAAGCTATCCCACAACAACTTATTTTTCTGAAAATGTGAACTATGCCTTTCTGCCCAGTGCAGCCCCAGAACATGTCACAAAATGTGGCTCATATTTGGCATATATTTTGAATTGAATTATAGTTACAAACATTATTGTATTATATGAACACATACCCAATAATAAATACATAGGCACATAAAAGCTTCCATGTCACTGATTGCTAACTTGTATGTCTATAGAAATCTGAGAAATGGCCTTTTGAAGAATGTGTCTGTGTCTTCTGCAAAACTGTGTTTAAAGTACTTTCCATCAGTGTTCTTTTTAAAACTCATATCTATAAATAACCATACATATTTTAGGAATAATGCAAGAGTGTTCCTTTATAATTTCAGAGAAGAGAGAGCTTGATTCTTGAGTAATGAGGAAGAATAAGTAAAGGCCATCAAGGAGGGTGTGATTTCTGAATAGGTCTTGCAAGTAACTTCCAATATAATTGTCTCTCTATGAATAAAGTATTTGGAGAGGAATATAGCACCAAACAAATGTGTATGCTGTTTGTAAAATGTTCAACAATTCATTTTTCCTTATGATTTAATAGAAAATAGTCCTGGTGTTCCTATATCCATTGTTTTATGTTCTAACTGCCCCTTATCTACTTTTGAATAGTATGTTTATCATTTTCTTAGGCAACAAGATGCTGACTTAGACTCAGCTGTCCCTGATGGAAGCACAATTCCAAAACCGACCGCTTCTGCTATAGAGAAAGACATCTTGGTAACTGGCCATTTGTTTTGTCTGTATAATTGAAAAGGAAAGAAACACTTGAAGATAATTTTATACTTTGGAGACCACTCTGTGCTTCTCCTTTGTGAAACTCTGTGGACATAGGAATAAATACAGAGTTCTATAAAAAGGCACCATGGGATTTGTAGAAGAAATCATTCTCTCCCTTGCCACCTAAGACCACAATTTAAAAAAATTTCAAATCTACCTGCTCTCCATATTAAAGCCAGCTTCAGTCATGTATAGCTTTACATGCCTTAATTTTTTTATGAGAAATTATCCTATAATAATTATATAATGTATATTTTACAAGGCATATTAACGTACTTTAGGAATAGTAATTCTTCAAGTATTTAAATACATAATAATTTTTTAAAATGTAAATATCAAAGACAACACTGCTAATTCAAAAGCATTTTGACATTTAAATTTTTTCTAATAAGTGACATGTAAAAATTTGTGAACGTATATTGAAGTTAAATGTTCATTATTATAGAAATAATAACTTGTTTTAAAATGAATATTTTATGAACACACACAATAGCAGCTATAAAATTATAGTATGGAATATTAATAGGCCAGTTGGAAATGTCCTAAATCCTATTGTATAATATTTCTGGAATTAATATATAGAGATACTGATTTGCTTACAGCTTTTAAGATCTACTTCTGATAATAATAAAAAGAGAAAAACTAACAAATCATTTTTAAAAATTAACAAAACACTAATTCAGCATGGACTCTGTTAAGTACATCATATATTTGGTAATATAACTTGATGTTTTACAGTATAGTTATTAACTGAGATAAGAGTTTTAGTTTTCATGAAAATACACATTTGTAACATTTAGGAGATCTCAAATAATACCTATGTGAATTGTACCAAATACTTTTTTATGCTTTATAAATACTTTGTTCTCCTAAAACTTGAATTTTGCTTGGTAGTTTTATTTTTGATAAACATACTTCTTTTGTTAAACATCTACATTTTTCCTATCTTCTTTTTGTAGAGATATTACTATTATATTCACCATGGAATTGATACAGACCATGTAGCCCCAATGGAAGATTCTTGGCTAGAACACGTACTGGATTTAGTTCCACAACATCTGAAAGTCTTCACTGACAGCATAGTTACATTATCTGATGAAATGAGAGAGGATTATCTTCTTAGTGTAAGGAAATCCATAGGTAAATTGGTATTATGCTTTGATTTTTAATTCAAATATGTGTCTCATTAAAGATTATTTTTGTATTAATAATACCTATACTTGAAACTAGTCACAATATTATAATTATGCCATTTCTTACATTGCTGTTATATTACTTAAGATCTTAGGCAAATTCCATTAATGTAGTATTACAAAAAATAATTCTATTTCTATTTGTAGGGATATATCCCCACCACAAAGGATAGCACTGAAGAAAATTATAAAGCATTAATTTCAATCCCTCAAGATATTTATTGAGTGTCTAATTTATGCGAGGCATTAGGCATTTAGGAGATAGTCTCTCCCTTTAAGATGGTCTCTTCATTCCAGGATCTTTTGGTGTAGACATGAGACAAGACATACATATTTAAATAATTACCTAAAAGTGTAAGCATTAACAATGAACATTAGTATTACCGATGTCATAAATTAGAATGTGATTAATACAAAATTGTTGCAGTAGACCAAAGGTTGACAAACTATAGCTCACAGGCAAATCTGGCCACTGCCTGTTTTCATAAAGTTTTATTGGAACATAGCCACACTAATTCATTTGCATGTCATCTACAAATCTGGCTGCTTTTGAGCTACAAGAGCAAAACTGAGCAGTTGTGACAGAGTCCTTGTGGCCCACAAAGTCGAAAATAGTTACAGTCTAACCCTTTACATAAATAATTTGTTGACCCATGGTACAGACAAATAGATTCTAAGGCTGACTGATTACCAGAACCGTTTTAAAAATACTGACTTCTGGCCCCACCTGAATTAAAATCCCTGGAGTCAGGGCCTTGGAATCTGTACTTTAAAAAAAGCGTCTCCAGTTGGTTATGATAGTAAACCTAGTATGACGGATGCTGTGTTCAAAATTGGAGAAATAATAATGCTTTGGAGTAATGTGGGGACCCTTATTGGTGGAGGACATTCATTGTATTTATGACTTCTATGGAGTATCCTGGTGATATAAAAATAAAAAGCCTAATCCCTGCCCTCAGAGTTCATAGTGTAATGAGGGAGATAGACAATTAACTAAATATAAAGCAAAGTAATAAGTCCAAAGAGGAAAGAAACAGAAGATACACTGTAAGGGAGAAGAGGTCATCTCTAACTTGTTAGGAAGGACTCTGGAGGAGCCTAAACTAAGTCTTGAAGGATGAAAAACAGTCTAGTCGGGAACATGCTTGGCCTAGGAAATGGTGTGAATGATAGCAGACGCCCATGAGAGGCTCTTCTGGGCTTGTAAGCAGTTCTGAAGCCAAAGCATAGGGTGCATCTGGGGAAGGGGACAGAATCTGAAGGGCTTTATATGCCTTTTTAGAGCGCTTAAAGGTAAAGGAGAGTCTCTGAAAGATTGTAGGGAAGGGGGTAATACATATGATTTGCATATTAGAGCTTCTTGAAATATGGGCAGAAGAATTAGAATTAAATGTGAATTAAAGACCATAGAAGACAGAAGCGAGGTAGCTGACTTCTCTGATTTTATAACAAGACTGTTTTATGCTCTTATGCAACTTAAAAGAGAACAAGGCAATACTGTTGTTCCTTGGTATCCACAGGAGATTGGTTCCAGGACACTCCCCTCCCTGACAGATACCAAAATCTGCAGATGCTTAAGTCTCTGATATAAAATGGCATAGTATTTGCATATAACCTATGTACATCCTCCCGTATACTTTAAATCATCTCCAGATTTCTTATACTACCTCATACAATGTACATGCTATGTAAATCGTTGTTACACTGTATATTTTTATTTGTATCATTTTTATTGTTGTCTGTTATTTTTATTATTTTTTCTGAATATTTTTGATTCATCGTTGGTTGAATCCATGGATGCAGAACCTGCAGATACAGAGGGCCAAGTGTATGTACCTTTTCTCGGTGAAATAGAACTACTGCTATCCTGTATTGTTGACCTTCAATTCAACAAGAATATTTTTGATGGAATAGCTATAAAGGAAAATATAATATTAAGAGCAATTATTCCTTTCAAATGAAAGAGGAGGGACACATTGTGTTAAGAAAGGGAACATATATCCTCAAAGACACAGACATGATACATTTTCTTGTAAGGTTTTAAAAATTTTCTTCTCCTCATAAATGCACAAATTTCTCATTATTAAACAACTTTAATATAATTTAAACAGTTAATCTTAGTAGAACTAGCTTTGCAATTGCTTGGAAATGTACTACAGTTAATATAAGGTTATTTATCAGAATTTTAAAATTTTCTTTTAGTTGATTTTGTTTTAAAAGATCCTCGAGAGAAAGGAGATGATAAGAAGACAGATGAACTTCCAGCCCATCGTGCTGAGTAAGTGATCAGATTTCTCTAAGAATGTTGATTATGTGACCATTTCTGTATATGTTTATATCACCAATTATATTTTCTCAAATGTATGTTTATAATTTATATATAAATGTATATGTGTGTATGTATGTATTTCATATACAGGCATGCCTCATCTTATTGCACTTTGCTTTATTGTGCTTCACAGATACTGTGTTGTTTGCCAGTAGGAGGTTTGTGAGGGTTTTTTGCAACTGAAGGTCTTTGTCAAGCAAGTCTGTTGGCATCATTTTTCTAACAGTGTGTGCTCACTTTGTGTCTCTGTGTCAGTTTTGGTAATTCTCACAATATTTTAAGCTTTTTCTGTTATTATTACATCTGTTATGGTGAGCTGTGATCAGTAATCTTTGATGTTACTATTATAATTATCTTGGAAAGCCACAAACTGCACCCATGTAAAATGGCAAACGATGTCAATAAATGTTGTGTGTGTTCTGACTCCTCCACCAACCAGTCACTCCCCCATTTCTCCTCCTTTCCTAAGGCCTCCCTAATTCCCTGAGACAGAACAGTATTGAAATTAGGCCAAGTAACCTACAGTGGCCTCTTGAGTTGCACATTTCTCACTTTAAATCAAAAGCTAGAAATAATTAAGCTTAGTGAGGAAGACATGTTGAAAGCCAAGATAGGCCACAGCTAGGCCTCTAGTACCAGTTAGCCAGGTTGTGAATGCAAAGGAAATTAAAAGTGCTATTCCATTGAACACATGACCAACAAGAAAGTGAAACAGCCTTATTGCTGATATGGAGGAAGTGGTCTGGAAGAAGATCAAACCAGCCATGACATTTCCTTAAGCCAGAGCCTAATCCAGAGCAAAGCCCTAACTCTCTTCAGTTCCGTAAAGGCTGAGAAAGGTAAGGAAGCTGCAGAAGAAATGTTTGAAGGTAGCAGAGGTTGCTTCATGAGGTTTAAGAAAAGAAGCAATCTCCATAACGGAGCAAGGGTTGAAAAATTAACTATTGGGTTCTGTGTTAAGCAGTTCTTATGTTGCCTTAAAGAAATACCAGAGACTGGGTGATTTATAAAGAAAAGAGGTTTAGTTGGCTCACAGTTGCTCAGGTTTTATAGGAAGTATGTTGCTGGCACCTGCTTGACATCTGGGGAGGCCTTGGGAAGCTTACAATCATGGCAGAAGGCAAAATGGGAGCAGGCATCTCACATGGAGAGAGCAGGATGAAGAGTGAGAGGGAAGATGCCACACACTTTTAAACATCCAGATCTCATGAGAACTTACCATTGCGAGGATAGTGCCAAGAGGATGATGCTAAACCATTCATGTGAAACCTGTCCCCATGATCCAGTTACCTCCCAACAGGCCCCACCTCCAGCACTGGGGATTACATTTCAACCTGAGATTTGGAGGGGATATACAAACTATATCAGGGACTGTGCTGGCACCTGGGTGTTGGGATCAACTGTTCCCCAAACCTCAGCATCACACAATATACCCATGTAACAAATATACCTGCACCTAAACCCCCTGAATCTAAAATAAAAGTTGAAATTACAGAACAAATTTTTGAAAGGCTATATCTACTATAGTGATTTCTCTGAGGGATCTTGGCAAAGTGAATTGAAAACTTTCTGGAAGAGATTCACTGTTGTAGGTGCCGTTAAGAAAATTTGTGATTCATACAAGGTGGTAAAAATATCAACATGAGCAGAAGTTTGGAAGAAGTTCAACCCTTACGGATGACTTTGAGTGGCTCAAGACTTCAGTGGAGGAAGTCACTGCAGATGTGTTGGAAAGATGTGTTGGAAGCCAGAGAACAAGAATTAGAAGTGGAGCCTGAAGATGTGACTGAATTTCTCCCATCTCATGATAAAACTTGAACAGATGAGGAGTTGCTTCTTATGGATGAGCAAAAACAGTGGTTTCTTAAGATGGATTCTACTCCTGGTGAAGATGCTGTGAACACTGAAATGACAACAAAGGATTTAGAATATTACATAAGCTTAGTTGATAAGGCAGCATCAGAGTTCAAGAGGATTGATTCCAATTTTGAAAGAAGTTCTAGTTGGGTACAGTGCTATCGAATAGCATTGAATGCTGCAGAGAAATCTTTCATGAAAAGAAGAGTCAATTGAGGATGTGGCAGATGTCATTGCTGTCTTATTTTTAAAAATTGCCACAGCTTGGTTAGTTAGAAGCCATTAAGACCTTCCACCAGCAAAAAGATTATGACTCGCAAAAGGCCCAGATGATTGTTAGTATTTTGTGGCAACAAAGTATTTTAAAATTAAGGTGTATACATTTTTTTTTCCCGAGACAGGGTCTCACTCTCTTGCCCAGGCTGGAGTGCAGTGGTGTGATCTTGGCTCACTGCAACCTCTGCCTCTGGGTTTCAAGCGATTCTCCTGCCTCAGCCTTCTGAGTAAGTGGGATTACAGGTGTGCACCACCACGCCTGGCTAATTTTTGTATTTTTAGTAGAGACAGGGTTTAACCATGTTGGCCAGGCTTGTCTCAAACTCTTGACCTCAAGTGATCCACCTGCCTCAGCCTCCCACAGTGCTGGGATTACAGGTGTGAGCCACTGCACCTGGATTCCTTTTTTCATTTGTAATTTTCTTGAGATAGGGTTTCTTTGTTTCCCAGGTTGGAGTGCAGTGGCATGATCACAGTTCAGTACAGCCTTAACCTCCCAGACCCAAGTGATCCTCCCACATTAGTTTCTCAAGGAGTTGGGACCACAGGTGCGTATCACTATGCCCAGCTAATTTAATTTTTTTTTTTTTAGAGACGCAATCTCCCTATGTTGCCCAGGCTGGTCTCGAACTCCTGGGCTCAAGAAATCCTCCCACCTTGGCCTCCCAAAGTGCTGGGATTACAGGTGTGAGCCTCTGTGCCTGGCCCTATATTTTATTTTAAAGATATAATGCCATTGCCTGCTTAATAGACTACAGTATAGCATAAACATAAGTTTTATATGCACTAGGAAACCAAAAATTTGTGTGACGTGCTTAATTGCAATATTTGCCTTATGGGGGTGGTCTTGAACCAAACTTGCAATATCTCCATTGCAAGCCTCTATACAACTAATTGTTCTTATGTGCTTTGTTTATTTATGTATTTAAGCCTAACGTTACATTTATGAGTTGATGGATCGATAGGTAGATGACTAGACATAGACAGGTGGACACTAAGTTGGTTAAAACATAAGTACTTGGTGGAAAGAATATGATATAGGTTTTTTAATCCCCATAGCAACTAGCACAGACTTCAGATATGGTAGGGGCATAAAAGCTTGATTTTGGGAACATTGGGAACATTACAGAATATATATATTTATAGAATGTATTTCAATTTATTACATGGATGGAAATATAGAACACATAATGGGAAAATCTCCTTGCTGTATATTTTCTCTAATAATAACATTTAGGAATAAATCTCTTAAATAGTTTGAAGGATGGAACTTATATGATTAAATAACCACTTCAGTTTTATTTTCTTTTATATCATTTTAAAATGCCCCAAAGGCCAAGTGCGGTGGCTTACGCCCGTAATTCCAGCACTTTGGGAGGCTGAGAAGAGCAGATCACTTGAGGTCAGGTGTTTGAGGCCAGTTCTGGCCAACGTGGTGAAACCCTGTCTCTACTGAAAATACAAAAGTTAGCTGGGCATGGTGGCGTGCACTTGTAATCCCAGCTACTCAAGAGGCTAAGGCAAGAGAATTGCTTGAACCCAGGAGGTGGAGGCTGCAGTGAGCTGAGATCGTGCCACTGCACTCCAGCCTGGGCAACAGAGTGAGACTCCATCTCAAAAAAAAAAAAAAAACAAAAGCCCCAAATTATTCCCCATTCCACACACACACACAAAAAAAGTTATGTACCCATTTTCCATATCCTCTAGGGAGAACAACTTTTCTCCTGGGAAAGACAAAAATCATCCTTCATAATTGCAAAGGTGATACAGCCACATATGAAAAATTGAATTAAACTTACTATATACACAGAAAATGTAAATGTTTAAATATATTCTGAAAGATGAAGATGGCACATTTCAATATATAAAAGATGATTATTAAAGTCATAAGAGTTACAGAATACAGTTGATCTTTAACACGGGGGTAAGGGCCACTGAGCTCCTATACCACATATAATTTTTATACGTGGTTAAATATATAAGCTTAACTTATATATAACAAAGCTTAACTATTAATACCCTACTGTTCACTGGAAACCTTACTGATAACATAAACAGCCAATTAAAACATATTTTATGTGTTATATGTATTATATACTGAATTCTTACAATAAGCTAGAGAAAAGAAAATTTTATTAACAAAATCATAAGAAAGAGAAAATATATTTACTATTCATAAAGTAGAAGTGGATCATCGTAAAGGTCTTCATCCTTGTAATCTTTACATGGTGGTGGTAGTGATAGAGGAGCAGGAGGAAGAGGAGGTGAAGGAGGAGGGAAAGAAGAAGGGGGAGGAGGAGGGGGAGGGAGAGGGAGATTGGTCTTGCTGTGCGGGGAGTGGGTGGTAGAAGTGGAAGAAAATCCACATGTAAGTTGATGTGCACAGTTCAAACCTGTGTTATTCAAGGGTTAACTGTAAATGTGTCTTCAAATAAAAACGTTAGTGTTTGTGATTTATAAATGATGTTTACATATTAACGGGGTAAAGTTCAAGGGGATTTCTATGGGAAGGTTGGACTATATCCTTAAAATGTTTTAAAAATAAAAATAAAAGAGGAATTTTAAAAATAAAGGGAAAATTTAAATGTATGTCCTGAAATTAGTAGAGAATCTTTGAAGATGTTTATGAGAGATAGCTGGCTGCTGTTTTCATTTGTTCATTGTAAATTATTTGTGGATTCAATAAGATCAAGTATTTGGAGATAAAAATTAGTTACCTTTTGTTTTAAAGATTTAAATCTAATTTCAGAGTCATTTTTATAATGAAATTATACTAAACCATAAAACATATGATCTTTATATATTTTAAAACATAATTGCTTGTTTTGTTATTATGATGAGGGATACAGCACATATTTTATTAAAATTAAATAATTATTACCCAAAATGTACAGTTACTATAAAAATACTTTTTTTGAGACTGTAACTAAATATTTTCTTTGTTTTCAGAATGGAAATTCTGCCAAAACCTTGGAGGAAATCTTTTTTAGCTGCAAGCAGTTATATTAGGGATCACTTGAATGCAATGAACCCCACAATGCTGGCTGTACTAGATTTGTGGCACACTAATTTTAAGTGAGTATATGTGGCCTTATAGAGGTTTTTAAAATATAGAGGGAAGTTGTTTTACTATATCTTAATTATTTCTTTTACTATTTTAACTGCAAAGTAAAACATTACCATTTTAATGTAAGTATTCAAACATGGTTTTAAATAAACAACAAAGAAGTATATAGAGCAAAAAGTGAACACTGCTTTTCTAAAATTTTAAATTTTTTAATTTTTTGAGTACATAGTAGATGCATATATTTATGGGGTACATGAGATATTTTGGTAGAGGCATGCAATGATTAATAATCACACCATGGAAAGTTTGGTGTCCATCCCCTCAAGCATTTTTCCTTTGTGTTACAAACAATCCAGTTATACTCCTTTAGTTATTTTAAAATGTACAATTAAAGTATTATTGACTGTAGTCCTCCGGTTGTGCTATCAAATACTAGGTCTCATTCATTCTGTCTAACTATATATTTTCTTGTACCCATTAACCCAATTCTGCTATTAATGGACTCTGATGCATTCTTCAGCACGTCAATTGTGTTTTTCAACTCTAGAATTTCTGCTTTATTTGTTTTAATTATTTCGATCTCTTTGTTAAATTTATCTTATGGAATTCTGAATTCCTTCTCTGTGTTATCTGGAATTACTTTGAATTCCAAGGACATTTATTTTATTTCAGTTTCTGATACTATGAATAATGCATCAGGAAATAACCTTGTAAATATGTTATTATTCACTGGTCCCTTTGTTTACATGGGATAGATTCACAAAAGTGGGATAACTAGATCATAGCATATTTATGTTTTTATTTTAGTATATTTTGCTGGATTTTTTTTCCAGAAATGTTTGATACTATACGTTTTTACCAACAGTAAATGAGAACTTCTTTCCCTAAAATTCTAACTATGTGTATTATACTATTTGTCAATCAATGTAAAATGCTATATCATCATTACTTCGATTTGCCTTTGCTAGACTACTAGGGAATCTGAACATCTTTTCATGTGTTTGTTAGTTATTTGAATTTGATTATGAATTCTCTACTTATATCTTTGTCAGTGTTTTGTTGGTTCTTCATCTTTTCTTATCAATTTGATAACCTCTTAGAATAACAGAGGTTTCAGTTCTGTGTCTAGTACCTGAAACAAATCAAACAACTGCTAAAACTTAGGTTTATAATTTGTCCATTGACTGAGTTTATAGTTTCCTTCGATACTCTGAAATTAAAAATTTTTATACTGTTAAATATGTCTCTGTTTTCTTCTGAATTCTCCTAGTCTTGGTTAAGAAGGTCTCCTTATTTAGTAAATTGTATGTGAGATCTTCCTGGCTAACTAGTAAAATTTTTTTATTTTTTTAACATTTTAGTTTTTTGACCACCTGAAGGTTATTTTTACCAATGATGTAGAATGAAATTCATTTTTATTTTCTTCCAGATAGCCAATTGTGCCAGCATCATTTCTTAAACAATCTTACCTTTTCCCCCTTAATGGAGCGATCACCTTTGTCATGGATTAACTCTTCAATCTATAGAAATCTACAGAATTTATAGTAATCAGAATGTCTTTCTGGATTCTCTATTTTTTTCTTGTAATATTTGAATCTCTTTCCGTACAAGTACAGATTAATTTGATTAGGGTGACTCTATGGCATGTGCTTATATTTGGTGAGAGGAATCCCAACTCTATTTTTTATGCTCTTCTTGGCTATTTTTTAAACATTCACTTTTCCTTCTTAAGTTTAAGCCTATTTTATTTAATTCAAAAGAAAGATGGAAAGAGAAAAATTGTCCGTGTTCTGATTGGAATTTATTAAGTTTTTATATTAATCTCAGAAAATAGACATGTGTAATTAAATTAAGAAGCACTTTGGGGCCAAGTGTTGTGGCTCACGCCCGTACTTCCAGCACTTTGGGAAGCCGAGGTGGGTGGATCACAAGGTCAGGAGTTCAAGACCAGCCTGCCGAAGATGGTGAAACCTCGTCTTTACTAAAAATACAAAAATTAGCTGGGTGTGGTGGTGGGCGCCTGTAATCCCAGCTACTTGGGAGGCTGAGGCCGGAAAATAACTTGAACCAAAAGGCAGAGGTTGCAGTGAGCTGAGATAGCTGAGATCATGCCAGTGCACTCCAGCTTGGGTGACAGAGCAAGACTCCAGCTCAAAATAAAATTAAAATTAAATAAAATAATAAAAAAGCACTCTCGCTCATATCCTACATATATTTCAATATTCAATCTCGTGTATATATTTCAGTAAGAGTTCGTAATTTTTATATAGATTTTCGGTTTACAGAATTCCCTCTCATTTCTTCTTTACAGCAGAATTTCTTTATAAATTTTGAGTGATTCCCTTTTGGGAGGGATACTTGGGCATGAAGTTTCACTCCAATGCCTTTCTAGGAAGCTTTGCCTTCTCCATGTGGGTAAATTATTCAAGTTTATTTTTTCCTCCCCTCTTTTCATTTGCACACTGTGGAACTCTCTGAACTTACAGACTCGGCTTACTTTGCTGAATGAACCCAGGTCTGCAGAATGTAATGAGATTATACAGGGTTTCTAACACATATTCTGACCTTCTACATACTTCAGGGGCCTCTGCTGACTTCAGAGAATGGGCTAGGATCCTTAAAACTGGCTTTAGCTTTCAGAATACATACTTCCAGGAAATGCATTCTTCCACCTTTCCATTGTACAGTATGGATTTCTTTGTCTGCTTAATTTGACTTGTACTAAGTAGGAAGAGGCTACTTCATTGCCCCATGTTTTTGTCATTTCTTTTCTTTTGAATATTGGAGTTAAAATACCTCTTCTCAGCTGACAAGGCCCATGATCTAATTTTGCATGCAGTCATGAGGTCATACAATATAGTATATTACTTTCACAAATTATGTTTGTGTAAATTAGTACATTTCATTTTCAAAACAACACCACAAGTTATCGTTTTTTTTTATATCCACTTTCAGAACACACTGAGCTGGACACTGAAGGATGGGACTCCATGACCTACTACTGTCCATAAAATGCTAGACTTGGTCTGTTAGACGATTTCAGGAGGCAAGAGATAAGAAAATGAAAAGGGGGAAGAAAAAGTAACAAAGCTGAAATTTAAAAAACAATAGAAAGTGTATGTGTCCAAAATTAGGCTCCGTAGTTGTGGTGGCAGAGATGTTAGCAGCAACTGAAGCAAACTTCAAGGCATCCATGGTAAAGACACATGGGAAAGAAGCCTTGCAGTCTGTGGGTGAAAGAAGAGCTCCACAAGCTCCTATGTTGCCTTTGAAAGCCTAGGTTGTTTTTATTCTCTATGTGAGTATTAAGAGTGGGGGGACAGTCAACAAGGGCTACCCCTCTGAGTAGTAGCCAGCATTGAATACAAAGGGCATGCTTCTAGTGGCAGTCATTTACCCTGAATCTCAGCAGACCTTGAAAATATACGACATCTCTATGTGTGGCAGTGGGTTGGGGAATGTTAATGCAAAAACGTGTCTGAGTGACTCTAAAATGCATGAGTTTGGAAACCTGATAAGATGCTCTCTAGAAAAGATGTTGAAATTCATGTTATTGGTATTTACACTTACAGAACCCACTTAATGTCATAGATAGCCTTTGTAATGCAGTCATACCCTACACAACACATATTTTTGCTTGTAAAATAATGCGTATATGAAGATCACAAGAGAATGTAGAAATTACAGTGTAATATAAATCATCATAGTTGAATGTAAAAGCAGATGTCTGAGAAAGTTAAGCTCATTTTAAAGATGAAATGGCTTTTAAAAATTTATTATTTGATGAAGATGAATCTAGGAAAAAAATTACTAGATAAGAACACTATAATTGATTTACCGTACAGCACACAGGATACAAATGAAATCATTTTTAAACATGTTAAAAAGATGCTTAACCTAACTCATAATACAAGAAATGTAAAGAGATTGAAATTAAAACTATACTGAGAAACTGTTTTCCCCACAAATTACAAAATTTGATATCCCATTTTATTAGTAAGGCTTGAAGAAATGGGCTCCCATTTGAGGGAATCCTAGCCATACCTATCATAATTACAAATTACAGGTAACACTTGAATCCAGCAATTTCACTTTTGGATAAGTAGTGTACAGACGCACCCGAGAATGTAGGAGGTGATATAGTTATAATGCTATTTATGGTGGCATTTGTTTATAAGAGACTGGAAACAAGCCAGCATCCATTGATAGACTAGTTAAATAAGTTATACTATGCACAATGGAATATTATGTAGTTATAAAATATGAGTGAGAAAAATCTCGATGTGTTAATATGAAAAGGTCTCCAGGAGAAGATATTCAGTGAAAAAAGCAAGTGCAGGACACTGGCCTATAGTGTGCTACTTTGAAAGTTACAAAAAAAGGAGGACGGCAAAAGCAAAACATGTTCCTAAGAAAGGGAAAATTTCATGGGACAACCAAGAAATGTAGATACTTCGAGTGGAATTTCTGTGGGAAACTTGGTAAGAAGAGAGAAGATTAGTTTTGAGAACCAGAGAACAAAGGTAGAGACTGACTTGATGCTAAGTCCAGAGTATTGGACCAGGACTGTTGAAATTCCTCCTGCCTGAAAATCAGTGACAGAGCCAGGGGTCAGGGTGGGTTTCAGCTTGGGGTGAGCATTAAGTGACAGTTGTGAGGGCAGGAGGGATATGTGACCAATAGATGGGTCTACAGAAATTCACTTCTGATTGGATGTGGGAAGATAAAGGATAGGAAGAGTTCAGAGACAGTCCTGAGTTTCATGGTCTGGGTGATTTGGAGCTGTTCGGTTCTACTAATAGAAAATTGCAATCAAGAAGTTATTTTGGTGATTAGAAGACTCATCATCATAAAACTTTTAAAGAGACTTGCATTTCCTTCTGCTAACCAAATTGAAGCTAATGCATAGTGAGTAATATCTTTTTTCCTGATCCTTTCTATTGTCTTAAACCAATGATTTAAACTATTGTTTCACTGCTGGGTTATTGTAGGGACTATCCTGAGAAAGCAAGAACAGTGTCTGGTAGTATTTTTCCTGTTTTCTTAACAATTCATCCTATTGACCAGATGGGTAATGCTATCTGCAGAGATTTCATGGGAAAGTTATTGTACTGTGTAAAACCTTTCAATCTCAAAACATCAAAGATGGTATTCTATGCCTCGAATTCTGTTTCAAATCGAATACGAAGAAACTAAGGAAAATTGGTCTGGTGGCTCAATGGCAAGGTGAATTCCAGAGCTTGTGCCCTTGCAACTACTACTTATTCAGTGCTATCTCACACCGCATGCATCTGCATCCTGATTACAGCTGCAATTTTAAAATGTAAAATAATGTTGAAAGCATTGACTAGGAAGCTAAAGAGATCAGATCATGTTTACTATGTGCTATTATGCTATATTTTAAACATTTTATTTAAAACATTACATTGCTCAATTATGCAGAATAACACATTGGTTCTCTAGCAGTGGTTATACGTACTTTGTGCCTAATTATTATCAATGTCATGTACGGAGTACATTATAACTCAGATGAATTTTAGCTTGTGGAAGAAATATAAGGAAATAGATTTGAAATGTGTTTTATTTACTAACCAGTATTTTACATTGGTCTTTAAGGAAACATTAAATGTGATTTTTTAAAGAACAAGTTAATGCTAATATTATTCTTTCATTTTTGTTAACCTGACAGAGAAAATACTTAGATGAGTAAACCGTGTGTATAACAAAGATCTATAACATTGTAGTCAAAAGAAGGATTGTATTGAAAGTTGTTGACTCCAGTAATCCCTGTGTTCTTTAAAAAAAACCAGACAGGCTCAAAAGAGTTTGATATACTGGTTCTTGATTAGATGTGAGACTCCTTCAATCCATGGCTGCCTGAAATGAGGGCCACTTTCTTTTCAGAGAGGCTGCAATTTTTTCTTTTCAGAGCAGTGGATCCTAGAAGCATTGAGCCCTCCCTCTTTTCCTGTTTAAATTATTACAGTTTAAAAGCAAAAACCAGTTTAAACTATCCTTCATATCCCAGTTATTGCAACTTTCTTCTACTTCACAGTGAAGTTATGTATTTTGTTGTGTTCCTATTGAATTTAATTATATGAATTATTTTTAAAATTAGAATATCTTGTGTTCTTTAACATTTAATTATATAGAACACAATTTTTAATGATTAAACCTAGGAATATGATATTTTTAAGAAGGAACCAATTAATAAAATATTAAATACCAAAAAAGTCATTGTTAAATTACTGTTTATTTTTATCTTTTGCAGAAAATTACGTTTAGTTGATATCAAAGAATTTCATAATTGCCAGGATGCATTAGAGCTGTCAAGTTTTCAGAACATTATCATGAGACACATGGACTCTGCCAAAGAGACTCTACTTAAAATGTAAAGGTTTGAAATTTCATGTAGGAAAGCATAAGTTTAAAAATATGATTGTGGGCTACTGCATTTTAACTGCTTTTAGAAGATCCAATTTTAATGTTTTAAATCATTTCTACATGATTTAAATATAATATCTTTAATTATCTTAGTCTGTAATATTTGTCCAGATGTTCTACACAGCGTAGATTGTGCAGAAACTAAAATGTTCATGACAACTGGTTACTTTTTTCTAAGTGTCTGGTTTGTACCTATCCTTTGAGAGGGGTGCTGAATACCATGAGAGAATGGTTACCTAATCATTATTCACCAGGTATTTGTCATCTGCTGTTAACACATGCTAGGCTCTGTACCTCCCTTCATTTTGTTTTTGGATGGGGAAAGCAGAAGAGTTTAAAGAATGGTTAAGTGGGGAAAGTATATCGTTTAAATGAATTAAAAAAATCTCACTAGAAGGCAGACCTATCAGATGATAATTGAATATCTCCTTGGATTGGCTTTTCGGAATGGAATAGCCACATATGATAATTCATAATCTGGGAATCAGACAGTATGCTTTGAAGCAACTTAGGAAAATTGTTTCTCTCATGGGTCATTAAGTTATTATAAACAGGACATTAAAATTCAGTCAAATTTAAGGTAGCAGAGGACATGAAACTGCTAGCATAGCTTCATGATTTCTAAAAGTTACTTAGAAAGATATCTTCATAATTTGAGATTAAATATTTCCTTTATCTTGCTTTCTTCTCCAATGTGTTAGAATAAAATTCTTTGATATTACTTGAAAAAACTTTAGCCTTTTATTTTATATTAGTATTTAGTTAATGTAAAAGTAGAGTTAAGAGGTGATAAAATGAAAACCCATAATTAATTACAGAGAAGAAAGTGACCTCTTAAGGACAGGATACAAATAAATTATCTTGATCTATAACTTCTGGGTTCTACCCTAGGAATACATTACCACTGTAAATTTTAGTTAAATGGGTGTCAAATTACAGAGTAGAGTACAAACCTTTATTGAATTATTTTTTTGCTGAGAAATGCAGATTGATTAGCTGTATCTCTTGATGCTTCCTGATTGATTCTCAGGGAAGAACTCTCTGACCATATTTTAAGTAGTGAGCCAGAAAGTGTTTATCATGACCAAAAGGCAGAGCATCAGCTCACAGAGGAGAAACAATTAGCAAATGATTAATTATGACTTCCACCTCAAACCCAAATGCCTTTTCATCGTCCTCATCTTCCATTTTTACTCACAGTGTGTGGTTTCCAGACTTCTGGAAACCCGCTTTTCTGTGCTGCTGTGTTTCTCTAGTTCTTCTTCCATTTATCTTTTTCTGGCTTTACTTATTATTATTCCCTACAAGTAGGGTTCCCCAGGTCTTTGTTGTTATCTCTCTTCTTTATATTTTCTTGACAATTTCATGAATTCTTCTGCCTCAAGATTTTGTCTTCTGAGCTTTAGGCCTGTCTTATCAATTTTTAAAATTGATACATAATAATTGTACATATATAGGGTACATATATTAATGGAATATTTTGATGCATTCATACAATGCATAATGATTCAATTAGGGTAATTAGCATATCCATCACCTCAAACATTTATCATTTCTTTGTGTTGGGAGCATTCCAAATCTTCTCTTCTAGCTATTTTGGAATATACTATAAATTCTTGTTAACTATAGTCACATTACACTGCTGTCAAACACCAGAACTTATTCCTTCTATCAACTGTATTTTTGTGCGTATTAACCAACCTCTCTTCATCCTCCATCCCAAACCTGCCCTTCCTAGCTTCTCTTAACCGCCATTCTACTTACAACCTCCATGACATCAATGTTTTTTTAGCTTCCACATATGAATAAGAGCATGTGATATTTATCTTTATGTGCCTGGCTTATTTCAGTTAACACGATGTCCTCCAGGCTCATCCATGTTGCTGCAAATGACAGGATTATATTCATTTTTATGACTGAATAATATTCCATTGTGTATATAAACTACATTTTATATACTATATTTTATGTACATTTTATATTTTGTTTACATTTTATATACTATACACACACACATACACACACTATATTTTCTTTATCTATTCACCCACTGATGGGCCAAAGTTGATTCTGTATTTTGGCTATTGTGAACAGTGCTGCAATAAACATGGGAGTACAGCTATCTCTTTGATATATTGATTTCCTTTATTTGGGGTATATGCCCAGCAGTGGAATTGTTGAATTATATGGTAGCTGTAATTTTAGTTTTTTGAGGAACCTCTGTAGTGTTCTCTCTAGTGGTTGTACAAATTTGTGTTCCCAACAGTGTATGAAAGTTCCTCTTTTTGTCAGGGATGGTGGCTCACACCTATCACTCCCAGCACTTTGGGAGGCTGAGGTGGGCAGATCACTTGAGGTCAGGAGTTTGAAACCACAATCAACATGGTGAAACCCTATCTCTACTAAAAATACAAAAATTAGCAGGGTGTGGTGGCGCACACCTGTAATCCCAGCTACTTGGGAAGCTGAGGTGGAAGAATCGCTTGAACCTGGGAGGTGGAAGTTGCAGTGAGCCAAGATCACACCACTGCACTCCAGCCTGGGTGGCTGAGCAAGACTCTGGCTCAAGAAAAAAAAAAAAAGAGAGAGAAAGAAGAAGAAGAGCAGGGAGGGAGAGATGGATGGAGGAAGGAAGGAAGGAAAGAGTTCTTTCTCTACATCCTTGCCAGCATCTGTTATTGTTTGTACTTTTGATAGTAGCCATTTTTAACCAGAGTGAGATAATATCTCAGTGTGCTTTTGATTTGCATTTCCCTGATGAATAGGAATGTTGGCATCAGTGTGCTTTTGATTTGCATTTCCGTGATGAATAGGAATGTTGGGCATTCTTCATATACCTGTTGGCTATTTGTACATTTTATTTTGGGAAATGTTTATTTCAATCATTTGCCCATTTTTAGTGAGATTATTTGGATTTTTGCTGTTGAGTTGTTTGAGTTCTCTATGTATTCCAGTTATTAATCCTTTGTACAATGAATAGTTTGCAAACATTTTTTCCCATTCTGTAGGTTGTCTCTCTACTTTGTCTAGTTTCCTTTGCTATGCAAAGCTTTTTAGCTTGATGTTATCCTGTTTGTTAATTTTTGCCTTCTTGCCTGTGCTTTTAGGTATTCCTCAACACATCTTTGCCCAGACCAATGTAATACTGAATATCTTTAGTTGAATGTCACGTCAGCACCTGAATCTCAGCATGTTTCTAGCAATGCTTATTCTCTTTGTTCCAAACCTGCTACTCTTCCTGTTGTGAACCATTACTAGGCCAAGTTGAAAACCTTGGGACTTTTTTTGTTCTCTTTTGAAATTTCATGTAAGAAAGCATGAAATTTTAGCTCTGCTTCCAGCGGTACCCAATGTATTGCTATTCTTTTTTTATTGAGAAATAATTCATTTACCATAAAATTCACTACTTTAATGTGTACAATTCAGTAGTTGATAATATACTCGCAAGGTTGTGCAACCATTACCATTAGTTCCAGAACATTTTCATTTTCACCATGCCGTATAGTTTGGATGCTTGTCCCCTCCAAATCTCATATTGAAACGTAATCCCTAGTGTTGGAGGTGTGGCCTGGTGGGAGGTGTTTGGTCATGGGGGCAGATCACTCATGAATAGCTTGGTTCTGTCCTCATGATAATAAGTGAGTTCTTGCTCTGAGTTCACACAAGATCTGGTTGTTTAAAAGTGTATGGCACCTTCCTCCTTGCTCTCTTGCACTCGCTCTGGCCATGACATGGCTGCTCCCCCTTCACCTTCTGCCGTAATTATAATGTTCCTGGGGCCTTCACTGGAATCAGATGCTAGAACCATGCTGCTACAGCGTATAGAATCATGAGCCAATTAAACCTCTTTTCTTTATAAATTACCCAGTCCCAGATATTTCTTTATAGCAACACAAGAATGGCTTAATACGCCCTAGAAAGAAACTCTGTACCTGTTAGCAGCCATTTCCCATTCTTCCACCCAGAGGTGCCTGGTAACTATGCTAATATTTTTTTTGTCTCTATGAATTTCCCTACTCTGGACATTTCGTCTCAGTGAATATATGGTCATTTATGCCTGGCTTCTTACAGGAAGCATAATGTTTTCAAAGTTCATTCATATTATAGCATGTATCAATATGTCATATCTTCTCATGGCCAAATGATACTTCAGTATGGCCAAATGATATTTCAGTATATGGATATAAGACATTTTATTCATCCAGTCATCAGGTAATGGACATTTGGGTTGTTTCCACTTTTTGGCTGTTTTTGCTATGAACATTTATTTTGCATAAATATATTTTTAAGTTCTCTTGACTGTATACCTAGGAGTGAAATTGCTGGGTTATATGGTAATTCTGACTTTTTGAGGAACACTCGCACTGTTTTCCAAAGTGACTATAAGATTTCACATTCCTAACAACAATTTATGAGGGTTCCAATTTCTCCACACACTTTCCAGCACTTGTTATTGTCCATCTTTCTGCTTGTAGCCACCCTCGTGGTTATGAAGTTGTATCTCACTATGATTTTGATTTGCATTTCCCTCATGACCAATGATGTTGACTATCTTTTTATGGGCTTATTGTCTGTTTATTTGTCATCTTTGGAAAATGTCTATTCAAACCCTTTGTTCATTTTCTACTGGGTTGTCTGATTTTTATTTTTGACATGTAAAATATCTGATATTTTGTTGTTGAGATTTAAGAGTTCTTTGTATATTCTGGATACTAGACCCTTATCAATTATATTATTTGCAAATATTTCTCCTATTGATAGTATCCTTTGAAGCACAAATATTTTTAATTTTGACGAAGTCTCATTTATGTTTTTTCTTTGGTTGTTTGTGCCTTTTGGTATCTGTGTTAATCTGTTCTCACACTGTTAATAAAGACATACCTGAGACTGGGTAATTTATAAAGGAAAGAGGTTGAATTGGCTCACAGTTCCACATGGCTGGGGAGGCCTCACAATCATGGTGGAAGGCAAATGAGGAGCAAAGCCCGGTCCTACATGGCGACAGGCAAGAGGGCATGTGTAGGGGAACTCACATTTATAAAACCAACAAATCTCGTGAGACTTATTCACTACCACAAGAAGAGTACAGGGGAAACTGCCCCTGTGATTCAATTATCTCCACTGGTCTCAGCTTTGACACATGGAGATTATTACAATTCAAGGTGAGATTTGGGTGGAGACACAGCCAAACCATATCAGTATCATATCCAAAGCCACCAAGATTTACCTGTTTTCCTGTGTGGTAAACAGAACTAATCATTCTATAGTTGTAGCTCCTACATTTAGGCCTTTTTGACCTTTACAAACCAAATTCATTTTAACTTATACATGGTCTGAGGTAGGAGCCCAAATTTATTATTTTGCATATGGATATCTGGTAGTCTGAGCACCATTTGTGCAAGACTCTTCTGAGTGAGTTGTCTTGGCACCTTTGCTGAAAATCATTTGACCATATATGGGAGGGTTTATTTCTGGGCTCTCTATTCTGTTTCATTGGCCTATTTGTCTTTATGCCAGTACCAAACCGTTTTGTAGTAAGTTTTGAGATAAGGAAGTGTGAGTCCTCCAATTTTGTTCTTATTTTTCTGAGTTGAAAAATTGTTGTTGTTCTGAGTCCTTTGTATTTTATATGCATTTTAGTAGCAACTTGTCCATTTTTTAAAAAATGCCATTGGGATTTTAATAGGGAATGCATTACATCTGTACATTAATTTTAACTTAATAATGTTAAGTCTTTCAATTCATGAACACAGGATGTCTTTCCATTTATTTAGTTCTTCTTTAATTTATTTCAACAATGTCGTGTAGTTTTCAGTATATGTGTATTACATTTTTTGTATGTAATTATGTATGTAATTTTATATGTATTAAATGTAAATACAAAAATGTATTTACATTTTTTGGTTTAATTTTTTTCTAAGTATTCTTCTTGATGCTATGTAAATGGAATGGTCTTCTCAATTTCATCTTCAGATTGTTGCTAGTGTGTAGAAATACAACTGAATTTTATATATTGATCTTGTATTCTACTACCTTACTAAACTTATTTATTAGCTTTAATGGTTTTTGCGTGTGGATTCTTTATGGCTTTCTATATATAAGATCATATCATCTGCAAATAGAGACAGTTTACTTCTTCCTTTCCTATCTGGATATGTTTTTTTTTTTTTCCTTTCCTTAGCTAATTTCCCTGATTAGACCCTCCAGTACAATGTTGAATAGAAGCAGCAAGAGCAGATATGGTTTTTTATCATGTAGTGTTAGATTTTGTAAATGCTTTTTGAATCTATTGAGATAATCATGTGATTTTTCCCTTTTATTCTATTAATATGGCGTATTACATTGATTTTTCATGTATTGAACCAACCTTGAATTCCTGAGGTAGATTCTACATGGTCATGGAATGGAGATAATCCTGTCTTTTTTTGGAGACAGGGCCTTGCTCTGTCAGCCAGGCTGGAGTGCAGTGGTGCGATCCTGGCTCACTGCAACCCCTGCTTCCTGGGTTCAAGTGTTTCTTGTGCCTTATCCCCCTGAGTAGCTGGGACTACAGGCATGTGCCCAGCTAATTTTGTTCATTTTTGTAGAGACAAGGTCTCACTGTGTTGCCCAGGCTGGTCTCAAACTCCTGGACTCAAGCAATCCTCCTGACTCAGCCTCCCAAAGTGTTGGGATTACAGGCATGAGCCATCACATATGATCATATAATACTTTTTATGTGCTTCTGGACTTGGATTTCTAGTATTTTGTTGAGGATTTTTATGTCTTCATTCATATGAGATATTGGTCTGTAGTTTTTGTGTGTGTGTGTGTGTGTGTTATGTCTTTGTAGTTGGTATTATAGTAATACCTCACAGAATGAGTAGGAAAACATTCTTTTCTTTTTTCCTTTTTGGTTAGTGAATTCTTTACAAACCAAACATTTGGTTTGGTGTTAATTTTTTAAATTCTTGTTAGAACTACCAGTGAAGCCATCTAGTCCTGGCCTTTTTTTCCTGGAAGGTTTGTAAATTATTAATATTAATTTGATCTCTTTTACTTGCTACAGGTTTATTGATATTTTCTATGTCTTTTTAAGTCAGATTTGGTAGTTTTTGTCTTCATAGAATTTGTCCGTTTTTTCTAGATTATCAAATTTGTTGGCAAACAATTGTATATTATATTCCCTTTTAATTCTTTGTATTTCTGTAATGTTAGTATTAGTGTCTCCCCTTTTATTCCTGATTTTAACAATTTGAGTCTTTGCTCTTTTTTCTTGGTCAGTTTAACTATAAGTTCATGAGTTTTGTTGATCTGTTTAAACAACCAACTTTAGGTTTGTTGATTTTTCTTTATTTTTCTATTCAATATTTTTTTGTTTGGACTTACCTCTTTATTTCCTCCCTTCTCCTTCTTGTTTTGAGTTTAGTTATATATATATATATATTTTTGTTTGTTTGTTTGTTTGTTTGTTTGTTTTGGAGATGGAGTCTTGCCCTGTCACCCAGGCTGGAATGCAGTGGTGCCATCTTGGCTCACCGCAAGCTCTGCCTCCCGGGTTCATGCCATTTTCCCACCTCAGCCTCCTGAGTAGCTCGGACTACAGGTGCCCACCACCACACCCGGCTAATTTTGTTTTTGTATTTTTAGTAGAAACGGGGTTTCACGGTGTTAGCTGAGATGGTCTTGATCTCCTGACCTTGTGATCTGCCTGCCTTGGCCTCCCAAAGTGCTGGGATTACAGGCGTGAGCCACTGCACCCAGCCCTTTTTTTTTTTTTTTTTTTTTTTTTGACACAAGGCCTCATGCTGTTGCCCAGGCAGGACTGCTGTGGCATGAACATGGCTCACTGCATCCTCTTGACCTCCTGGGCCCAAGCCATCCTCCCACCTCAGCCTCCTGTGTAGCTGGGAACACAGGCGCATGTCACCATGCCTAGCTAAGAGTGTGTGTGTGTGTGTGTGTGTGTGTGAGACAGACCCTCACCATGTTGTCCAGGCTGGTCTTGAACTCCTGGACTCAAGAAATCGTCCCACCTTAGCCTCCCAAAGTGCTGGGATTATTACAGGCATGAGCCACCATGCCCAGCCCTCCCTTGTTTTTGACATAGGTGTTTACAGCTAAAAATTTCCCTCTAATCACTGATTTTGCTGCATTCCCTGAGTTATGCTATGTGGTGTTTTCGTTTCCATTCATCTTGTTTTCTAATTTCCCTTATGATTTCTTATTTGAGTCATAGGCCATTTAGAAATGTGTTGTTTACTTTAGACATATTTGTGAATTTCTAAGTGTCTTTCTGTTATTGATTAATGATTTTGTATGATTTTAAACCTTTTACATTTATTGAGACTTATTTTATGACCATCAACTATTTTTGATCTACTCTCAGAAGCAACTTGCATGTGTATCCCTTCCTCTTAATCCCCAGGACTACTACCCTTGGCTGGCCCTCTTAGCCTCCCATATAGCCTATTGCAAAATCTGAATAACTGCCATATTCCTTTGTCTCTGGTAGCTTTCTTTTTCAAGCCTAGCCTGTAAACCACTGCTCGATGAGTCTTAAAATATTCCCCAGTTCAGTGCCTCCCTTTTGTTGAGAAAGTAAGTCCATATTTCTTAATATGCCTTTAAAGGTTTTCTGTAATATAGATCTAACTTGTCTTCTCCATCCTCAGTTCTAAAAAGACTTTCACCTTGGATCATGCCTGTAGAAATAGTCATGTTAAATAAAACAGAATATAACTTCTATGAATAGTCTGTAACCACACCTTACCACTGTTAAAAATCCATCTGTGGACTAAGTTTGAAGGCTCTTTGTTCCCCCTTTTAACCAATTACTGATTTTTAAAGTAATTAGTTACTCCTTATTTGTTTTCATTTGTGAGATGGGAGTGCTATGAAAACTTGAAACTCTGAGACTCTTAGCATTGTCATCTTTGTTTGACTAATTATAAAGATTGAATTAGAGGTTAAGGAGATTAAAATGGAATAAGGACCTCTTGCACACTATCAGCAAACTGTTATGGTTTACACTATTTAGAATGCTTGATGCAGGTCATTACTGGAGAAGACTCTCTTCTGTCCTTCAATACCCAGCCTAAATGACCCTTCTTTCATGAAATTTTTACTGTTATCTCATCAAAAGTGATATCTTCCTTATGAATGCCTCCAGTACTTTGTTCTCTTCTAAGTCCTTTTTAAAAACAATATTTATTTATGTATGTATGTGCCTCTTTTCCTTCACTGATCTATTAAGCACTTTGAGAATTAAGAAATCTTTTGTACCCCAAATGTTTCATTCATAATAGGGAGTCATATAAATATTTTTGAGAGAATGAGCAATTGAATACTTTTTAAAATACATCGTATTTGTCCTCTTTCCAGTTCTGCAGACCTAAACTTATTTCATCTCTTGCCTGAACTGGACCTTCCCCTGTGTATTTCTTCCTGTTTTCTATTCTGTTGTCTATTTTAGACACTGAAATGATCTGATAACCCTACCTACTCCATTTATTTTTCTTTATAATTCTTCCACTTTGAATCTTTCTCTCAGGGCCTTCCTCATTCTCTTTTCCATCTTTTTTTTTTTTTTGGTGAAATTGCCATCTTCACTATGAAACCCTTCTTCATTATTTAAATGGAAAATTATATCTATCCTTTTATTTCAGATTTTTTTTTCTTTTATGACACATTGCCTTTATTATTATGAGAGAAATGATGATACCATCTTTTTTTTTTTTCTTTTTGAGACGGAGTTTCACTCTCGTCACCCAGGCTGGAGTGGAATGGAACCATCTCGGCTCACTGCAACTTCTGCTTCCCAGGTTCAAGCAATTCTCTTTCCTCAGCCTCCCGAGTAGCTGGGATTACAGGCACTCACCACCACACCCAGCTAATTTTTGTATTTTTAGTAGAGATGGGGTTTCACCATGTTGGCCAGGCTGGTCTTGAACTCCTGACCTCAGGTGATCCACCCACCTTGGCCTCCCAAAGTGGTGAGACTACAGGTGTGAGCCACTGCACCCAGCCGATACCATATTTTTTATATCTTCTACAACACTGTTCCTAGTATGTAGTAGACACTTAACACATATTTGTTAAAGGGATGAATAAATATATTTCAAATTTAGATTTTCTCTCTTGGAACATTCAGGAAACTCCTGAAATTATATTGACTATTTAAAAAATTCATTATCTCTTATAAAAAAAGATAACAGTATTTTAAAATTCTGTAGTGTTGGAGAGTGGTTTTATAAGTTGAAAACTTTGCTTATTATCATCATTATGTACCTATATATGAAATTACACTGTAATCCTTTTATTACAAGGACACATACACATTCGAAACTTTGTTTTAGATCAGACACTCTTTCAGGATATCACATTAAGGGGAATGAGAAAATAAATACCTGATTTTGTTGATTTGTAAATTGTTTTCAAGTAACTGTAAACAGATAGAATAGCATGAAACAACCAAGTGTATTGAACATGGTATAAGCCCTCCCTTGGTTAATCAGTTATTCACATTTTAACTTTAAACTAACAAATATATTCCCTAGATAATATTTAGGAGATTGGAGAGGAGTATTTTGTAATATCCAGTAAAGTTAGTTCTATATTTCTTTAAAAAGTCAGGAGCCATAGTTCCAGGAGTTAGAATTATGTCTTTCTCACAGCATCACATCACTGAGTAATTTTCTATTGGCTAAGATTTAAAATTTCTTTTCCTAGAAGTGACATATTTTAACACTTACATTTCGGAGAGTGGGTAATATCATTTAGCAATATACTTCTCTATGAAGACCTTTAGATGTCCAGAAATTAGTGTTAATGCTTAATATAAAAGGAGTAATTCACTGAAAGCACTGACTTTTAAAAGTCTTTTGTTCTTTCAAGGTGGTTTCCAGAAGTGCAGAATATTTATTACCAAGGTAATAAAAAAAAGCAATTGCCAACTGGTGACAGCAGTGCCAAATTGGAATCTTTTTTCAACTGTGCTGCTGCACTTATGACTTTACAGCTGCAGGACCTCACTTTAGTCTCCATGCAAGATTTCACGGACTTAATTGCACAACCCCCAGTAAGTATGGTTCAGTTCACCAATATGTATTTACAAATTTATTTATTTTTAATTATTTCAGAGAGGAAAATAACATCTCTATCAGTGAGAGGGCAGAAAGTACATCTTTAGACCTATTACACTTATCTTAAAAGAAAAAATTGTCAGCCAGGCATGGTGGCACATGTCTGTAGTCCCCACTACTCAAGAGGCTGAGGTGAGAGGAGCACTTGCGTCCAGGAGTTTGAGGCTGCAGCGAGCCAAGATTGTGCCATTGCACTCCAGCCTGGACAACAGAGCGAGACCCTGTCTCAAAAAAAAAAGAGTTAATGTCAACCTGCATATTTAGGATATATGATTGTCATGACTAGAGATAAGATTAGTGAAAATTCACATAATTGGGAAATTTGGGTCATGAAGGCTGGAGAAAGTTACCATGAGGTAACTTTAGCAAAGAAGAACCATTTCTGTTTCTGGAAGGAGGTCCTGTTGCAGTGTGAGCAGGGCCTTGGAATTGGAGTGTTCTTCTCTTGGGCTCTATCTTGTATGATTCTAGAACTCCACTGCTATGTACGCTTGTTTTTCTGGGACTTTGACCCTGTAGTTGACCTGTAGTCCCAATGGATACTGGATATCATCAACTGTAGCTCAGAATCACTCTTGCTCTTTTTATTAGAGCTCCTCCTTGGCTTAGCTGTCTGGGTCATAAGAGAAAGTGTGGGTTCCCATGTATTCTAATTGGGACTGGTGTACTACTTAGTCTGTCACAATTCATACATATTTATGTATGTAAATTTTTTAATTTTTTGCAGGATTCTGTTAGAGCTTTTGAACATCCAGGTTTCATCATGAGGCTGATTCTTGATAATGACACCATTAAGTTTGAACCTGAGTTGAGTGACTATATAGATATCTTTCTAAATGTTTATGACGTCATGATTAAAGCTGTCAGTTTTGTGCCAAGAGTTGAGACAAAATTGTATTCCAAGTGGGTAAGTAACAAGGATATTAAGATTGCTTGAATTTGCATAATGACATTCACTTCAAGTAACTTCTGAAAGTTGAAGGCAGGTATCCTCTGCTTCACAGAATATAATAATGTTGGCTTATAAGAAAGTTTTCCTAAAAAACTACCATTTTCCAAATGGCCTCTCAAAATATACCTACTTTCCTAGTTTAGTCTTCCTTTGGACTTAGCTAAAAACTTTCTGAGGAGAAGGAATTAAAGTTGTGATCAGGTTTGAAGCAGCCAATGAGTGTTTACTGTAGCTCTCCTACCATTTCCTGTAAACTCATGCCATGCTGTAGGTCTCTTTATGCTTTTCCAGCTCTGTAAAACTGTCCTCGAGTTTATTACTCCCCTCATATACCTTTTTCCGTAATAGTGAGCTCCTTTATACTTTCAACTCATAGATCTAATCTATGACATTTCCACAGTAGTTATTGGAATCTAGTATATGAAATGAGCATGTCTGAAAATTCTTCAACTTACAATGTTTTCTAGTTTTGTAAGTCCAATCAGAAGCTTTCTCCTTATTTTTGTATTTTTAAAATAACTTATACATATTTGCTGTATACAGAAGAGTGCAGGAAACTAGTGTGTAAAGGCTTCAGTAGTAATAAAGTTAACACCTAAATTGGCACAGCCCATCTTGAGGGATAGAATATTGCTGGTACCTTTAAGCTCTTCCCCTTTGCTCCTTCTTGTTTACATCCTTATCTCTCCACCTTCTAGCAAAAGAATCACTATCTTGAAGTTTTGAGCTTTTGTTCTTAATTTTGAAAAATAGGCTTACTACTTGTCTGTTTATTACTAAACAATTTATGTTTAGTTTTTCCATGTCTTTGTATAAGTGGAAGCATCTTATAAGTAATTGGTGTTTTGCTTATTTCACTTAACATTATATGAAATTATCCATTTTGAGGATATCCTTTTCATTGAGTTTCCAATTTTTTATTCTATTTTTATTTTTCAGGAATTCCATTAGGTTCTTTTCAAATAGGCCTAGTCGTTTTTGATAGTCTTTTATACTTAGTCATGTTTTCATTAAGCTTTTACTTCTCTTTACACAGATTAAATATTTTTAATACTCTGTATGCGATACTACCAATATCCACAGTTTTTGCTGATCTGATTCTGCTGTTTGCTGACTCCTGCTCCTGGTGGTATATTTCTCTGGGTATTTTTCCTTTATTATTATACTTAGGCTTGTAAGAAGTTTATGAAAAAAGTCTTTGAGGACTTGGTTTAAGTTGATTCCTTTGGAGTTTCCATATTCTTGTGACAGGTGCTCCCCAGACCCTTGCAGACCAAGGACCATTTTTAGCTGAATTCTTGCTTAATGATTTCAAAGACAATACTGGTTGTGCGAATATTCACTCAAATCTGTGTGAAAATAGACTTGTGGTTACAAATTCTTAAGGCAACCATCTTTTGTTTTTTTCCTCTACAGAGAAACAAAGCAAAACCAGGACATTTTTACTTTTCTCATATTCAAAGGTCTGTCACCTTTCAGCATTCTGAAGTTTCGTCTCCTCAGAACTCTCATTTTAAGATTGTGTCACCCTTCAGTGTTCTTGGCTTTACATGGAGATGCCAATTATGACTTCCAACTTTGCTCGACCTTGAGGCTTTGTTTCCTGGCAGCCCCTCCCATGCATCCACCTTGCCGGAAACTCATTAAAGCAAAGCTTAGACCACCAAGGATCAGCAGGGTCCCCAGGGCAGCTGCTCACTTCTGCACATAATGACCTTTCAACTCATGCTTTCTCTCATTTTGGTCCCTTAGACTTTTTTTTTTGTTGTTATTTCCTTAGCTATACGTTATAAAAGATAAAGTCAGCTTTATTATCCTGGCATATTTATGTGTTTTGAATTGAGTAGTTGTTTTCTGGATATCTATTCCTCATACTACCATGAATAGAAGTCTCTCAAGAAACATACTGCTTACTTTGTCTTTTGTGTAATTCTAGTTCATCTATTGCATTCTTTTCTATTCTGTTTGTACCCTGACTTTTTCAAGAATGATTTGACGTAACTTATGAAACAAGACAAATTTAACAAGTTAGTAAGAAAAGAATTAGTAGACAAAGGTCAAGTGAAGAAAAGTAACTTTTTTTTTTTTTTTTTTGAGTTGGAGTCTCGCTCTGTTACACAGGCTGGAGTGCAGTGGTGCTATCTTGGCTCTGCCTCCTTGGTTCACACCATTCTCCTGCTGCTCAGCCTTCTGAGTAGCTGGGACTACAGGCACCCGCCACCATGCGTGGCTATTTTTTGTATTTTTAGTAGAGATGGGGTTTCAACGTCTTAGCCAAGATGGTCTCGATCTTCCTGACCTCGTGATCCGCCCACCTCTGCCTCCCAAAGTGCTGGGATTATAGGCATGAGCCACCGCACCCAGCCATAACTTTTATAATTATCAAAAGGAATGCAGTTGCTATAGTGTTACAGTTATAAAATATGGCCCCAAGCTTCCTGGTTTCTAAAGGAAAGTATGACAAATTTTAATTATGATTAGAACAGTTAATTGAAACTTCTCAGGAAGAGAGATGTTTTTCATGGTATCAAATTTTGAGAGATAAAGCCTACAGTTGGCATCATTCATGGGTAATGGTTCTGAAACCGTATGGATTATCATCATCTGGTAACACATTTTGTTTTTCAACTTTTATTTTAGGTTCAAAGGTACTTGTGTAAGTTCGTTACATGAGTAAATTGCCTGTCATTAAGGTTTGGTATACGAACGATCCAAATTCCAGGGATCACCATCACCACTCACCATTGTCCCTTGCCCCAGAGATACAGATTCATAAAGATGGAGTCAGTACTCAGAAATCAGTACTGGTAAAATATGCCTAGATGATGCCCTACAAGTGATATGTAGGGTATCATGAATAGGATAATTGAACATGATCTCAGTGATCTTTGACAACAATTGCAGAAATGGAATTTATATAGCTGTTTCTTAACACAACCTTTGGTAGAAATTGAAAGTGAACTAAAATACACTTTTTTTTTTCATGGAAGGTAAACCTGCAATGGGTTAACGCACCATGAGTCCAAGCATATCACTATCTCCTGATTTAATGTGATATGCTTTAGAACATCTGGAGGTGTCTCATACAAAATATCATTTCTCATAACTGTTAATTAGGAGATGATTAAATTCATATCAAAATGAATGACTCCATCTTGCTCTGTCACCCAGGCTGGAGTGCGGTGATGTGATCTCGGCTCACTGGAAGCTCTGCCTCCTGGGTTCACGCGATTCTCCTGCCTCAGCCTCCCCGCGAGTAGCTGGGACTACTGGTGTGCGCCACCATGCCCAGCTAATTTTTGTATTTTTAGTAGAGACGGGGTTTCACCAGGTTGGCCAGGATGGGTCCGGATCTCTTGACCTCATGATCTGCCTGCCTCGGCCTCCCAAAGTGCTGGGATTACAGGCATGAGCCACCATGCGTGGCCCCAAAATTATACTTTCTAATATAGTTTTGAAGTCGTAGTATCCGATTCTGCTTAGAAAGGTAAACCTATAGGCTTTACAAATTAGATAGGCTATTAATAAATTTAAGAAACAATCTATAGTGAATATTAGCTTCACATGAGATCAAGTAATTTTACATTGCACACAGTACATCATATAGATTGCTTTATCTTAAAAATTTCTGTTTTCCAAAAAGATGATACCAAGCATCTAATGAGCCCAGGTGGGAAACAGTGGTGGGATTCACTAATGTTCTCATGAAGTACCTAGTTCTAAGCAAGATGATTTCCTGAAATGCCCACTGGGGGAATAGTAGGCAAATGCCCCATGGATAACTGAGAAAATTACCCAGTTGCCTAAGGAATCCTTTGATACTATCAATTTGAATGTTGTAGAATGTCCACTGCAGACATGATTTTGTTTTGTTACAATATAGATAAAATCTGGGCAACAGGTAGAGCATATGTATATTTAAGAGTAAGTTGGGGACGGGCATGGTGGCTCATGCCTGTAATCCCAGCACTTTGGGAGGGCGAGGCGGGTGGATAACCTGAGGTCAGGAGTTTGAGATCAGCCTGGCCAACATGGTGAAACCCTGTCTGTACTAAAACTACAAAAATCAGCCGGGCATGGTGGTGGGCACCTGTAATCCCAGGTACTCAGGAGGCTGAGGCAGGAGAATCACTTGAACCCAGGAGGCAGAGGTTGCAGTGAGCTGAGATCATGCCACTGCACTTCAGCCTGGGCAACAGAATGAGACTCTGTCTCAAAAAAAAAAAAAAAGATTAAGTTGGTTCAGGTAATAAACCATGTGGGCATATTTACTTGTCCTCTAAAATGGAAAGAAAAGGAGATAAACTGTTAAGATTTGTTTGCTTATTTAAAATTGTTGTCTGGTCCATTCTTGCCTACAATTATTATAATCCTGAGAGCAGAATGCAAATTTTGCAGCTAAGGATTTTAGTCTGCTCTGGTTGCTGTTCACAGAATCAAAGATCAAAGGTCAGTGAATAAGTAGTCTTTCTTTGATCTAGATAGATTTCTCCTCAACGTGAAAAAGTATTGTGTTTAAAGATTATGATGATATGACATTGCACTCTAGTGTATTTTCTGTCAACAGTGAACAGTGCAAGCACTGCCTTATAAAGCTAGCATATATGATTGCACAAAGTGTGGATTTTTCTGTGTTCATAAATGGGAAGAATTAACTATGTTAAAATGTCCATACTACCCAAAGTGATCTCCAGATTTAATGCAATCTCTATCAAAATACCAATGACATTCTTCCCAGAAGCAGAAAAAAGAATCTTAAAATTCATATGAAATCACAAAAGACCCTGAATAGCCAAAGCAATCTTGAGCAAAAAGAACAAAGTTGGAGGCATCACATTACCTTACTTGGAAATAGACTACAAAGCAGGAGGCAGCAGGGGTTGCTGGAGAGTTAGGGAACCACTTCCTCTTGCACACAGGCTTCCTGGCCTGGGACAGTCCCAGCGCCCTCGCATCTGCCCAGCACCACCACCCTTTATCTTCTCTCCCTAGTCCCCCACTGGTGCCCGCCTTCACCCCCACACCACTGGTCTGTTTGGCCCTCCGGGTCCCCTCTCTAGCTGGCCTCCCATCTTCCCCTGCTGAGCCAGGTTGGTTTCGGAAATGCCCTTACAGCAGCAGGCAAAGTGAAGCCTAGAGCTAGGAAAGGCGCTCACAGTACCTCTCAGATGGTTTCAAAACCCCTGAGGGCAAAAGAAGAGCTGCTCTATGAAGTCCAGATAGTCCTAAAACTCCAAAAATCTCCCTCAGAAAAACGCCATATGATACATCCCTTGGTGTGCTCACCAAGAAGTTCATTCAGCTCCTGAGCCAGTCTCTCCATGGGGTCTTGGATTTGAACAAGGCAGAAAAACTGCTAAAAGTACAAAAGAGAAGGACTTATGATATCACCAACATTCAAAGCATCTCCCTCATTAAGAAGTCTAAAAATAGCCGGGCATTTTGGCTCATGCCTGTAATCCCAGCACTTTGGGAGGCCAAGGTGGGCAGGTCACGAGGTCAAGAGATCAAGACCATCCTGGCCAACATGGTGAAACCCTGTCTCTACTAAAAATACAAAAATTAGCTGGGCATGGTGGTGTGTGCCTGTAGTCCCAGCTGCTCGGGAGGCTGAGGCAGGAGAATCGCTTGAACCCAGGAGGTGGAGGTTGCAGTGAGCCGAGATTGCGCCACTGCACTCCAGCCTGGCAACAGAGCAAGACTCTGTCTAAAGAAAAGGAAGAAGGAAAACATCCAGTGGGCTACAGTCTGTCTGAGGATGAGGACATGCTGGCCCAATGTCAAGGCCTGTCAAAAGAAGCAACCAAGCTCAGTCAGGAAGAGAAAAAATTAGATGAACTGATCCAAAGCTATACCCTGGACCTCAAACTATTAACCGCAGATTCAGAGAATCAAAGGTTAGCTTATGTTACGTATCAAGATATTTGAAAACTTAGTGGTCTTAAAGACCAAATGGTTATAAGTTGTGAAAGCCCCTCCAGAAACAAGACTTGAAGCACTTTACTCAATAGAGAGCCTACAGATACATTTGGCAAGTACCCAAGGACCAATTGAGGTTTACTCCTGTCCGGAAGAGATGGAAACACACAATCCAGTGAAAACAAACAACCAAGACCACAATGGGAATATCTCTAAACCCAATTCCAACGACTTGGATTCAACCAACACAGGACATGGCGATTGGTCAATTTCTATGGCAAACCTTTCTCCCTTGGCCTCCCCAGCCAACTTTTTACAGCAGACTGAGGACCAAATTCCTTCTAACCTAGAAGGACCATTTGTAAACTTACTGCCTCCCCTGCTGCAAGAGGACTGTCTCCTGAGCCTTGGGGAGGAGGAAGGCATCAGTGATATCTTTGATGCTGATGATTTGGAAAAGCTTCCACTGGTGGAAGACTTCAGGTATGGTTGATTATGCTTCATGTGCATTCTCCTTACAAATCAATAATTTTTTATCATGGGACCAGAACATCTGTCATGCAGTGTGGTCCCTTCCTACTTTCTTCCTCCAAGAAATTATCATGAAGTAAACTACAGACTTCAGAAGAAAGCTGACATTTTAATGAATTTAAAAAAATAAACAACTTGTCTAAATGCACAGTTGCAGGCTCCCTTGGGAAAACCCTGCTTTTCTCCAGGCTCCATGATCTCCTGGATAAGTCAGGAAATGAAAAAATATGCAATCAGGTGTTTCTCACTCTAACTTTTTCTTCCTCCATTCCTTCTTCCCGGATTGGCTTGCTGTGGCTGACAGATGGGCTGTAGAATGGGGTCTGGCCACCTGACCCACTGGTAAACAATGATCTTCCTTAATAGCATTTCAATCTCTGCCTTCTCCACAGAATGTATGCCTTTGGGGTATGCTAATATGGAATGGAACTGCCGCAAATGCAAACTTGAAGTCATGCAAAAGTATGAAATGGACTTCAGTTCTTCTTAGAAATATTTAAATTCAATTTAAGCTCTGGACTCTGTGTCCCAGAAGGAGGGGACACAAAACTTCCTCAAAACCCTTAAAAGCTCCATAGCCTTTAGGATGAAGAACCTGTTTTCAAATATACTTGTTGCAGTTACAGAAGACTAGTAGAGTTCTGCCACTCTAAGCTGTTGTGGATTTTTCTATCTCCATAAACTGTGCCCACTCCCCTATCCCCCACATGTTTGTGACTTTCCAGTTGATTTGTAGTAAATGCCTACTTAGTTCTTTGTGGATTATTTTAGACTTTTTGTATTTTTTTTAGCTGCCATTTATGTATTCCTGTGACATTCATCACCATTTCAATTTAATTGCTTACTTTGAAGGAAATTTTACAAATTCACATTACATAAGCAGAGGGACAGAACCTCTCCTGATTAGAACATCTAAACCTGTGTGATCTGAGGTTTATCAGGCTCTGCAAGAAGCATTGTCCCATCTTGCTTCCACTCCCAGCTTGGAGCAAGTCAGTCCTGGGGCTTGCTGACAGGAGTGACCCATTGGAAAGGAGAACCAGGTCAAATGATGTAACAGTCCCAAGGAGCAGCAGGCATGGATCCCTTAATCCTTGTGCTTCCCACACCTCTGTTACTGGGAAAGGACTGTTAACGCTGCACTCGGAGACCACTTCTCAGGATGGGGTCAGGTGGAGAGGCCTCTAGGGAGAAAGACATTCCCATTGTGTGAGTGGCATTTTCTTAAGCTGGCAGGAACAGGGGGCTCCCACTGTGTCAGAGGCTGGAATCATTCTGGCTAGACCCTGTTCCCCTTCCTCTATGAAGGAATGAGTTGGACCAAGGAAAGCCAGGATGTAGAACATGGAGCAGAAGAATGCCAGGGCATTTCCCGCTTTACTCTTCAGGAATGGCGTCCCAAGTTGGAGGGTTTGTGTCAGCTGCAAATCCTACCAGTTACGTTGAAGAATAGCTTTCCCATTGGCAGGAGGCAATGGCCATCTCCCACTGGGAATATGGCATAGTACCTTCAATCCATTTTTTGGATACTAAGGACTGTGGGAATGAGGGAGTCAGATAAAGAACAAACCTCAAAATGAACAGTTAAATTGAAATGCTATGTGCCTGACCCAGTGGCAGGCACACAGTAGGCACTCAACTCATACATGTTTAATTGAATTGAAAATATCCCTTAGGAAATAAAAACAAACAAACAAAAAAACACAAAAGCCCCAGCCAGTTTACTGCAGGAAGATTTCTACAATATGCAAAGTGGTTGTGGGGTCAAGACAGATGACACTAGTGCTTTAAACTCTTTGTGTGGGTGTGCATGGGTGTAAGTTTGGGAAAAAAACAAAGGTGAAGACTATCTGCCTTTTTCTTCTTCAGCTTCCACCTGTGGTCTCCTCCCTTCACACACACTAGACTTAGTACAAAACATCAGTGTGGTCCGAGAGGAAGCATTGGGGTGGAGGAGGGAGAGGGAGCTTTGTGTTGTCTACTAGAAATGCACTGAGGTTTTTTTTCCTGTATGGGAAACCATTTATGCCAAGCTTTTCCCTGTTTCCCATATCTATCTCATCTGGTTAGCTGCCTCTACTTTCAGCTTTGTGTAATTATCTTTGCCAGCTGCACAAAGCTGATTTTTTGCAACATCTAAAGACAACTCACCTGGCTAGGTTGTTGTGTGTTTTGTTGAAACTTTTTGTAAGGTAATGCTGTATTTATTGTTTTAAAAACTAAAGGAATCCTAGTAAATCTTAAAAGTTTCTTCATGCATAAGATTTTTCCGGTTGCTGGGCTTAACTGATGTACATTAATTAGATGTCCATACTGTATTCTTGCATCGTCATTTTCTTTTTGACTTAGTATCTGAGCCCACAAAGTGAGTTAGTAAGTACCAGTTTTTGCATTACTTTAAGTTCTAAGTATGCAGGTTTCCTGGTACCATTGGTTGCTGCTATTAAAGCTCACATATTGTATGGCTGAAAGTTACAAGTGTGCGAATTATGACTGCATGAGCCTTAGAAAATAAAATGAATAAAGGGCAACACATTAGCATGACAGTGTTAGGTGTGTGTTTATATGTACAGGGTTCTGCATAGCAGTTGTTTTATTGAAGTTGATATGTAGTTTGCTCACATTTTTATTATTTAGCAATTTTGTACAAAAATAGCAACTAATTTGTAAACACTGCCAGAATATTTTCTAGCTGTTTTGTAATTTTTTAAAAGTGTTATTTTGTTTTGTTTTATTTTTGTTGTGGTTCTTGTTTTCACTTTTGTTTATGTATAGATCTGTAAATAAAATTGCAGTATTTAAAGCTTAAGCTTTCAGGAAAAAGAAAGTAAGAATTCACTGTGTGCATGACAACTTATCTGTATGAGAAGGAGGGATTTGAAGGAAGATTCCTTGCAGAGAAAGTTGGGTGGCAATTGTCAGCATGTGGGAATTTATTTTCCTACAGGGTACATGATTTGGTAGAAAGGAAATATTTCTCCCAAAATTGGGAGTAGGCAAACTATGAGTCAGTTTAGCTTTGTGTTGTATGCTAGCTTAAAAAAGAAAATATGTAATGTAATGTAAAAAACAGCCAGAAAAAAGCTTTTATGATGAATTTTGTAAATAGATTTGTTACAGGGTGACCTGTTCCCTAGCTGTGATCTAATCACCTCAAATGGGTGTAATTTGAAAAAATGTCGTATGGTAAAGTATCAATAAAATGATTTTAAACACTTAAGCATATATATATATATATGTATATATATTTAAGTATATATATGTATATATATTTAAGTATATATATGTATATATATTTAAGTATATATATGTATATAAGTATATATGTATATATTTAAGTATATATGTATATATATTTAAGTATATATATGTATATATATTTAAGTATATATATATACACACACACACACACACACACACACACACACACACAACAAAGCTATAGTAACCTAAACATCATGGTACTGGCATAAAAACAAACACATAGACCAATGGAATGGCATAGATAACCTAGAAATAAATCCACACTTCTACAATAACTTTTTTTTTCGAGACAGGGTCTTACTCTGTCGCCTAGGTTGGAGTGCAGTGGCATGATCATGGCTCGCTGCAGCCTTGACCTCCTGGGCTCAGGTGATTCTCTCACCTCAGTGCCCTTGGAGTAGCTGGGACTACAGATGTACACTATCACTAATTTTTTGTGTTTTTTGTAGAGATGGGGTTTTGCCATATTGCTCAGGCTGGTCTTGAGCTCCTGGGCTCAAGTGATCTGCCTGCCTTGGCCTCCCGAAGTGCTGGGATTACAGGTGTGAGCCACCATGTCCAGCCAGTAACTAATTTTTGACAAAGGCACCAAGAGCATACATTGGGAAAGGGATAGTCTCTTTAATAAATGGTGCCAGAAAAATTGGATATCCACATACAGAAAAATCAAACTAGACCCCTGTCTCTCACCATATAAAAATCACCTCAAAGCGGATTAAAGATTTAAATGTAACACCCAAAACTGTGAAACTGCTAGAAGAAAATATAGGGCAAATGCTTTATGACATTGATCTGGACAAGGATTTTTTGGATAAGACCTCAAAAACACAGGCAACAAAAATAAAAATTGACAAATGGGATTACATCAAACTAAAAAGCTTCTGCACAAAGGAGGCAGTGAATAAAGAGCCCACATAATGGGATAAAAAATTTGCAAACTGTACATCTGTGACAGGTCATTCTTGTATCGCTATAAAGAGATACCTGAGACTGGATAATTTATTTAAAAAAGAGGTTTAATTGGCTTATGATGCTGCAAGCTGTACAGTAAGCATAATGCTTGCATCTGCTTCTGGGGAGGCCTCAGGAAGCTTACAGACATGATGGAAAGTGAAGAGGGAACAGGTGTCTCACGTGGCAGGAGCAGGAGCAGGAGAGACTGGAGTGGGGAGTTACCACACACTTTTAAATGACCAGATCTCATGAGAACTTGTTTGCTATGGCAAGGGCAGAACCAAACCATGAGGAATCCACCCCCATGACCCAGACACCTCCCACCAGGCCCTACCTGCAACACTGGGGATTACAATTCAACATGAGATTTGGCAGGGACATATATTCAAACTATATCAATGTCTGACAAGAGGTTAATATTCAGAATATAAAAGGAACTCAATAGCAAAACCAGAAATAATCCTATTATTGATGGAAAACCTGACAAGACATTTATCACAAGAAGATATACAAATAGATGGCCAACAGGTATACTAAAAAATGTTCTACATCTCTAATTATCAGAGAAATACAAATAGAAACCACAATGAGATGTCACCTCACTCTAGTTAGAATAGCTGTTCTTGAAAAGACAAAAGATGATGTGTTGACAAGGATGTAGAGAAAAGGGAACCCCTACACACTGTTGGTGGGAATGTAAATGAGTGCAGCCAATATAGAAAACAGTAAGGAGGTTCCTCAAAAAATTGCAGGTAGTACAACCATATGATACAGCAATCCCACTATTGGGTATATATGCTAAAGGAAAGGAAATCAGTATGTTGAAGAGCTATTTGCACTCCCATGTTTATTACAGCACTATTCATAATAACCAAGATATGGAATTGACTTAAGTGTCCATCAGTGGTTGAATGGATAAAGAAAACATGATATATATATACACAGTGGAATACAATTCAGCTATAGAAAGAAGGAAGTCCTGTCATTTGCAATTATATGGATAACCCTGGAGGGCATTATGTTAAGTGAAATAAGCCACACAGAAAGACAAATACTGAATGATCTCACTTATATGTTGAATCTGAAAAAGTTGATCTCATAGAAATAAAGAGTAGAGTAGTGGTTACCAGAGGCTAGGAAGGGTAGCAAGGAATGGGGGAGATGGGGACAGGTTGGTAATTGAGTACAAAGTTAGTTAGATGGGAGGAGTAAGTTCTGGTGTTCTATTGCACATTAGGGTGACTATAGTTAACAATAATGCATTATATATCTCAAAATAGCTAGAAGGGAGGATTTTGAGTATTTTTACTACAAAGAAATGAGAAATGTTTGAGGTGATGGATTTACTAATTATGTTGATTTGATCAATACACAATGTATACATGTGTCAAAGCATCACATTGTATTCCATAAATATGTATAATTATGTGAATTAAAAATAAAATTTAAAAATGTATATCTTGCTGTTTTTTATTCTAAATATTATTTTGTATATATTTTCAATTGACTGTTCTTTCATCCATACAGAAAAACGAAACACAACTAGGTAGCCTTAAAGAAAACAAAAAATTATATGAACCTAAATTTTAAAACACTGCTGCAATTAGTCTAATATCTTTCTATAGATTAGAGGTTAAACAGTTAAAACAACCTTGTGAATAAAAAGACAAGAAACATTGTAAGATTGGCGTTTGTACAAAGATAAATGATATAGTTACTTTAAGATATTTTAAATACTATTATTTTTACCCCCTTGTTTAGGAAAGTAAGTCTAAACCAACAACCTTGAAGCCCATAATTCTGAATGAAATTGTAGATGCTCACAAAGAAAAGATCAAGGAAGTTATTATGAAAGAGAGTGTGGCACCTACTGAGCACCTCAGACTCTATGACAAGTATGACTTTTTAATTACCAGAAAAGCTGAGCGAGATGTTGATAACTTCCTCGCAGAAAATCATAGTTATGAAAAAATAATAGATGAAATTTGCAAATACCAGAAACTAATAGAGGAAATACAGTACACATCCATAAAGGTAAATGACTCCAGTTTTGTGCAACTGTTATCTCTATCTGGTATCTTTTCCCCAGTTTTATTAGGATGTATTTTTAGAACACAGATAATTAGAACATTATCATCAACAGGAAAAATATTTATTGAGCTTCTGATGTGTCCCTAGCATTGTGGTAAGCCCTGAGTATAAGAATCTAGGCAAAACACAATTCTTGTGCTCATGTAGCTGAGACTCTACTACCGCAACTCTGACACGTATTTTATATAATTTGCCCCATCCCTATAATTCCAAGAACCTATTTGATTTTTGCCTTAGTGTTTATAAATCCTGTGGATTTATATGGAAAATATGGTAATTACACCAAAATATGGTTCTGTTTAGTAGAATACTAGTAACTTAAAATTTTCTTTTCTGTCCCCCTTTACATTTTCTAAATTTTCTACCATGAACATGTATTTTTTTTGTACAGAGCAACTATAACGTTTGAAACCTACATTATTTATTTAGCAATACAGTAATTCAATTCACCAAAATTGTTATTGCTAATATTGTCCTGAGATTGAATTGGCTTCCAAGATAATAAACTTTTCAAGGATATTTACCCAGAAGATAGTTGTATAATACAAATGATTATTTGGAAAACCCTCCCTGAATTATATATATTTTTAAAAATCTCAATCTTGTTACATCACACACAAAAATAAAAATTATGAGAATGGCAAAATTGTGAAAATTTATTTGTTTTATTTCTTCTTATGTTGATTAAACTTTTAATCTTTTGCAGACTATTCGTTTAGGAATGTTTGAAATGCACTGTGAGGAATTAATCAGAGCTTTGGTGAAGCGAGCAGATATTATTTGTGGGAAACTTCTAGCTAAAATGTTCAGAGATCATCAGGAAGTAAATACAAGGTATTTATGTGATACTGGTTTTTTTATTTTTTGGGAGGGGATGTTTAATAGAATCAGCTGTCACTCAACTAGAGTAATTGATTAAAGCAATGCCATAAATGATTCCAAAGAAATGATTATGCTAAACTTATTTCTGCTTGGCTTTAAGTGTCACTTTGTGATGTGATTATTAGTATTTATTATTTTTTTCACCACAAATGTGCCTCCCCAATTGTCTGAGTTAAGGTGGTATTAAAATGTGTATTTCTTTTACACAAGTCAAGTGGACATTATCTAAATTCAGATTTTTATATTTGTGTAATCAATATGCAAAGTGGGTTTCAAAGTGGATTTACATAGTAGTTGTTATGGGTCCTAAGGGACCATCACATTTGAAACTTCATCTTCCTAAAATTACTCTTGAGGGCCATGGTAACTTTTTCTTTTATCTGGAAATTCATTTGTGACTAACCTAGGGATTTTCGGGAAAACTGACCCATGTTAAGTAAACTCACAGAATACTAGTGTATAAAGCAGAATACCTGTTTCTTTAAGACAAGAAGAACTAGTCTTCCAACAACTGGTGGTAATGTTGCTCTGGGAATCTCTCGACTAGCATCAGTTACATGGGTGAAAAACTCTAAATAATCAGGATATATTTTATGATTATGGTATCAGAGAAAAAAACAGATCATTAAAAATATTTCTTTCAAGCTGTATAGAAGCCTGAAGGAAGTTTTATTTACCTACCATGTGTTAGGCACAAGACTAGCCACTTCGGCTCTAAGGCTCTAAACATGAATAAAACTGCTGAAGGAAGTTACAATGTAGAAGGAGAAATAGACACACAAACCAGTAAATTACAATACCATGCAATAAGTACTGTAATGAGCCACAAGGTAGAACAGAGAGGACAGAATTAATTTCCTCCCAAGATGGAGTTTGGGGGAGAGGGGAGAATCAGGGAAGGCTGCAAAGAGGAACTGACATGTGAATTTTATTTTGAAGGAAGAGTGGGAGTCCGTCAGGTGTACAGTGTGGGTAAAATAATTCCAGGAAGAGAAGATAATATGTAGAGGGCAGTGAGGTGTGAAAATGGCAGGGTGTATTCCAAGAACTAGGAGTGTTTTGCATTGCTTTCACAGACAGCGTGAGGGAAGAGAAGTGAAAGGAAAGGCTGGGGATGAAGGTACTGTGTGAAAGAGGACTAGGACTTGAGTACCTTATCTAGGAACCAGATCATATTTTCAGCTTAAAGCACCTTTTCCTGTAAAAGAACTAGAAGAATAGTGAAAGTGTCTTCTTATTGCTGTTCATGCTGGGTGAAATACTTATTTTAATTTCGTAGCTACTTCCCCTGCCTCTTAATGTTCTCTGAGCTTGTGCCAGTTCTACTTTTTCCCATTTTCTCCTAATTATGCCTCTTGCCTCTCACCAGACTCCCTAGGATGGACAGAGGACATATCAGGACTATTAAAGGAGTCATTAGATATGAATGCCTTCCACTTCTTGCCCCTGCATGGTTTGACTCACCTCTCCAGAAAGCCTGTCTCCCACCTACTCAGAGGGCAGAAGTCTGTCACACCATTCAGTTTTTCTCTCTGCCTAGGAGCTCAGCCCCATTGCTTTCAATGCCTCTGAACCTGGCTCCTTCAGTTATCCCTTCTATATTCCTTATTTTGAACCTCTCCTTCCCGGTTGATTTTCCCTCTGAAGGTTACAAACATGTTGGAGGCCCTCTTTCATCTCCCAGCCCCAGACTTTAACCCATTATCCCCATGCTGTTCCACTCTCCTTCACCTTTCAGCCAATCTTACTGAAGAATTGTTCTATTCGTTTCATTTGAACTCCCTTAGCTCTTGCTACTTTTTTTTTCTGTATGCCAAAATAAGTTCATGGTTTGTATTGGCAGCAACCCAAATCAGTAGGAAATATTTGCATATTACTGGAAGTTCCTGAGCACACAGGCCTATTTTAAACAATCCCTCCAAGTATAGTTAATCATTCCTTTCCTTTGTACTACTTTCTTTGTGCCATCTCAACTAAATCTCTCTTAGAGCCCTTAAAGCTCAGGTTGGAAATGATTGTTCACAGTCCTATCTCCCTTACTGTATTGTGAGTTGCTTGAGGGCCATTATGCTATCTGATTCATTTATGTGTCACTGTCACAGTATTATAGTTAAAAATGTACTAGATCATCAAATGTGCACTGAATAAGTAAATGTATGCAAATTTGCTTTTAATTATTAGATGTCATATAGCTAAGTTATAGTTTTTATTTTTCATGCAATGGAATATTTAAACAGTATACAGGAATATATTTTGGAATTAAATTGAACTGTAAATATGTAAGATTGGTTTTACTTGGTGTTTCAGATTATGCGATGAATTTGAGAGGATAGCTGAAAAAGCTCTTAGCACTCCTCCAAATACAGCAGAACTAATGGAAATGAAGGTATTGTTTATAGCTTCTCCATAATTGTGTGTGTATCAATTAATTATTGACACAATAATGCGGAGTAACAAATCACTCGAAAAGTTAAGACAGATTAAAAATAATAATGACTTTCAATTAGCTGGGTGTGGTGGCATGCGCCTGTAGTCCCAGCTACTCGGGAGGCTGAGGCAGGAGAATCGGTTGAACCCGGGAGGCAGAGGTTGCAATGAGTCGAGATTGCGCCACTGCACTCCAGCCTGGCAACACAGCAATACTCTGTCTCAAAAAAAATAAATAAATAAAATAAATAAAAAATAATAATGACTTTCAAAATACATAGCTCATGAGTTTGCAGTTTGGTAATTTAGGCTAGATGCTCCTGGTTGGTTCTTCTGGTCTCCATGGGGTCACCCTGTTGGGTCACTCACTTAGTTGGGTTGACTAGTCTAACTAACCTTCAGCAGGTTGACTTGGCTCCACTTGTCCCTCAAGCCCCAGCAGGCTCATCTGGGTGTGTTCTCATGTCATGGTACAGACATACAAGCAAATTCAATTGTACAAGTGCTTTTCAAGACTCTGCTTGTGTCACATTAGCTAACATCTCATTGACCAAAACAAGTCTGATTGAGAGGACCCTACAGGGCATGGATACTGGAGAGGTGAAGTATTGGAACAATTAATGCAATTATCTATCAGGTTATTTTTGAGAACACGCAACAATTATTGCCATGCTAACAGGAACAAACCAGGACTGTCCCGGGAAGCCTGAGCTGTGTAATCACTCTTCATTTGTTTTATCAACAAATATTTAAGCCTTAAGTGACATTTTATTTTTTATAAAAGCTGTATTTTGTTTATATTAAGCTTTTCTGTGATAGTTTGTTGAGCTATATTTAGGCATAGAATTTATGACACTGAAAATATTAGATAAGTCTCACTTTCATCATTTCTCATGTTACTTCTATGTTTGAAGTTGATATAGTTTGAATGCTTGTCCCCTCCAAATCTTATGTTGAAACATGATCCCCAGTGTTGGAGGTGGGGCCTAGTAGGAGGTTTTTGGTGGATCCCTCATGAATGGCTTGGTGCCTTCCTGATGGTAATGAGTGACTTCTTGCTAGTTTAGTTTTCTTGAGATCTGATTATTAAAAAGAGCCTGGCACCCCCTCCTTTCTCTTCTGCTCCCCCTCTTGCCATGTGTCACATTACCCTTTGCCTTCTGCCATGAGTAAAAGCTTCCTGAGGCCCTGACCAGAAGCAGATGCTGGCACCATGCTTCTTGTACAGCTAGCAGAACTGTCAGCCAAAAAACCTATTTTCTTTACAAATTTACCCAGCCTCAGGTACTCCTTCATAGCAACACAAAATGGATTAATACAGAAGTCTACCTAATGGCAAATAAAATAATGTTAAACAACTAGCTAATTGCCATTTCATTTTGTTTACTTTTCATTCTTATAACATTAAGTTTTTGTGGTATTTTTCCATTATTATTCAAAAAATCCTTTTAAATTTTGTTTTTAATTTTCATGGGTACATAGCAGGTGCATATATTTATGGGGAATATGAGATATTTTGATGTAGGCTTACAATGTGTAATAATCACATCAGGGTAAATGGGGTATCTGGCACCTCAAGCATTTATCCTTTGTGTTTCAGACAATCCAATTACATACTTTTAGCTATTTCAAAATGTACAATTAAATTATTGATATAGTCATCTTGTTATGCTATCAAATACTAGATCTTTTTCATTCTTTCAAAATATTAATATATTTTTGCACCCACTAACCATCACCACATCCCCCACATCCACCCACTACCCTTACAACCTCTGGTAACCATCCTTCTATTCTCCACTTCCATGAGTTCAATTGTTCTAATTTTTAGCTATCACAAATAAGTGTGAACATGCAAAGTTTGTCTTTCTGTGCCTGGCTGATTTCACATAATGACCTTCAGTTCCATCCATGTTATTGCTAATGACAGAATCTCATTCTTTTTTATAACTGAATAGTACTGCATTGTGTACCACATTTTCTTTTTCTATTCATCTGTTGATGGACACTTACATTGCTTCCCAATCTTGGGTATTGTGAATAGTGCTGCAACAAACATAGGAGTGCAGATATCTCTTCAATATACTGATTTCCCTTCATTGGGGTATATACCAGCAGTGGGATTGCTGGATCATATGGTAACTTCAGTTTTAAGTTTTTCAAGAAACCTCCAAACTGTTCTCCATAGTGGTTGTACTAATTTACATTCCCACCACCAGTGTAAGAGGGTTCCCTTTTCTCTGCATTCTCAGCAGCCTTTGTTATTGCCTGTCTTTTGGATAAAAGCCATTTTAACTGGAGTGAAATGATATGTCATTGTAGTTTTGATTTGCATTTCTCTGATGATTGGTGATGTTGAGCACCTTTCCATATGCCTGTTTGCCATTTGTATGTCTTTTGAAAAATATCTATTCAGATAATTTGCCCACTTTTTCATCAGATTATTAGAGATTTTTCTATAGAGTTGTTTGAGCTCCTTGTATAGTGCTGCAATAGTATAGTTCTGGTTATTAATCCTTCGTCAGATGGGTAGTTTGCAAATATTTTCTCCCGTGCTCTGGGTTGTCTCTTCATGTTGTTGATCGTTTCCTTTGCCATGTAGCAGCTTTTTAACTGGATGTGATCCCATTTGTCCAATTTTGCTTTGTTTGCCTGTACTCGTGGTGTGTTACTCAAGAAATATTTGACCAGTCCAAGTTCCTGGAAAGTTTCTCCAATGTTTCCTTGTGGCAGTTTCATAGTTTGAGGTCTTAGATTTAAGTCTTTAATCCATTTTGATTTGATTTTTGTATATGTTGAGAGACAGAGGTCTAGTATCATTCTTCTGCATATGAATATCCAGTTTGCCCAGTACCATTTATTGAAGAGACTGTCCTTATCCCAAGGTATGTTCTTGGCATTTTTCTCGAAAATGAGTTCACTGTAGATTTATGAATTGGTTTCTGTGTTCTCCATTCTGTTCCAATAGTCTGTGTGTCAGTTTTTCTGCAAGCACCATGCTATTTTGGTTACTGTAGCTCTATAGTATAATTTCTAATCAGGTAATGTGATTCCTCCAGTTTTGTTCTTTTTGCTCCGGATAGCTTTGGCTATTCTGGGGTTTTTGCGGTTTCGTATAAATTTTAAGTTTTTTTTTTCTATTTCTGAGGAATGTCATTGACATTGACATTGCTTTTTGGGGTAGTATGGACATTTTAACAATATTGGATTCTTCTAATTTATGAACATGGAATATCTTTCCTTTTTTTGGTGTCTTCAATTTCTTTCATCATTGTGTTATAATTTTCACTATAGAGATCTTTCACTTCTTTGGTTAATCCTAGGTATTTAATTTTATTTATGGCTATTGTAAATGAGATTACTTTCTTGATTTCTTTTTCAGATTGTCCCACCTTTGGCATACGTAAATGTAAATGCTACTGGTTTCTGTATGTAACTTTGTATCCTGCAACTTTACCGAATTTATCAGTTCTAATAGTTTTTTGGTGGAGTCTCTAGGATTTTTCAAATATAATATATTATCTGCAAACGAGGATAATTTAACTTTTCTTTCTGATTTGGATGACTTTTATTTCTTTGTCTTATCTGATTGCTCTAGCTAGGACTTCTAGTACTATGTTGAATCACAGTGGTGAAAATTGGCATCCTTGTTGTGTTCCAGATTTTAGAGGAAAGGCTTTCAGTTTTTCCCCATTCAGTATGATACTAGCTGTGAGTCTGTCCTGTGGTTTTTATTGTGTCCTCCTGTGCACAATTTTTGAGGGTTTTTTTTTTTATCATGAAGCAATGTTGAATTTTATAAAATGCTTTTTTAGCATCAATCAAAATGGTCATATGAATTTTGTCCTTCATTCTGTTGATACAGTGTATCACATTAATTTGCATATGTTGGATCATCCTTGCATCCCTGGGATAAATCCCACCTAGTCATGGTGAATGACCTTTTTAATGTGTGGTTGAATTCAGTTTGCTAGTATTTTATTGAGGACTTTTGCATCAATATTCATCAGAGATATTATCTTAAAGTTTTCTATTTTTTGATGCATCTTTGTCTAGTTTTGGTGACAGAGTAATACTGGCCTCATAGAATGAGCTTGATGAAAGTATTTCCTCCTTGCATTAGTTTGTTCTCATGCTGATATGAAGAAATACCTGAGACTGGATGACTTATAAAGGAAAGAGGTTTAATTGACTCACAGTTCTGCAAGGCTGGGGAAGCCTCAGAAAACTTACAGTCATGGCAGAAGGGAAAGCAAACATGTCCTTCTTCACATGGCAGCAGGAAGGCAAAGAATGAATGAAGCCCGGTGGAAAAGCACCTTATAAAACCATCAGATCTCCTGAGAACTGACTCAGTATCACCAGAACAGCCTGAGGATAACTGCCTCTGTAATTCAATTACCTCCCACCGGGTCCCTCCCATGACACATGGCGATTATGGGAGCTACAATTCAAGATGAGATTTGGGTGGGGACACAGCCAAACCATATCGCCCCTCCTCTAGTTTTTTTTTTTTTTTTTTTTTTTTTGTATTAGTTTGAGTAGGAAGGTTTGGTAGAATTCAGCAGTGAAGCCATCAGGTCGTGGGCTTTTCCTTGTTGGGACACTTTTTATTATGGATTTGATCTTGTTACTTGATCTTGTTACCCGTTGGTCTGTTAAGGTTTTGTATTTCTTTGTGGTTCAGTCTTGATAGTTTGTATGTGTCTAGGAATTTGTCCATTTCTTCTAGGTTTTCCAATTTATTGGGATATAGTTGTCTTTAGTAGCCTCTAATGATCCTCTGAATTTCTGTGGTTTTGATTGTCATGTCTTCTTTTTCATCTCTGATTTTATTTATTTGAGTCTTCTCTCTTTTTTTCTTAGTCTGGCTAAAGGTATGTCAATGTTGTTTAGCTTTTCATAAAACCAACTTTTCAGTTCATCTTTTGGTATTCTTTCCTTTATTTCAATTTCATTTATTTCTGCTCTGATGTTTATTATTTATTTTCTTAGACTAATTTTGGGTTTGATTTGCACTTGCTTTTAGAATTATTTAAATCAGAGCATTGCTTATTTGAAGTTTTTGTACTTTTTAATTTAGCCACTTGTAGCTATAAAATTCCCTCTTTGTGCTGCTTTTGCTGTGTCCCATAGGTTTTGGTATGTTATGTTTCCATTATCACTTCCTCCAAGAAATTTTTTCAATTTCCTTCTTAATTTCTTCATTGACTCACTGATCATTCAGGAGCATATTGTTTAATTTCCATGTGTTTGTGTAGTTTCCAAAATTCCTCTTGTTACTGATTTCTTGTTTTATTCCATTGTGGTCAGAGACTATACTTGATATTATTTCAATTTTTTGAAAGTTTTAAGATTTGTTTTGGCATCTAATATATGGTCTATTCTTGAGAATGATCCATGTGCTGCAGAGAAGGATGTGTATTTTGCAGCCATTGGATGAAATGTTCTGTAAATATCTATTAGGTCTATTTGGTCTATAGTGCAGATTAAATCTGATGATTCTTTGTTTATTTTTTTGTATGAATGATCTTTTTTTGTATGACATATGACATACAATCCTTTTTTGTATGACATGTTTTGTATGAATGTTGAAATGGGATATTTAAGTCTCCAGTTATTATTGTATTGAGGTCTATCTCTCTCTTTAGCTCTAATAATATTTGCTTAATATACCTGGTGCTCCAGTGTTGGGTGCCTATATATCTTCAATTATTATATCCTCTGGCTGAATCAGCCCCTATATCATTACACAATGACCTTCTTTGTCTCTTAATAGCTTTTATCTTGAAATCTACTTTTTCTGATATACGTGTAGCTACTCCGGGTCTCTTTTGGTTTTCATTGGCATGGAATATCTTTTTCCATCTCTTTATTGTCAGGCTATGTGTGTCTTTGTAGGTGAAGTGTGTTTCTTGTAGGTGAAAGATCACTGGGTCTTGTTTTGTTATCCATTCAGCAAGGCTATGTTTTTTGATTGGAGAGTTTAGTCCATTTACTTTTGATGTTATTGTTGTTATTGATAATTTTGATTGATAAGTAAGGCTATACTCCTGCCATTTTGTCATTTGTTTTCTGGTTGTTTTGCAGTCTTCTCTTCCTTCTTTTTCTCCTTTCTGTCTTCCTTTTAGTGAAGGTGATTTTCTCTGGTGGTATGTTTTAGCTTCCTGCTTTTCGTTTTCTGTATGTCTGTTGTATGTTTATTGATTTGAGGTTACCATAAATTTTGCAAATAATATCTTATAATTTATTATTTTAAATTGTTGACAACACTGATTGCATAAACAAATAAGCAAGAAAAAAGAAAATTAATTTAAAAATCTTATGTTTTGACTGTATCCCCCTGCTTTTTAACATTTTGTTGTTTCTGCTTATATCTTACTGTACTATCTGTCTGGAAAAGTTGTAGTTATTTTTTACCAGTTCATCTTTCTGCCTTTCTACTTAACATATATATATAGTTTACACACCACAATTACAGTGTTATAATAGTCTGTGTTTTTCTGTTTATTTACCATAATTGATGAGTTTTGTACCTTCAGATTATTTATTATTGTTCATTATTGTCCTTTGCTTTCAGATTGAAGAACTCCCTTTAATATTCCCTGTAGGACAGGTCTGGTGTTGATGAAATCCCTCAGCTTTTGTTTGTCTGGGAAAGTTCTTCTTTCCCCTTTATGTTTGAAGGATATTTTCACCAGATTTGCTATTCTAGGATACAAGTTCTTTTTCCTTCAGCACTTTAAATATGTCATGCCACTCTTTGCTGGGTGGTAAGGTTCTCACTGAAAAGTCTGCAGTCAGACATGTTGGAGCTCCATTGGGGGTTGTTTATTTTCTCTTGCTGTTTTTAGGATCCTTTCTTTATTTTTGACCTTTGGGAGTTTGATTATTAAATATGTTGAGGTAGTCTTTGTTGGGTTAAATCTGCTTGGTGTTCTAAAACCTTCTTGTACCGAAATATTGATATTTTTCTCTAGGTTTGGAAAATTTTCTGTTATTATCCTTTTGAATAAGGTTCTACCTATCTCTCTCTACCTCTTCTTTAAGGCCAATAACTCTTAGATTTGCCCTTTTGAGGCTATTTTCCAGATCCTATAGGTGTACTTCATTCTTTTTTATCCCTTTTTCTTTTGTCTCCTCTGTGTATTTTTAGGTAGCCTATCTTCAAGCTCACTAATTCTTTCTTCTTTTTGATAAACTCTGCTATTAAGAGTCTGATGCATTCTTCAGTATGTCAATTACATTTTCAACCCCAGAATTTCTTCTTGATTCTTTTTTCATTATTTCAAATTCTTTGTTAAATTTATATGATGAGATTCTGAATTCCTTCATGGTGTTATCTTGAATTTCAAAGAGTTTCCTGAAAACAGCTATTTTGAATTGTCTGTCTGAAATCTCACATATCTCTATCTCTTTGGGTTTATCTCTTTGGTGCCTTATTTAGGTTGTTTGATGAGGTTATGTTTTCTTGGACAGTCTTGATGCTTGTGGATGTTCATTGGTATCTGGGCCTTGAAGAGTTAGGTATTATACCTTTAGCATTCTGGGCTTGTTTGTACCCTTCCTTCTTGAGAAGACTTTCCAGGTATTTGAAGGGACTTAAATGTTGTGATCTAAGTTTTTGGTCACTTCTTCTGTGTCTGCATTAAGGGATACCCCAAGCCCAGTAACACTGTGGATCTCATAGCCTTGTAGAGGTACTGCCTTGGTGGTCTTGGATATAATCTGGAAGACTTGTCTTGATTACCAGGCAGAGACTCTTATTCTCTTCCCTTAATTTCTCCCAAATAATTAGAGAGTCTCTCTCTCTCTCTCTCTCTCTCTCTCTCTCTCTCTCTCTGTCTGCCTCTCTGTCTCTCTCTGTCTGCTAAGCTGCCTGGAACTGGGGGAGGGGTGACACAAACACCCTTGTGACCATCACCACTGGGACTGTGCTTGGTCAGAACTGAAGCCAGTGCAACACTGGTTCTCATTTAAGGCCCATGGTAACCTCTTACTTGCTACTGCCTGTGTTTATTCAAGGCCCTAGGGCTCTACAATTGGCAGATGGTGAAGCCATCCAGGCATGTGTTCCTCCCTTCAGGTCAGTGAGTTCCCCCAGCTCCGAGTGTCCCTGAGATGCTGCCTGGGAGCCAGGGCCTGGAGTAGGAAACCTTAGGAATCTATGTGGTACTCTACTCTATTGCAGCTGAACTGGCATCAGACCACAAGACAAAGTCCTTCCCACTCTTCCCTCCCCTTTTGATAAGCAGAGGAGACTCTTATGTCCACCACCACCACAGGTCCTTGGGGAGTATTGCCAGGCCACAGCCAATGTTCACTTAAGGCCCAAGGGCTCTTCAGTCAGGTTGTGGTGCATGTTGCTAAACCTAGGACCCACTTTCACAAAAGTGGGCTCCCCTCTGGCCCAAGATAGGTCCAGAAATTCCTCCTAACAGCCAAGGCCTGGAATTGGGGATCCCGAGATCCCACTTCATACTCTGCCACACTGTGGCCGAGCTGCAAGGCTGAGGTATCTAAACTGCAAGACAGAGTCCTCTTTACTCTTCCCTCTGCTTTTCTTAAGCAGAAGGAGTCTCTCTTGGTAGCCACTACAGTTGTGAATGTGCCAGATCACACCTGAAGCCAGGACATCTCAGAGTCTCATCCAAGGCCCAGGGTGTTTCCTAACTGGCTACTGCTCCTGATTATTCAGTGCCCAAGGGCTCTTTAGTCAGCAGGTGATGAATTGTGCCAGGACTGCATCCCTCCCTTCAAGCCAGTGGGTTTTCTTCTGGCCCATGTGTGTCTAGAAATGTCTTCCAGGAGCTAGGGCCTAAGATGGGGGCCTCACTACTCTACCCATTGCCCTATCCTGCTGTGGCTGAGCTGGTATCCAAGTTGCAAAGTCCTCTTTACTCTTTTCTCTTCCTCTCCTCAAGTGGAATGAAGGGGTCTTCTTTGGAGCAGTGAGCTGTGCTGCCTGGGGTTGGGGGAGGGATGGCACAACCACTTCTTTAGCTAGGTATATCACTAGGTCATGTGCACCTCAAGCCCACTGGCTCTGACCCCACACGGCACTAAAACTTGCCTAGGAGTTGCAGTTCTTGTGGCCTAGACTGCCTTTCAAGTTGTTTAGAGCCTCAGAACACTTTAGCCCATGGTGGCAAGGTTTGCCAAAACTCAGGTTGTAACATCTGGAATGGGTGATTTCCCTCTGGCTAGGGCTGCTCTAAGTGGTCCCTCCATGGGCATTTGCTGAGGTCTGTGCATGTTGGCAGCACCGAGTTCCAACACAAAGTCCCACTCTCCCTCCCTGAGAACAGAGATTCTCAGTGCCTAGCAGCTGATGCGGGGGGCCAGGGGAGGGATGGCATCCACAATTCAAGACTATCTTTCCTACCCTCTTCGGTGTCTCTTTCAGTAATATGAAGTTAATACCAGGTACTGTGATCATTCACTTGATGTTTGGTTTTCATGAAGGTGCTTTTGGGTTTAGATGGTTGTTAAAGTTGGTATTTCTATGGGGAGAATGATCAGTGGAGGCTTCGATTCAGCCATCTTTCTCTGCCTCGATCCTGATTTTAAAGTATTTAAGTGCGCCCAGCAAATCATAAAAATCATTCAAAACTTTCTATACACAGGAAATTATAAAAAAGAGTTAAAGTGATTACATATGTATTTTTAAAAATCATTCACTTAAATGAAAATTTGTTAAAATCATTAGAACCAATTTTTACGTATCAGTCTTTAAGGAGAGTTCTGTCCTTTGGAAAGTATTTGTACTTGGATTGAGGTCCTTCATATGTGACTGTGTGTGTGTGTGTGTGTGTGTGTGTGTGTGTGTGTGTGTAAAATATACATACATGCCTATATATATTTTTAGAATATTTTTATATTTTATATTATTGTTGGACATCAAGTGATTCTTTGGTTATGAATGATTATAAATGTAGTTGGAGAGTTAAACTGTAAATTCCTGTTCATTAAAGGAAAATTCCTTTGGGAAAATGAATATTGAATATGGAGAGTATCATCATTTATTTATCCTCCTAGCTATTACTGGAAATATTTAGGAATTTGGGGATTATTTATTGTGAATTTCTACTGTACATAATAGCCTTTGACAGAATTAGCAAATA